>NC_000004.12:48099227-48408651 GCF_000001405.40 Homo sapiens
AACAAGATACACTCATTTATGACACCAACACAAAAGATGAAATACTTTAAGATAAACTTAAAAATAAATGTGCAAAAGTTGTACAAAGAAAACTCTAAAATGCTCCTGAAGAATACAAAAATGTTTGCTTTTCTCATTAGGTGTTTAATATACCTATGGTTATTTTTCCAAGAGCCATGAATTTAATTTTAATTTTTTTCTATATGAATATCAATATATGGGTTCTAGAACAAATGGATCCCCAAACCTCATTGATTTGTAATGCCTGAAAATTTTTTTCCCAAATTAATCTGTACATTTAATGCAACCAACCAACAGGAAGATTTTTTAAAATGAGACAAGGTGATTCTGAAGCTTATATGGACAAAAAATATATATTAATACATTCAGAATATTTCTGAAAAAGAATAATGAGGGAGGCTAGCCACACTAGAGACAGCCTCTGTACTTAAAACAGTGTAGTAGTCCTCTATGAGGACTGATCAGTAAAACCAAGTAGAAAGCCCAGATATAGTCCAAAATAGGGATTTTGTTTATTATGACAGTGGTATCTCAAATCAGTGCAGAAAGGTGGATGTTTGGTAACCATCCAGAAAACAATAAAGTCAGATCCATATCTCACTCCTTACATCAGGAAAAATTACAAATGGATCAAAGATAAAAATGCGTAAAATAGGCCGGGCGCGGTGGCTCACGCCTGTAATCCCAGCACTTTGGGAGGCCGAGGCGGGCGGATCACGAGGTCAGGAGATCGAGACCACGGTGAAACCCCGTCTCTACTAAAAATACAAAAAATTAGCCGGGCGCAGTGGCGGGCGCCTGTAGTCCCAGCTACTCGGGAGGCTGAGGCAGGAGAATGGCGTGAACCCGGAAGGCGGAGCTTGCAGTGAGCGGAGATCGCGCCACAGCACTCCCGCCTGGGCGACAGAAAGAGACTCCATCTCAAAAAAAAAAAAAAAAAAAAAAAATGCATAAAATAAAACCACTAAAGCGATCAAGAAACATGAGAATTTTAATAGTCTTCAGGCCAAAAGGCCATAAGACAATAGAAAAACTGCAGGAAATAATGCCACATGTCACAAAGGGCTGATTTCCTTAATATAGCTTCATAGGTCCTACAAATTCTGAGAAAAACATCAAAAACCCAATAGAAAACTATGCAAAGGATATGAACAGAGTTCACAGAAAAGGAAATACAGACATATAAAATTTAGCATATAAAAAATGCTTAGCATTCCCAGAATACAGGAAATGCAAATTAAATCCACACTGAGATGAGGTGTCAGAGAGCAAAGATCCAGATGTTTTCTATAAAGTGCTGTCTGAAAAGGTTATGGGAAAACAGACTCGCTTACATTTCTGGTAGGCATATAAATTGATACAACTCCTACTGAGGACATTTCAATACCTGTTAAAATTAGAAATGTATATTTCATTTGACCCAGAATTTGCACCTTTGAGGATTTATCCTACAAACCCATATAAATGGGAAAAGATATGTGTATAGGTTATGGATGGTAGCATTGTTTCAACAGCAAAAGAAATGTATACTATTTAATTTTCATAATGAAGAATTGGTTTTAAAAATTGTGATATACTCAAACTAAAGAACACTATGCAGGTATAAAATGAAGGAGGACATGTTTTGTGTACTGATGTGGAAAGATTCTAAATATATATCCTTATGTAAAAAAATATATATATAAAAATGTATATAGTATGCTATCGTTTGTGTAAAAGTAACAACAAGAAAATATATTTGAACTTACTTGTGTATGTATTAAATATCTTGGAAAGGACACAAAATAAACTAATAGTAGTTTTTCTGTGGGTAGGGAAATTGGTGGCTTGCAGACAAGATGGAAGAAAACTTTCCAAAATCTTTCGATTTTGAACCACGTGAACATACTCACTATTGAAATATGAAATAAATAAAAATTATAGGATATTGCCATGAATTGTTTGTGCAATAAATTTGAAAATAAATTTAAAATAGGCAATTCTCTAGGTAAATATAAATTATCAAACATTTCAAAAAGAAAAGGAAATTCAATCAGTAGTCATGTATCTACCTGTTTGCAAAAGCAGCATATCTGGACTGTTACAAGACAGTTATAGTAGCTAACCAACCAATATAAACTATTCCAGAGATTGGAAAGACAGACAAAGCCCCATCCCTTAACTCATTTTATGATGTTAATGTAACCTTTATACTAAAACCAAAGAGAACAGAAAATTATAAGCCAGGGTCCCTTTTGAACACAACAGGATAAATGCTGAATAAAATATAAGGAAACCCAAACCAGAATATGTATTTTAAATGCCTTATGACAAGTAGGATTTAATCCAGGTGTATTTTTAAAATAAAAATTAGAAAATATATAAATTAGAAAAACATTTTTAAGATACATAGAAAAAATATGTATATTTTAAATATCCCATGCTTTATATACACATACACACTCATTTCTGATAAAGACCCAGATGTGGAAAGCAAATCCTTAATACATTTAAAAGAGGATAGAAATCCATTAACTACTTCAAGAGGAAGAAAAATTTCTTATACTAAGAAAAAAAAAAAGCACAGATAATAAAGGAAAATTTGAGAAATGTGACCACATTAACCTTTTTAAATTCTATGCAAGAAAACAATATAAAGTTCTCCTAAAAGCCAGAAACCAGAATATATTTACAACATATAACTGACAGAAAAGATCGGTATTCAAAATATTACTTTTTTTATTTTTTATTTTTTTAATTTATTTTTTTGAGATGGAGTCTCGCTCTGTCACCCAGGCTGGAGTGCAGTGGCATGATCTTGGCTCACTGCAATCTCCACCTCCCAGGTTCAAGCGATTCTCCTGCCTCAGCCTCCTGAGTAGCTGGGATTAGAGGCGCCCGCCACCATGCCTGGCTAATTTTTGTATTTTCAGGAGAGACGGGGTTTCATCATGTTGGCCAGTCTGGTCTCAAACTCCTGACCTCAAGTGATCCACCCGCCTCGGCCTCCCGAAGTGCTGGGATTACAGGCTTAAGCCACCACCCCCAGCTGTATTTTTTAAATATAGACTTACAAGTTTAAAAGGCAAGCACTATAGAAAAATGGACAAAAAATATTGACAGGCATGTCACTGAAGAGTAAGCTCAACTGGCCTACAGACACTTCAAAAGTAACTCAGTTGCACTGGTAATCAAGAAAATGTTTGAGAAGGTATACAATTTCTCACCCAATGAATTGAAAAAAAACTGTGAAACTACTTGCCACCTGCTGGCAAGAATGTTGGAAACCAGTTTATCTCATTCACCACAAGAGCGTAAATTAGTATAACCGTTTTGAATCATGTTTTGAAAATATCTAATAATGTTAAATCTGCACATACCCTGTGACCACATAATTCCATCTCGCCCTTGTGTACAAGATGACATTTATAAGAAAATTCATTGCAGCACTGTTTGTAACAGTAACAAATCAGAAACATTTTGAATGTTTATCCACATTGAATACAATTTTATATAGTCATATGAAATATGCTAATACACAGTTAAAGGAATGTATTTGATCTATAGTATATGTACCCATAACGGTACTTTGAAAACATAATGTTTAACTAAAAAATCAACATACATATGATCTCCTTTCTGTCAAATGGTAAAATAAATAAAATAATGTTATAGGTTGTTTATGTGCCTGCATATATGATCAAAATACAAACACATGGACAAAACAGGAACATACCCTTCTACCGCGATTGCCTCTAGGGAATGAGAGAGGACCAAAAAGATGAAGGGGGTGGGCTTCAACTGTATCTGTAATGTTTTATTTATTTTTAAAATGTCATGGCCAAGTTTTAATATTTGCCATATCTGGGTTGCGGGCCTGTGCGTATAATTCCCTGTTCAAGTCTCTGAAAAGAGATAAGACCCTTGCCTTGTCTGGCTTCTTGTCAGATGCAGAAGCTCTTATACTGAATCTGCACAGCCCAGTGATTTGGGCCATATTACCTGTGACCAGTGTGATAACTGTGGACCTCCTCTGGGACTTTCCTTCTCTCGTTCTGCCCACCTGTCATAAAATTTTTTTTCTCCGTGTTGGACCTATTAATGTCACCTTACAAAAGGCCATTTGCTGTGACCATACCAGGAAAATAGCATATTTTCTGCCACACTCAGTTTCCTCCAAGCAAGTGAGGCCTGTCCAACCTCCATCCGTGGTCACCTGAGGATGGGCCTGTGTCCCTCATTCTCTGCCTATAGCCCCTGCTATGAAGTAGGTCTTCATTGTACCCTGAGCCATTACTGGCATTGAGTTTTGAGTTACAGAACTGATTATTTCTCATTCGCATTTCTAGATTTCCTCAATATCCAACAGCAGAGCAAAATGACACACATACTCTTACCTAGTTTCTAGTTCTGACTCTACTTTTACCCACAGTTAATGTTTACTGACAGTTGGAAATTTAAACTATAGGCAGCTTTGTGTTGGTTTGACCTAAATGAGCAGTTTTGATCTCAGTTTCATATTTTGGCTATTCTACTCTTTCCTTTGTTTCCAAAGAACAAAGAAACTGCAGCAGCATGTATTTTTCTTTGTTTGTGTTTTTAATGAGTCTAACCTAAGTTCCTGAGGATCAAGTTTATACTTGACTGCCTTTGATGCAAAGGTTATAATGAGCAACTCAAATACAGGACTCCAGACTGGGCGTGGTGGCTCACACCTGTAATCTCAGCACTTTGGGAGGCCAAGCCGGGCTGATCACTTGAGCTCAGTAGTTCAAGACCAGTTGGGCAGCATGGCAAAACCCTGTCTCTATAAAAAATACAAAGAAACTAGCCAGGCATGGTGGCATACCTGTAGTCCCAGCTACTCAGAGGGCTGAGGTGGGAGGATAGCTTTAAGCCCAGGAGGTCAAGACTTCAGTCAGCTGTGATCGAGCCACTGCACTTCAGCCTGGGTGACAGAGCGAGAGCATGTCTCAAAATATATATATATATATTATATATTATATTATATATAATATATATTTTATATATATAATATATAATATAATATATAATATATATAATATATAATATAATATATAATATATATAATATATAATATAATATATAATATATATAATATATAATATAATATATAATATATATAATATATAATATTATATATAATATATATAATATATAATATTATATATAATATATATAATATATAATATTATATATAATATATATAATATATAATATTATATATTATATATATAATATATAATATTATATATTATATATATAATATATAATATTATATATTATATATATTTTATATATATAATATATAATATATATATATAATATATATATTATATATATATATAGAGAGAGAGAGAGAGAGAGAGTCCATTGGCAGAATGCACCTTGGAGTGAATGCAGGAGTCTGCCTATGTTGGAGCTGAAAGCCTTTCAGGAGAAACGTATTTCTGAAATTATAATGAAAGTTGATGGAAAACATGATCTAATACAAATATATCTGATTTACAACTTCACATAAAATATATAGTTGGGATGTAATGATATTTTAGAACTAGAAAAGACAAGAAATAATATACTTTTTTAGTTGGTTAAAGTCTTTATAAGTACTTCTCAGAGATTTTGAAAATGTCCACAAATACATTGAATTACCTCTTGTCTCAATAGATGTTCTGCCTGATTTCTGGTAATGTTTCTATGGTACCACCTGTAAAAGCAATAAAAATGATTTTTAAATTTTATATTCAATTTTTTTAAGAAAAAAGTGCTTCATTTTCTTCATTTTTAAGAACTTACTTCAGAACTGAGCTTAGAAAGTTGAGTGTTTTTTTAAATTCAGATAAACAATAATATACTATTGTGGGTTAATTAAGTTTAAAATAATTTTATTTTCAAATCAATATCTAGTTTATTCTATCATATCTCAATTCAGCTTCCAATATACACTTAGTATATCATTATGAATGATTTAACTTCTTATAAATTTCCATGAAAGGTATGTGGTAAATCATCTTGAACAAACACTGAGTTTTGGCAGACAAACTGAAAAAATACTCATTTCTGTCTTTCCTCTCAGAAACTTCCTATTTACATGTTTTTATAGGTGCTTTGTTACCCCTTCCAAAAATTAAAGCCCATTCTTACTTTTCTGACACTCCTAAGTATATTACGTCATAGTATAGTCAGTAGTTAGTAGATGTTCTCACTTACAAGTGGGAGATAACAGGGGGAACACATAGCCATAGAGATGGAAATAATGGACACTGGGAACTCCCAAAGCAGGGAGGATGGAAGTGGGGGTGAGAGTTGGAAAATGACTTATTGGATAAAATGTTCACTATTTGGGTGATGGGTACACCAGAAACCCAATACCCACCATTACACAATATACTGTTGATAAAAAAAAACTTGCATGTGTACCCTCTAGATCTAATATAAAATTTTTAAAAAATCAAAAAACAGAATACATGGAACAACCAATACATGAACTTGCCTCTAACACCCTCTCCCGCCTCATCTCTCTCCTGAGTCTCCCCTCACTCACTAAGCTTCAGTCTCATTGGAATTATTTCCTTCCTCAGATTCACCAACCCCTTTTCTGCCCCCAATCATGCTGTTTTTCTCTGCATGAAACATGTAGTTAAATGACTTTAGAATATCAGAAGTACACACAGTAAACATAATTAACTAATACTGTAAGCTAAACATACAGTTTGATATGGTAATACCTAGTCAGTAAGCAAATGTTGTACAGGAAGGAGAAAGAAAAAATGGTAGAACAAAAGAGAGAGAAAGGAAAACTGAAAGGCTTTCATTTCAAAACAAGACTTTAAAAAAATTTTAATGCTTCATGAATTTGTGTGTCATCCTTGCACAGGGAACATGCTAATCTTCTCTGTATTGTTCCAATTTTTAGTATATGTGCTGCCGAAGCAAGCACTCAAAAACAAGATTTTTAAGAAGGTTTTAAACTTAATCTAATATTGCCAGATAGAAGTATGTGACAAATTCAAGATCTTTTAAAATAATTCAGAATTCTATCAGGCAGGAAAGAGATTGAACGAATGGAACTTAGAGGAGGCAAGAGCACAGTATTTCAGAATTTCATCTATTTAAATCAGATTATAAAAGTTAGAAGGGTTTTTTTTTTTTAATATGTAAGTAAAACTGTAACTCTTAGACAACTCTTAGACCTAGACAACATTGATTACAACTAAGACCAAATGATGTGTATGAAGGAGTTAGGGACAGGAATCCTATGAACATTTTTTTTTAAATCCAGCACGTCCAGCTATGGGTGAGTAGAAACATCCTGTATGTTATGTGAACACCTCTGGTCTCATGTCCCAATCTTAGATTTCTATAAGTAAACAGTATTGTGTTCTTGAATTTTTGATCTAGAAACCCCATTAGATCTGAGAATGTAAATCTGCTTCTCTTAGTAAATGACTTTCTAACTGTGAGAAGATTAAGGATTCCGTGTACAGATAATGAGATAAATGAAACTCATGCTTCTGTAAAGTTCAGGAATAATCAATATGTTTGGTATTTAAAATATCTATTATTTTAAGAGAATCTGGCATATTAGATATTTGCCTCTGATTTAAAAGGCATAATTAATTTTAAACTTGTTATCCGAAGTTGAAGATAATTTGACTTGTTTTTAAAATGATATTTGTACAGTTAAAAGAACTTGATTTCCCACATTTATAAGTTTAGTTTATTAGATTTCCAGGATCATTTAAAGACTTGCATAGGGCTTATTACAATTGTAAATTTGCCCTGTCAGGCATGTGAAGTACTTTGGAAGAAAACTGAATTTATTCAGTTTATTAATGCAAATTAAAAGTTTCCAAAAATTTAATTAACTGAGCTTATAAATAGGACTGATTGTTTAAGGATATCTAGTATGTTGAGTTTGAATTAAGCTGATTGTTCTTACTTCTTTAGATTTATATATAGTATACCAAATTTTATAAGTTGAATTTGAGGACTTTCTGAAAACTAGGTTTTTCCATTGTAATATTGATAATTCGGATATTCATTTAAAGTAGCCATAAATCTTTCTATGCACAAAGGTTCCTCTGAAATATCAGAACTCCACATTGACACAGCATTCCTTCCACCATACCCCACCCTCCCCCCAAAACACACACTACCTGCTACCACCTTTAGACCTCAAGTCACTTCCTCAGAGCCAACCCAACATCCCCCATCTGAATTACATCCCCTGCCCTGTTTTCTTCCACAGCGTCCAATACTGTTCCTTCAAAACACTACAGTTTATTTTATTTTTTTTCTTCAACTTTTATTTTAAGTTCCGGGGTACATGTACAGGATATTCAGGTTTGTTACATAGGTAGATGTGTGCCACAGTGGTTTGCTGCACAGATCAACTCATCGCCTAGGATTAAGCCCAGCATCCATTAGCTCTTCTTCCTGATGCTCTCCCTCCCCTTGCCGCCCTCGCCCCAACCCCCGCCCCAGGCTCCAGTGTATCATAACACTACGATTTAAAATTGTACATTTATGGGCCGGGCGCGGTGGCTCACGCCTGTAATCCCAGCACTTTGGGAGGTAGAGGCGGGCGGATCACGGGGTTAGGAGATTGAGACCATCCTGGCTAACACCGTGAAACTCTGTCTCTACTTAAAAAAAAAAAAAAAAAAAAAAAAAACCGGGCGTGGTGGCGGGCGCCTGTAGTCCCAGCTACTCAGGAGGCTGAGGCAGGAGAATGGCGTGAACCCAGGAGGCAGAGCTTGCAGTGAGCCGAGATCACGACACTGCACTCCAGCCTGGGTGACAGAGCGAGACTCTGTCTCAAAAATAAATAAATAAATAAATAAAATTGTACATTTATTTGTGGACTTAGGGTTGTTTAATGTCTGTTTTTCCCCAAGAACTGTAAGTTCCATAACTGTATATTTCAGGTTGTTATATCTGGTACATCGTAAGTGTACAATAAATACAGATGGAACAAATAAGGTGATTTGAGGACTGAAGTAACGAAGGAGTGTTGAATGCCTGTAAATACCAGGCATGGTAGCCCAAACTGTAAATGTTTTTCCTGTTAGTTTCATAGTTCATGAAATAATAATAATCACTAGAATGTATTGAACATGTATTATGTAACAGATAGAATAGATACTATTTTCTCTGCTTTTCAGATCATTCAGAAGTTTAGAGACATTAGGTAACTCTGCCCAGAACCAAAGCACTAGTCAGTGCTGATGCCAGGATTTGGACCCAGGTTGTTCCCATTTCTATACACATGCTCTAGTACTTCAACCTAGGGCAGTAACTTTCGTACAGTCATTAGAACAGTGCTTGGCACATAGTGATCAATAAATTTCAGTGATCAATAATGATAGCTATTTTATCTACATATTAATAAAGCTGTTTTTAAAAACAGCAATAAAATGAAAAATGAGTTTTCTCATAATTGGAGTCATTTTAAAAAGGATGATTTTTTAAAAAAACACATATATAAATCAAGGCCCAAGGAAATGAGGTAGCAGTTGTAGCCCCAGAGTAGTTTAATTCAGATGATCCAACATCCACAGTATAAACAGGCTGTTATAGCCAGAGCCTAGGCCTTGTCTAAACAGGGTAATCAATGAGCAAATTAATGAATAATGAAAGGGTGGAAAGTAACATTCCTAGGTAGTGAGTGTCCATTCACTAACCACCAGGCACTGTGTTAGCTACTTTCACAAATGTCTCCTTTAATCGCTTGTAAAATCCAAATTATATGAAAAAAAGTCTCATTTTTCTAATTTTTCTGAGCAAGAGATTTTCATATAATATCTGTAAATACATACAAAATCTCTGACCTGGCTTTGCAAGAGGCCTGTTTTTGTTGGTCAGCTTCAGCTCAGGATAGCAGTGAGACCTCATGAGGACATGCTCTTGAGTAGATAGCTGTGGAACTGCTTTTTTTTTTTTTCTGTCCTTTTTTTATAGAGATAGGGTCTCACCATGTTGCCCAGGATGGTCTTGAACTCCTGAGCTCAAGCAATTCTCCCACCTCAGTCTCCCAAAGTGCTACGGTTACAGGCATGAACCACCATGCCTGGCCTCTTTTGTTTTCAATTTTTAAAAATTGCCATGCTAATCTTCTCTGTATCATTCCAATTTTAGTATATGCTCTGCCGAAGTGAGCACTTTGGAACTGTTTTCTAAGGAAGGTGGGTTCAGTCACCTGAGAACTTTGATTTACTGGAGATTAGAATCTCGGGAAGGGCTAAATGGCTCCAATAGAGACAGGAGGCCAAGTGAAGGTGGGAAAAGAGAGAAGAGATCCTATGATGGAGCTGAGGAGAGTGACTGGAGAGAGAACAGAAATAGCTACTGGAGAAATCTCATAGAGTAATGTAGATGAGTCATGTGTCCTGAAGTCATCTCCTTCTCTCCTCCAATAAAGTCTACATTATCCACCAAAGCTTTTGAATTCGAATTTGTTTTAGGAGAGATGTACTGAGTTAGGCCTCCAGGTGGGCTTTATTAGTAGCAAGACCAACCAAGGAGGTTCTCTCATTCAATTGTATTTGCTGCCTGGTTCTCAGAGAAGCACTTGTCTTAATGCCTCAATGCATATTACCTACTGCCACCTGGTGGAAGCATATGCTAATTTTAAGATAAGTGCCCAAGTGGGATGAAGGTAGGGGGAGATGCTCAAACTGAAAATCTAAATTTATAAAAAACATATGACTAGTCTCAGGCCGTTCTCTACCTGTAATCTATCAGTCTTCTCATCTGCAAAATGAGGGGCTAAAAAAGTGATTGCTAAGATTTCCTCCATCTTCCAAATCTGTAATTGTAACAAAAATAGATTTCAGGCGGAACTCTAGTGAACATGCCAAACAGTTCTTCCAAACTACAGCATTAGCCTAGTTCTTATCGTCAGCTATTTCTAAAACATATAAAAACATAAGCCAAAATATAGTACTTTATCTATATGGTTAAGTTTACCACTCATTGAAAATTTAATGTCATTTTTTAAAGTAAATTTTCCAGTTAAGATATATAGTAAAATAAGTGCCAGATGAGTGTTTGGGTTCAGGCTGTCACTGTTAAAACAGAAAAAGTGGCTATACAAAACAGAACAAAAATAAGTATAAGGAAAAGAAGTTTCTGAATCAACCATGATAAGGATCAAACGTCTCTTTATTATTAACGCTGTCAAATGTGTTACTTTTTTTTCCTTCTACAGACCCAAAACAGTATCTATACTTACAAGCTGCCAAAATGTCCCTGATTTTCATAGGTTATATTTTGGAGAAGACTTACTCATATATTTCTAAATTAGTTATTTTGTTTTCAGTCACATAGTTGCTTGGGATTAAGCCTTCATTCCTACAACAAAAGAAAAAGCAAAAATCAAAATGCTTGGCATGTTTGTGGCATTATCATGGCAACAATCCTTTTAAAACCTCAAGGATGTAGGGGGGAAATCAAATTCATTTTACTGATTAAATTGTTAAAAGGAGAAAAAAAAGTTTTTTTATTTCTAACTCAACAAAAATCTCTGTACAAGGAATGTATTAAGATGCCAACTTGTAATGTGAGTAGTTTAAGAGGTTTTATGACCCCACAATCTTTTCAGAGAGAAAAAGGGGCACTTAAATGATCATCTGATATCATAGTGATTATGTTAAAAACACAGCAATTACAAAGACATCGACTTCATTCTTTTCAATTGCTGAGGAGTATTCCATAGCATAGGTATTCTAGTTTAGCTACTTTGCTAGTAGAAGCAACGCTGTAAAGAAATCCTTGAACACGCCTTCTTGTACAGAAGAATATTTCTCAAAGACAGATAGCAAAGACGGGAATTGCTAAGTCACGGGATATGTACATCTTTCAGGATATGCAACAAATTGTCCTCAAAGGAGGATATACCAACTTACACACCTATCAGCATGGTAGAAGTTTCACTTTTCCTATACCTTAACCAACATTTGAAATTACAAAAAGATCTCCAAGACATATTATTGAGAAATAAAAGTAAGTTGCAGAATCATGCAGAAAGTAAGATAAGATTTAGGTAAATGAATTCTACAAACAATACCATATATTTTGATATGTGCATGTAAGTATACTGAAAATAATCTGAAAATGGATAATAGTATTTACTTTTGGGGAGACACTTGGGTTTGGAGGTAGTGGCAAAGCAGAATTTTGACATTAATGTTTGCATATTATATATTTTTAAAAACTCTATTCACTTACTGTGAAATAAAAAATTCAATTTTTAAGTCTGAGGCATGCCAATAGTATACCCGCAGGTGTGGCTAATTACACAGTCCTGAACCTACTAATGCCTCTTTTTCCACTGAAAAGTCTCCACCACATGTTGAGAACTGTTAAGAGAGCCACATCATTGAGAAAATGTAGTTGGAGAGGTATGTAATTTACATGCTTATAATACTTAGATACTTAAAATCTCCAAATCTTGGCAAATATCAGAAATCAATGCCAGCCTTCTCTCTCAGGAAGTCCAGATATTCCTCAGAATTCTTCTCAACTCAGGACTCCAGTCAGGCATTAACCATCTGTTGCAATTGGCACAATGAAACCTATCTGCATCCCAGGGTCTTTTTTCTTTCTAATCTAATTCAGCAGCGACTGCAATGTTTGCTTTCAAAACTAGTCATTCTAGAAACATAAAAGTGAATAAAATACTATTTCTGTTCTTACCTTAGAGCTTAACAGGAAAAAACTGACAAATTCCCAAATGAAAGCACAAATTAGAATAAGAACCTACATTGTCAGAATTATTATTTCCATTGTACAAATAAAGAAACAAAAACTCAGAGACGGTAAGTGACTTGCCCGGGGACACACAATAGTAAGCGGCAGCATCAGGATGTGAAGCCAGGTGTATCTGGTTCTGAGACTCTGCCTGAAATCACTGTTCTCTCATTCTCTCACACATCCTGGGGGAGAGGGGACAGATTCCATTTCATGCAGAGGGAAGAGTTATAAGCCTGAGTCACTAAGTAGTCTTCTTTGTGTTGGAAGAATTGGATACTGACTAAGTCATGTAAGTGTCTTACCCCAAACGGTCTCTTGCCTTCCACCAGTGAGGATTGTATTTCTCCAGTATCAGGTATTCTTCTGCTCTCCTTAAGGCTAAATTACAGGGTTCTCTGGGCAGAAAATCATAAAGTGCCTTGACTTGGATCTTCTCTTCAGCAACCTCAGAGGGTGGGAGGGGAGGCAGTGGCTTTCGTTTTGACGGCTGCACACGGCCCGTGTTGGACTGTGAAAACCAATAAGTGAGTTGTTTTACTATCATTTTAATAATTTGTACTAAAAAATATAGGGACAAAGCATATTTGCCTTCTGCCTCACTTTTCTTATCCAGCTACACCAAGGCAGAAGCCAGGATGAGATAAATGTAGAAAAGGACTAACTATAAAACTCCTTTAGGATCCAGCAATACACTCATCATTTTGTACACTTTTGAGATCACAAGTTCTCTTGACAGCATTTTACTGGATTTTTTTTCATATCAAAATTTTCAAAAGATGATGTACTCCTCTTCAATAGTTTTACCTTGTTTTAAGGATTTTTTTTCTCCTTAAAAGAAGAAAAATGGCCTTTTTCTTTTTATGTGGTGGCAGTTTGTGCTTGGGTTTACCATACTTCCTAAGAATGCTGTTTCTCACTGAAGTGAAAATTAATCTCAGCCTCAAAATGACAGAAGCCAGAATATGTTTTTTCCCACTCATTGCCCATTTTCAAGTTCTGCCTTTAAATATAAGTAGCCTATTTTAACTGGTCTTTTCTTTTTCCTTTTACTTTCTTCTAGAACATTCCTTCACAAATTACTGAGCACTTATTTTATGCCAAGCAGGATACTAGATTCTGGGCAACAAACAGCACCTCATGAATGAAGACTCTAAAAAGACAACCTTCTCCATTCCCCTCTTGCCTGTCAAAATGATACTTACTTGCTTCTTATTTGACAATTGGCTGAGCCACGGCCTGCGACGCTGGGTGTATTTTTCTGGAAGCTCTTCATCTGTGCTCAGGCTTATCTGTGTTCTCATTTGTCTGACATTGAAAAGCAATCATGTTACAAATAATTATTTGTACAAAAGTTATCTATACATCCACTAGATTTTCACAGAAATAGCAGAAAAATCCAGGTCTCTTTCCAACTCCATTTTCATTTAGAAGGCTTCCTAACTCCATCTCCCTGGGCAAATTACTGGTTTTAAGAACTTAAGTTTCCTTCTCCAGGAACTAGAGGTGCTAAGAGCATAGAGTTGTTATAAAATAAAATTGAGAAAACATGTCACATTCCCAGTAGAGTCTGGTGCATCTTCAGGGCATAAAGTTATAATCATTGTAATGAAAACTTACTCCATATCTGGCTCAGTGTTTGTCATTTTATATGCATTACCTCATTTGATGGTGTCTTTTTGTTATAAATAGACATGGTATAGTGATTAGGAACAAGAGTTTGAATCCCAGCTCCACCATTTCATAGTGTGGCCTTGGGTAAGCAATGTAACCTCTCTAATCTTCAATTTCCTCATCTGTAAAATGGGGATCATAAAAAAAAAAAGTAGGTGGTTTTGAGAACTGTATGAGTTAATAAACATAAATCTTTTAGCATAGTATCTGATATACAGGAAGCTCCTGTTAAATGTTAGCTTTTTCTGTTAACATGCTGCCTTGGATTTAATTCTTACAGAGTCATTTACTGCCACCAAAGTATAAGATACACCGGTAGTTTTGGGGAGATAGATAACTAAGATAGGATTCTTGCCCTTAAAGGGAAAAAATACGTATTGGAGCACAGACCTATAAACAACATACATGAAATAAAAATTAAGTGGAGAACAATGCCGCACACGGTGGGAATGCAATGGAATGAACAATGAAATCTAAAGGATCAGGAAAGGATCCCAGATGACCTGACATTTGACCTAGACCTGTAAACAAATAGGCATTCCACAGGGAGAAAATGGGAGAAGGTTCCCAGGTAGAGAGAACAGCGGGTGCAAAGAGACATGGTGACTCCACAGGTAATAAAGAAACGGAATTAATTAATTTTCAAGAAATTGCCCTCGGAAGTAGACTTACCGCTTCTGCACTGAACAGCAACAGCAGCAACAGAAAACCGACTGGATGGTGTTATCTGAAAAGCAGATCATTTCTCAGCTGTTAGAAAGCCATGAGTACGTGATATTGAGGGAGTCTCTAAGGGAAGGGTGAGACGAATTATTATAAAGCGTATGAAAGTCTCGATCGTGCCTTCCTTCACTAGTGGAAGACAAATAACTGTCACTAAAGCAAAAAATAAGTTTCTGGCACCTTGGCCAGTGTGGTTTCCCTTCTCAGGCTCTTCTCCTCTGGCCTGGTTTTTGCATTTCCTCAGTCTGTGAGTGATAAATGACCAGTGTATTCTCTTTTACCTTTGTCAGGGCTAATGTTCGCTAACAAATATACAAGAGAATAGGATTCCAGAAGTGATGCTCTCCTAGGAAATCTGTTAGCAGGGATTTTGAATTAGATCTGTCATATTTTTTTAAATTGAAATGTTTAAAACATAGGCTCTTTTTAAAAATTCCATCAACATTTCAGTGGGATTTTTATTCTTTTACGTATTTATTGTAATTAAAAATTGTTCTAAACCTTAGCTGCATGTTAGAATTATCTGAGGAGCTTTAAAAAAAATATTCTGGTGTACAGGTCATACCCTGCATACCCCAGACCAAAAAAATTAGACTGTCTGGGGAGGAATCTAGGTATTGGTATTTCTTTCTTTCTTTTTTTTTTTAATTTTACTTTAAGTTCTGGGATACATGTGCAGAACAAGCAGGTTTGTTACATAGATATATATGTGCCATGGTAGTTTGCTGCACCTATCAAACCATCATCTAGATTTTAAGCCCCGCATGCATTAGGTATTTGTCCTAATGCTCTCCCTCCCCTTGCCCTCCACCCCACAACAGGCCCTGGTGTGTGATGTTCCCCTCTCTGTGTCCATATATTCTCATTGTTCAACTCCCACTTATGAGTGAGAATATGCAGTGTTGGGCTTTCTGTTCCTGTGTTAGTTTGCTGAGAATGATGGCTTCCAGCTTCATCCATGTCCCTGCAAAGGACATGAACTCATTCGTTTTTATGGCTGCATAGTATTCCATAAAACATAGGCTCTTACTATGGAATAAGCTTAAAGATAAACTGAATATTTGAAGAAAGAACTAGCTAGTAAGTCTAGGTTATGCCTAGACTTTCATTGTCAAGCTTCATCTTTATTGAAGTGAGATGATTTTCCTTTTTAAAGACCATAAATAAGCCAAGGGTGGTGGCTCATGCCGCTAATCCCAGCACCTTGGGAGGCCGAAGCAGGCAGATCGCTTGAGCCCAGGAGTTCGAGATCAGCCTGGGCAACATGGCAGAACCCCATGTCTACCCCAAAAAACTTTTTAAAAAAATTAGCCAGGCATGGTGGTGCATGCCTGTAGTCTTCAATACTCAGGAGGCTGAGGTGGGAGGATCCCTTGAGCCTGGGAGATGGAGGCTGCAGTGAGCTGAGATTGCACCACTGCACTCCAGCCCTGGTGACAGAGTGAGACTCTGTCAAAAAAAAAACATAAATAAATTTTGAATTTCAAAAGGATATTTTATTTTCATAGAACCTACATTTCCCCATCAGCTCATACTCATATTGACATCCGAAAATATTCTGGAGGCAGCAGAGTACCTTAGAGGTGAGCATTCACTTTGAGGGGAGACAGACCTGGGGTTTAGCCCTAGTCACCTGGCTGACTACATCTTGGATAAGTCCCTTTACTTCTCTAAGTCTTAGTTTTTCTAACTGTAAAACTGAGGTAAATAGTATGTACTCCCTTTGAGAAGCCCTATAAATGTCTAACTTTGTGACTTTGAGTAAACTAGTAAATGTTCTGTGCTTTAGTTTCCTCGTCTGTAAAATGGGAATAATAGGATGCCTAACATGTAAGCCAACGGTGAGGACTAATTGAGTCGATTCATGTAAAACTCCTAGACCAATACCAGGTATACAGTAAGAGGGTAATCAAGAAGGCTGATTATAATAGGATCGTGGTGAAGAATCAATCAGATAACATCTTTTAAAGTCCCTGGATCATAAAGGTAAGTATTATCAGTCAGGATCCCAACAAGAATCAGAAGGCACACTCAAACTGGGATATGTTGAGAAGGATTTATTTATAAAAGGAAGTATAGAGATGTAGGCAGAGTGTAGTAAAACTACAAGGATAGTGCAGGAATCCAGAGCTGAGCCATCACCACACCTAACCAAGTGAGGAGGGAAGGGAAGGTTACCAGAACCTAGAAGGAGAGGGTATCTGTGGCCCAGGCCACCTGGAAAAGAGCATGTATCATCCATCCAAGGACACAGACTGCCCAAGGAGACTTCACAGCAAGAAAATCAGGAGGATAAATATCCTTACTCCACTGTCCTCCCTCCCTCCTTGCTGGGCTCTCCATTGGCCTAACCCAGCAGGAAGCCAGATGGTTGTATGTAAATCACACAGCAGCAAACAGCAGGCTGGTGAAAGGCAGAGAGTGGACCGGCAGGGAGAGAGGCAGACAGGAAACATCCAGCACAGTCCACCCCTCAGCATCCATTTTTTGTTTCTTTTTTTTCAGACAGAGTCTCACTGCGTCGGCCAGGCTGGAGTGCAGTGGTGCTATCTTGGTTCACTGCAACCTCCTCTACCTCCCAGGTTCAAGTGATTCTCCTGCCTCAGCCTCCTGAGTAGCTGGGATTACAGGCATGTGCCACCACACCCAGCTAATTTTTTGTAGTTTTTAGTAGAGATGGGATTTCACCATGTTGGCCAGCCTAGTCTCGGACTCCTGACCTCAAGTCATCCGCCCAACCTGGCCTCCCAAAGTGCTGGGATTACAGTTATGAGTCACCGCGCTCGGCCCATCCTAAAGTGGAAATCATATATGCCCTCTTCCATTATCCATTCCATTTCCCCTTTGCCACTGCCAACACCTTGGCTGGAGGAGGTGCCCAAATATCCATTCCTGTAGGATTTGGGTTTTTGTTTAGTCTTGTCTTTGTAGGGTTGCTACAGTTTTCCATTGACCAGGACTATTAAGAATATTAAGAAATAAAGCTAATGCATTCCCTAATGTTTAAACAAAGTCCTCTTTGCTGTAATTGTGAAGCACCAACCCAATTTTCCTCTGTTAATCAGGATAATCACCCCAGCTACATTGACCCCCTTCAGGGCCTATAAATTCAGTAGTACAAGGAATCCCATAGTGGCCACAGGGCAGTTCAACTTTCAATATTCCCTAATAAAAGGATTCTTCTCTTGGCAACGGAATCTCCAAACCTACAAAAACCAAAGTCTCAGGGAAAGTAAACAACAATACTCTAGTGCATTATTAGATGAAATGGTGAGAGAGGCTGCTCCAATCTCCACTGCTTTGTTTCCAGACTCATGTATCCTGGCTATGGAAAAACAAAAGCATATTTGCTGATGGTTTAAGACTTTATTGTATCCTACAGGACCCTACCTGAACTTTGCAAGATGTTGTCTTCCAGATGTGATAGTAATTGAGCCTTTAAAAGGCCATTCTTCTGTTTTATCAAGTCAGCTGCTTTGGAGTTATGGGACACATGGTAAGGTATTTGGGGACCATTGAACAAGCACCAGTGAGACTAAGAAAAAGCTAACTCCCTCCACAACATGGGTCATCTTGTCAATCTCTGGTTATATCTTCCTATTCTGTCCCTGTTCTAAGAAATTCAACCACATCCCTTTCCCCAAGATCTCCTTGTCACCAATCTCCCAATTTTGTTCCTTCCAAATTGGCAGACCAATTTGTTTTTACCATTGCCCATGAATCGAGGTAGATCGGTGTCTCAGACTATCTCTTTTCCTAATGAAGTGAATAAACTTATGTGTTTCCTGAAGTTCTGGGAGGACTTTATTTCAACACTATCTATCAGGCTACCTCTGAATGAGGCTATAGTACAATGGCTATTTCCTGTTGGTACACATTTATGATGCAGATCTTCCTGTAAATCAAGCCAGAGATTTTCTCCCATAAGCTGTTGGAGAACTACCCAAGAGGCCACTGGTGTGAATTGAAGTAGAAGCAGGAAGAGTAGGTACAATGTGAATAGATGCTGCATGCTTATGAAGCTTTCTTGAAGCTTCTGGATCTGCTAGGGCCCATTTTCATATATGCCACTTCTGTATTAGGATAGAAAACTAGTACGCATGACTGATTTCACAGTCCTTTGAATCAGATAACACCCAGCTCACGATAAGCAGCTTGGATCACTTAACTATTTGATGATCCGTGATTAAGCATTTAGTCTTTACCAGTAGAAAGTCAGGAGCTGCTTTTGAGATGGAAAATATTCCTAGGGGTTTGTGCTGCAATTCTCTTATTGGGGTTTTCCTGAAATGCCATAAAGCCAGCATCTTGCCCTCTCTTTGCCCTTTATCCCAAGCAGTACCAATGACAATTTGATTAATTGATAACTGAGTTATTTCTCCAGCAGAGGGTATCTCTGGACCTCTAAATATATGACCAAATAAATCCCATACCCAACTCTGAATCTGCTTCCTAGAGCTACTTCTGATACAAGAGAAAACTTGACATACTTAGATTAACTTTGAAAGGGTTATTTATAAAGGGACTAATTACAAAGAAGTGAAAACCACAAAAGATATACAGGAACCCAGGTCCAGCAGTACTGGAACTGTCACCATCCCTAGGTTCACAAGGACCAGGAGTGAGAGAGAGTAAAATAGAGCAGAGATCACTTTGAGGAGATGAATGATCTGCTGTTTAGGGACACAACAACCTCATTACAACTTCATTCCAGGGTTCCCAACAGGTATAATCCAACCAGAACCCAGAGGGCTTAGGAGGACATTGAACTAACCCTTACAGATTTTTGTTTCCAAGATAAAGTTTAGGATGGAGAGGAATGAATACTAAAAGGTGGGGAACACTGAGCCATTTTGCAGGCTGGCTGCAAAATTTAATCCCTACACATTATCAATACATATTAGTTCCTTTCCTATCAAAGAAGTTGATCTTCTAAACCTACATTCATACATCAGTTACTTACCTTTCTCTGATTTGGACGTCACCATTGCTCAGTTGTTGAGCCATGGACAGACTGATGGTCCAATGGGAAACCTCTCTTCTCTACCATGGACATACAGTTCAAGTCCAAGCCCAGGCAAGGACTCACCTTTGCACCCACTGCTGTTTCATTGCTCCCCCCGATTTCTCTCTTCCTTTCTCTCTTCCTTTTCTTCCATTTCTCTCTTCCTTTTCCTGCACCCAGAAATCACTCATTTTCCATGGCCCACCCAAAGACTTACTTCTGGAGACAAAAATAAAATAAATTACTAATTCCCAAGAATCTACACTACATCATGTTCTTTGGTGTTTGGATTTCAGCTGCTTCTGACTGCCATTTTCATCTGCTGTGTCTGCTGGGATGAGGAACCTGCCAAAAAGTCACTCTTCAAAGAGAGGGCACATTAGCACTTAAGGACTCTGTTGACTTTGGCAGGAATGGGTCTCATTTACATTTTAACCAATTTATTCCAGTGCTGTTTTAGAGCCCCAAATAGATCTGTATCTATTCAGGCCACAGGATGCAAAACCAAATGTAGGTTACATAAATGAATGAAGTAGGTCAGAATAGAGTGTAGACTGTGGCAAAATGTTGTGCCCAAGCCCACTTGGAGGTATTCAAATTCAAAATTTTAAAAATACTCCCTCCTTCTCCTATATCACCATTTTTCCCCCTCTACTGGATCATCAGCATATATATACACACACACACACGTACACAAATATACGTATACATACACATACATATGTATATACATGTGTATATATGTATATATGCATATATATGTATATACGTATATGTGTATATATACATACACACATATATACGTATATATGTACATATATACGTATATATGTATATACGTATATGTGTATATATACATACACACATATATACGTATATATGTATATATATGCAGTTACTTCAGCTATTAAAATACATATATACGTATATATACACATATATACGTATATACGTATGTATATATAAAATACATATATACGTATATATATGCAGTTACTTTAGCTGTTAAAAACAAAACAAACTACGCGTGATCTTATTTCCCTCATTGATTTGCTCTCTATTTATTGTAAAATCCAGAAATAAGTCTCTTTTTTTTTTTTTGGTTGAGACCAAGTCTCGCTCTGTCGCCGAGACTGGAGTGCATTGGTGCCATCTTGGCTCACTGCAATCTCCGGCTCCCAGGTTCAAGCAATTCTCCTGCCTCAGCCTCCAGAGTACCTGGGATTACAGACACCTGTCACCATGCCCGGCTAATTTTTGTATTTTTAGTAGAGATGGGGTTTCACCATTTTGGCTAGGCTGGTCTCAAACTCCTGATCTCAAGTGATCTGCCCACCTAGGCCTCCCAAAGTCCTGGGATTAAAGGCATGAGCCAGTCCTCCGGCCCTAGAAATAAGGCTCTTTACTTGCTGTCTCCAACTGCTCTCCTTCCATTACAGTCAGGCTGTCATCTCTACCACTTCTAGAAAAAAAAAACAAAACTGCTCTTGTTAAGGTCACCAGTGACCCATGCACCACTAAATCCAACGGTCAACTCTAAGTCCTCATCTTACTGAACCTCTCTCTTGGCAGCATTGGTACCATATCCCTTGGCTTTGCTCCTTGTCAGTCTCCTTTGCTGCTTTGTTCTCTACCTCCCTGACCTCTGAATAATGCTAGATTTCCCGCAAAGCTTTTGATTTCTTCTTTTCTTTGTCTTATTCACTCTTTTGATTATCCCATTCCCTCCTGCAGCTTAAAAACTATCTATCAGCTGATGACATCAAAATACACACATCTAGCCCAGTTCTAATTAACTCCAGACTCACCTACCCAAATGCATTCTCAAATTCTCCACTTGGATGTCTAGTAGATACTTCAAGTAAACAGGAGATGAAATCTGAACTCTTTTTCTTCCTCCCTCCCCAAACAGGCTCTATCACCCTTCTCCATCTTGTCAAAAGCAATTCCGTCTTTCCAGTTGCTCAGGTAAATAATCTTAGTCATCCTTGACTCCTCTCTCTCTCTCACACACAGGCCAATTTATCAAGAAAGTTTGCTGACTGTGTCTTTAAAAAATACAGACTTCCCCAGTGTCCATGGGAGATTGGTTCCAGATCCTCCGACAGATATCAAAATCCATAGATGCTTAAGATCCTTATATAAAATGACATAATATTTGCATGTAACCTACACACTTCCTCACATATACTTTAAATCATCTCTGGATTACTTATAATACCTAATACAATGTAAATGCTATGTAAATCATTGTTACACTATATTGTTTAGGGAATAATACCAAGAAAAAAATGTCTGTACATGTTCAATACAGACACAACCATCCTTTTTTTTTCAAATATTTTTGTTCCACAGTTGGTTGAACCCAGCAATGTGGAACCTGTGGATACAGAAGGCTGTTTATTCAAGAGTTTCCATTTGGGATGATGAAAAAGTTTTGGAGATAGAGAATGGTTATGGTTTATAACAATGTGAATGTACTTAATGTTGCTGAACTGTACACTCAAATATGGTTAAAATGGTAAATTTTTGATATATATATTTCAACACAATTTAAAACACAAACACACACACACATACTTATTGCTTTCCCCATCTCATCCATCACCACCATGGATAAGCCACCATCACCTCACCTGGCTCACACCAAAAGCCTCCTAACTTCTTCCTGCTTCTCCTCCTCCCACTATGCTTTATTCTCAGCACAGCAGCCAGAGTAATTAATTTGTCTTAAGTCTGATCATGTTACTCCTTGTCTGAGAACCCCACAATAGCTCCCCATTTCACTCAGGGTTATAGCTACATGTTCCACAAGAGCCTATAAAATGCTCCATGATCTGGCCTCCTGTTCCCTCTCATCTCCTCTGCAATAAGCTCCTGCTCACCTCACTCAGCCACACCGCAATGCTGCTGCTGGAGCCATAGGGCCTGCTCTCACCAGAGATTCTTGGCTTTTGTTTTTTCCAGAGCACTCCTCCCTCCTTTCTTAACTCCCTCCAATCCCTCCAAGTCTTTGCTCAAATCTCATCTTCTAAGTGAATAGCCCCCTGATTTGACATTACGGCCATCTGCACTCCCTAACTTTTGAGGTTCCTCACTCTGCTCTACTTTTTCTTTCTTTTTTGGTGTATTTCTCACCTTCTAACATGCTGTGCAATTTATTTACCTTTTTTTCTTTGCTGTTTGTCTACCTCACTAGTATGTAAACAAGCACCTTTGTCTATTTTGTTCACAATTATTATATCCCAAGAAGCTACAACACTTTTTGACACAATGAATACTCAATAAATATTTGTTCAGTGAATGAATGAATGAATGAATATGTTTGAAAGAGCACAAAATTATAAGCTTGCTCAGAGGATGTACCTGTCTTGATTCATTCCTAGTGGAAATTTGCAAATGGTATTTGGAACAGAACAAGCAGGTTCAATCCGAAGTGGTGAACAGTGTGACCAGAGAGGAATAACTCAGTCATAAAAGTCCTTGAAATAAAGGAAGATAAGACCTTGGGAGTCTATGTAGTAGGGAGGCTTCATAGATACTAGAGAACAACTTGGCCACAGGCCAAGCAGAGCAATCAGTTCTCAGCCTGGAAGCCATTGGAAAATGGTCCAGGAAGGTGAGCTCTGACCATCTATATAGCCTCCTGTTTTAATATAAACAAATTATTTAATATCATCAAAGCCAAAAAGTGTATATAATGGCCACTTTATCCTTGAGTAATCACTAGCCTGTTATGTTATTTTCTACTTTTTTCTGTATGCTTGAAATATTTCAAAACTTATATAAAGAAAAGGAAAAACCCAGAAAATCAAATAGGTCTGTGATTTGATAGTTAGGTACCCATTCTATGATTGATAGCTTTCTACATGTACATAACTTTTAGTGATAGATGCAAAAGGATTTTTATTTCCCCAATTTGGCCTCTGTCTTACCTTTTCCCCAACAGAATTATCATCTTCCTCACTATCCTTAGTAAGAAAACCATTCTGTTGCTTCCCCTTTCCAATCTCCCCATGTCTGTGAATGAGTCCACCACAGAAAACTTAGATTCTTCCTGAGCCCCACCCTTTGTATTTGATCTGCCATCAATCTATCAGTCTGTTCACAGGGCTTGGCTTTTTCCTTCTTCTACACCCTCCCAATAAGCAAGGCTAAGCCCTCATCAACTCGTACCTGTAATTTTGCATTAATTCGCTTAGTCCTCACAATGACTCTGTGAAGTAGATGCCGTTTTACAGATGAGGAATCTGAATCACAGAGAGGTTACTCCTTACCAACAAAGGGCTAGTAAGCGGGGAGCCAGGATTTGAACCTGAATCTAGAGTCTCTGCTCTGAGCTGTCTCCTTCGATTCACCCCATATACCCATTTCCCTAAAAGCCTGCTTCAGCCAACTGCTCTTCATCCTCAGCATTATATCTTCCCCCACTTTCAAGGTCTTCCATAAGTGACCCCACCCTGACTACTTTAGCTTTCACCAATTCCTGCTGCACCAGCTTCTTCTGTTTGCTCTGTTCTCACAGACACGTCGTGCATTTCTGCCTCCAGCCTGGAAAGGAAGACTTCCATTGCAATACACTCCCATGTACTCTTCCTTTCAGTTCCCAAAGCACCTATGCCCTGTCCCAAATGTCCTGTCCCAAAGCACAGTCCTGCCCTGTGGTTCCTAGTTAGGTACCACCTGAGATCGTCATTTAAGTTTCTCTGTGTAGGCTTCATCTCTCACAGGGCTTCCCAATCTCACCACTATCAACATTTTAGACAGGATCATTCTTTATTGTGGGGAGCTGTCTTGTGTACCACTGAATATTTAGGGCATCTCTGGCCTTTATGCACTAGATGCCGGCAGCAACATAACCCCCTCCCTTCTAACACCCACACCACCACCACCTTCCAATTGTGGAAACCCAAGTGTTTCCAGGCATTGCCAAATGTTCCCTGGGGGCAAAATCAACCCCAGTGGAGACACTGGACCAGATTGTAAGCTTCTCAATCTCAGGGACTGCATCTTATCCTTTTTTTTTTATTTTTAATTTTTTTTTTCTGTCTTCTCCCTAGCTTCTAGCATCAGTGCCTGGCACATAACAAAAGCTCAATAAATAACTGTTAAATAAGACCCCACCAATATCAACACCCTTACATTACATCTGAGCTCTTCTTTTTTTCCACTCATTCATCTTATCACCCAGTATTTCACAGTGTGATGCTGGCCACAGAGAAAGCTAAGCTGACCGTGACCTTTTGACTGAGTGGAACGGCAAAGGTGAAGACTGAGCTTCCGGAGCTTTAGCCAGCATTTGTGGGGGCTCATAAGTCTAACCTTTTATTCCAGACATATATTTTTAAACAAATGCTTATCCAAAATAAAGTACCAAACCATGAGATGCCAAATGAAATTATTAAAAACTCTCTGGCATTCAAATGTGTTTGTTTTTTCTTTTCTGTATTAAAAGAACATATGGGGTTCAGCAGGCTTTAGTATCAGGCAGACATGCACTCAAATCACTGTTCCCTTTTCTTGGAGCAACAATGTGATTTTGGGCAATCAAATCTAGAAAACGTAGGTAATAAAAGTTGTCTTCTAAGAAAGGGTTTCCCCACTTCTACCAACACAGCCCTTACCATATGCCAGGCATGACAGATACTTAGATCTTACTATACTACGCCATGCTAACTTACTCACTATACTAACATTATGATCCCCATCTTACACATAAAGAAACAGAGGAACAGAGAGCTTCAGCCATTTATCCAGTCACATAAAAAGCAGCTGAGCCAGAAGTCAAACCCAGAGTCCATGAGCATCACAATAGGACTATCCTTGTGGATGAGAAGATTAAATAAGATTGCAGAGGCAAACATGGCTAGAACATACCAGCTACTCTCAGTTACTTTACCACTTTGTCCCCATCCCCCAGTTCCCTAGAACTCATTCAGCAACTATTTATTGGGTACTCACAAAATACATTTAAGGTAACCAAATAGGAGCAGGTGTGGTTTTCCCTCTGAAGACAAAATGGAGGAAGAAGGCTTAGTAAACGAAAGCGAATCTTCAGCTCCAACTCCTCTCTTCTGAGCCAACTTTATCCCTGACTCAAAGGCAGATGTTTCCCCCGTTCAGGACTCCAGGAGACTCTCTCTCCCTGCTATCAAAGCAGGCCTCAGGAGAGGCTCTCACACTTTTTCTCAGTAAGGTATAAATGACAGACACAATGTTAAATAGTAAACATGCTGTACTGCAGCGCTTCAGCAATGTCATGCTTACTGCAGTGCAGAGGCGTGTACATGTTTGTAAGCATGACATTTGTAACAGTCAGGGTGAACACAGAGAGAGGTTTCTTTTAAGGAACTGGCTCAGGCAGTTGTGGAAACTGGCAAGTCCAAAATCTAACAGGGCAGGCCGGCAAGCTGAAGAATGAGAGAAGAGTTGCAGTTTGAGCCCAAAGGCGGTCTGCTGGCAAAAGTCCTCCTTGCTCAGGGGAGGTCTGACTTTCATTGATTAGGGACTTCAACTGTGGGAGAGGCCCACTCACATGATGGAGGGTGACCCACTGTACTCCAAGTCCACCGATTTAAATGTTAATCTCATCCAAAAATTACCTTCACAGAAACATCCAGAATAATGTTTGATCAAATATCTGGGCACCATGGCCAAGCCATGTTGACCCATAAAATTAACCATCACAACACATTAAATTTAAATAGTTTGACACTTGAAAAACATGGTATAAACATTTACATGAAGATTTTCTTCTGCCTCTGTCACCCCTGAGACAGAAAGACCAATC
The DNA here is from genome assembly GCF_000001405.40 of Homo sapiens. Lineage (NCBI taxonomy): Eukaryota > Metazoa > Chordata > Mammalia > Primates > Hominidae > Homo > Homo sapiens. The sequence continues at coordinate 48,126,194 of NC_000004.12, forward strand.
CCTCCTCTTCATCATCCTTCTCAGACTATTCAACATGAAGATGACGAGGATGAAGGCATTTATCATGAGCCACTTTCACTCCATGAATAGTAAATCTATTTTCTCTTCCTTATGACTTTCTTAAAGCATTTCTTTTCTCTAGCTTACTTTATTGTAAGAATACAGTGTATGATACACATAACATACAAAATACGTGTTGATCAACATTTATGTTATTGAGGCTTCTGGTCAATGTTAGGCTATGAGTAGTTACATTTTGGGGAACCACCTTATTCAAGTGTCAACAACTTTGTGTGTGTGTGTGGTTGTTTGTTTTGTTTTGTTTGAGATGGAGTCTTGCTCTGTCATCCAGGCTGGAGTGCAGTGGCATGATCTCGGCTCACTGCAACCTCCGCCTCCCAGGTTCAAGCGATTCTCCTGCCTCAGCCTCCCAAGTAGCTGGGACTACAGGCACACTCCACCATACCCGGCTAATTTTTTTGGTATTTTTAGTAGAGATAGGATTTCACCACATTGGCCAAGCTAGTCTCAAACTCCCAACCTCAAGTGATCCCCCTCTTTGGCCTCCCAAACTGCTGGGATTACAGGCAGGAGCCACCATGCCTGGCCAAGTCAAGAACTTTGAAAGAGAAATTGCTGTTATCAGTCAGCAGGCAGGAGTATCTGGGACTAGAGAAATGCCTCCCCCAGCTCCCTGACCTCACAACACATGGCCACACCTGATAATATTCCCCTTAGTTGTCTTCACTGTCTTCTGCAGCCTGGAATTTAGGAGAAAATATTTTCAAAAATTCTTATGTTTCCTGATTCAATAGCAAAGACAATGGCCTTTAAAGAAAGATACAGACCTACCCTACCACTGCTTTAATTATGACCCAATTTTATTTAATTTCCCTCAAAGTCCAAGAACAGTGGTGAGCAGGAAGGCAAACCACTGCTTTGTTTGTGGTTCCATCCTCTGCCCAGCAGAGTTGCTGCCCAATAAATAATCATTGCGAGAAGAAAAATCACACTATGAAAGCCAAACAGCTCCCTGGTGTTCCCTTGCTTGGCATGACTTTCCAAGACAGCAGGCATCTTTATTTACAGGTTGAAGTGTTGGGCCAAAATTCATTCCAATGCAGGTATCAAGGAGTATTCATTTCATGATCATTTTCAATTTACAGCAGCACAGGTGTTCCCAGTAAGTAAATAGACAGCGCCCTTCCACAGGCATTCTGTGATTACAGAAGCCATTCTTTGAATTGTTTTGCCGATTAACCTGCAGAGGGAAAGCTCTTGAGCTTTTAGCAAATTCCCAACTTAGGCAGGAACTCATGCATATCAAGGGCCTTTGCCAGAGTGACAAAAATGCCCCAGAGATAGGCAATGACTATTTGCCTGCTGGAAGGAAATGTGGAAAGAATATATTCGGGCTTGAAGATTATCACTGAAGGAGCTGAGCTTCCTCTCCCAGGCTTACATCTGCGCTGTTCTTTTCATCTACTTCTCATTCCTCAGTAAATATCTCTAATGATGAGCCTCAGGCCAGCAAATCAGAAAAAGGGCATCGCATCAGATGTAATCTCTGTGACCTTTAGAAACCGGCACATCTGTCATGGGATAGGCAGTTGGCCCTCCCATCTTTGGTATTTGTGTTTTTTCCTTGGAAGGATTTGCGCCCCTCTGTCCTCTAGGAGAGGCTCCTATTGACATTCCTTCCACCCCCAGAGGTTCCTGGGTGGCAACAGCTGGGCTGATTGGGAACAGGTTTCCACCAGGGGGCACTGGAAGAAAGCAAAAGTGAGAAGCACCCCTTCTCAGAATAGCTCCTAAGGTCATCTCTGAAGAGGACAAAGGAACAGATGTGAAGAACTGTGGGGCCCGGGCTGCGCGGGAAGCAAAGCCGCTGTCGCTTCCTCATGTCTAATGTTTTGAAGTTTACATCGTCACCTCCAGTTCATCCCCTGGCATTTCCGATGTCAGGGTTTCGTTTTGAATCAGTGCCTTGAGTGAAATGCATTCCTACTGAATTTGGTCATCATAATAACTGGCACATGGCTAGTGATTTATATTTAAAAACATGGCTTGAAACTGGCTCAGTTTTGAGAGCTGCCTTAACCCAAAGACCAGGCTTGTTGCCCAAGCCAGGCGCTCCAGGTTGTGGTTTTAAGATGAGGAATGTCTGATACCGGCTGCTTTTGCAGTTGATGGGCTGTGGTGAGTGGGGAAAGCCTTAAAAACTTGTGGCTTTGGAAAAATGGCTCTGGGTGACCAGAGCTGATTCTGTAAGTTTGCTGCAACATATCCTTTTTGTTTTTTTTTCCAGAAATTTACAGAAAGGCCAAACTTCCTCATTACTCTGCCATAAATGCCCACCACTACATCCTTTTTTTTTTTTTTTTTTTTTTGAGATGGAGTCTCACTCTGTCTCCCAGGCTGGAGTGTGGTGGCACGATCTCAGCTCACTGCAACCTCTGCTCCCGGGTTCACGCCATTCTCCTGCCTCAGCCTCCCGAGTAGCTGGGACTACAGGTGTCTGCCACCACGCCCGGCTAATTTCTTTTTGTATTTTTAGTAGAGACGGGGTTTCACTGTGTTAGTCAGGATGGTCTCGATCTCCTGACCTCGTGATCCACCTGCCTCGGCCTCCCAAAGTGCTAGGATTACAGGCGTGAGCCACCGCGCCCAGCCTATCTTCAAAAGGCCCCATTTCTTAAGGGCCTTTTGAAGATAGGCACGTTTTAGCCACATTAACCCATATTATCTGGGGAGAGTGACACATAACTAGCTTGGCTATAGCATGGATGGATTTCTACCTCTGAACAGGAGTTAGAAAAGACTTCCAAGTTGGAGTTAGACTTCTTGGTTTGGAGTTAGACACCAAACCAAGACCCCACACCAAGGAGAGGGGAAAATAGTAAAATTGGGACATTGAGTTTTTCACATATTTATTCAATTTAGAAAGTTATCCTTTATTCTGAGTTTATGCCCTTTATACATTTGGGGTCTGAAGTGATCCTGTGTCTGTGTTCGCACGTGTGTGCACTTTTCCTTTTGATACTAAAATGTCCATTATTCTAAGAAGTGATGGTCTCCAGAGATGTTAGTTTTTCTAAATGTATGGATAAAATAAGTGAGTAATTTGTGTTAGACCTTGACTGTTCTGTTTTTTTGACATTATACTGCCAGTGAAACCTTAAAGAAGGGAGGATAACTACTTTAGGGGAGTCACTGGTGACTAAGAGAAAACAAGTACCTAGCTAACAGGACACCAAACTGATCAATTTGAGTGGAAGAGTGGTGCTTGACCTGTCTATGGCCTGAAGGGGTGCTGTGTGGGGTGAGGAGATTCTAGAAGCCTGGCAAGCTGGATGGAGTCCCGGGCACCAGGGAAGACAATGTTTCTGGGAGTAAAAGGTGCTGTAAGGAAAGGCAGAAATCTTCCTGATGATGACCGCTCATCTGTTTCCCAGCTTCTGCCAGGGCAACTCCCCAGACACGGACAGCAGCCACCCAAACCCTTGTTTGGTCTATGAGGCAATTTTTCTTTCTTTCTCAGAAGGGGCTGATGTGAGTTGGTCTTTGCAGGCACCTTGCCCACAACTTCCCCACTCCCCCACATCTCAAAACAGTGTTTCCTAGAACACTGTTTTCTGTGAGCTCAAAGTTCATAATAAGCTCGCAGACATCACACCCAAGACATCGAGCCAGCTTGTGATGTGAAGAAGTGCTTGGCCACAAGGCACACGGGCGTGGCTGGCACTGGGCCAGAAGCCGTACTGCTCACTGACCCTCGGTGGGCAGGGAGTGTGGGCACTGCTGGCCTGGGGAGCTCCACAGAGGAGAAATGTGGGGATCTGCAGTAGTTACAAAAGGCAGCTGCAGTGACGAGTTAAAAACTGAAATGATTTAAAGACAAAAGAAAAGACACATCTAGTGTCCATTTTAATCTTTCAGAAAGGGCATCAAACTCCAGCCCCAGGCAGAAGGGTGGCCAAAGTGGCCAAGTTCTTTTTTAATCTGCGGCTTCTCCTGCTTTTGCCACACACTTAGTTATCTATTGTTGGAAACAAATTATTCTGAGACCAAATGACTTACAACACTTATCTCACACTTTTGTGGGCCAGGAGTTCTGGAATGGTTTAGCTGAGTGCTTGTGTCTCCAGATCTTTCATGGAGTTGCAGTCAAGCTGGGCCCAACCAGAGCTGGAGAATACACTTCTAAGCGAATTCCAAGCAGGTCATGGTGCCTCGGTTTCTCGTGATGGGGATTCTCTGCGGGCTGCCTGAGAGTGCTCCCAACAAAGCAGCCGGCGATGCAGGAGACAGAAAGCCCGAGATCGCAGGAATGGGAGCCGCCACCTCTGTAACCTGGTCTCAGAGGTGACGTTCCATCACTTTTACCATATTCTAATCACAAGAAGTGAGGTACTAGGTCCAATTCATACTCAAGGAGGAGGACTGCCTAAGGGCGTGAATATCTGGAGGCAGATATCATCAGGCCATCTTAGAGGCTGCCTACCACAGCTACCCTCCTTATCTTCATATTCATAATAGTAATAATGGAAGGTGTTGACCTAACAAAGTTGGTGTGAGAATCAGATACAAAAAGGAGTAAGATAGGACTCTGAAAAGAGAGGCCCAAGAAAGGCAGTGTGACCAAAACATCCTTACTTTACCCTCAGATCCAGTTATGGAGATGAGCCCAGAAACCTGCCTTTTAACAGCACCCCAGGCATGCTTCAGGCACACCAAGACTTAGAAACCACTCTTTCTACTCTCTAAGTTGGGAATAAAGAAAGGCAGAGAAATTAGGCAAACAGGGGAGCTAAGAGGTGAATTCTTTAAGCCCCCAGCTGCTTTCCCTTGCCCTGTCCTTTAAATAACTCTTCTAGGCTGGATCTGTTCTCAGGGCAACTGTGAGTTGATGGAAATGCTGGCAATACCAAGTACGTTTCACAAACTGAATCTCACTGGAGCAGTGCCCTGAGACCCCACTCCAAATCTCCCATCAGTATGATCAATATCCCACGCTCCACAATTATCTTCTCCCACCCTATAGCAGCCTTTGAAGCCAGGATTCTATGACAATGCTTAAAACAACAAATGTTTTTGGCAAATGACCCTAACAAACATATAAACTTTTTTTTTTTTTTTTTTAAAAGACTGGGTCTCACTTTGTCACCCAGACTGGAGTGGAGTGGTGCAGTCACAGCTTACTGCAACCTCAAACTCCTCAGCTTAAGCAATCTTCTTCGCTGGACTTTTTTTGTTTGTTTGTTTGTTTTTTGATTAACAGTAATACATCTTGAGGCATCACTTAGCTGTCTCCTTGTCAATAGTAAACACTCATTGTTTTACCCAGCAGAAAATGTAGCCACATTCAGCTGCAATATACAGTAGACAACAGGTGATTCTTACCATCAAATCAAATTAACAGAAGCTGGAAAGGAGAACGAGATTTCATCAAATCCATGCCAGAGAGAATAATCCTCAAAATATCCCGCCAATAGGTAGTCCCTTATTTAATCCCTTGGACAATCAAATCCTTGTCTCAACACTCACAGTGATTTATTTTATATATAACCGAATCCTTCCTGCTGTAATTTACAGCATTTTCTTTAGTTCTGACCTTGAGGGAAATAAAGAGCAGATGCTCACACAGCTTTTAATATTTAAAGATCCTTAAGTCACTGCTGAGCTTGTCCTGCCAGTGGAGGTGGCAGGGGACACAGGTTGCTGCTTTGTCGCTTTTTCTGCTTTGCTCTGCTTGGCCTATATTTCTGTTTACAGGAGGCTTGTTCTTATCTGCGTGAATGGAAGACTATGAGTTATTTTCAGGTCAGCACAACTGGAATAACCTGATTTTTTTTTTTTTTTTTTACAAAATCTACAAACAATTGTTGGCTCCTATGAGGGGATTTCGCTTAAACAGATGATATTTAAAAATTACAATCAATTTTTCCTTAATGCTACTTAAAAGTCAGAAATGTAAAAACTTGACTTTTTTAGCTGGTCTTTGATTGCTTTAATCTGATATGACTGAGCTTTGTTGAAGCTTGGTTCCATCGTCACCTAGTATTAAAATCAGACAGTATTTTCCTTCCTTATCTGCAAAATAAGGCCCTCTGAGTCTTAGAGGTAAATTAATAAGTATTTCCAAAACTGCACATGGGACTGAATAGTCTTCCAAAGCAACTCCCAAAATAAAGTTCTTAAAGCACCTCTCAGGTTTATTGTTTCTTTATATTTTGTTGCAAGGTGGGCAAAAAGGGAGTGGCCTGGGCTAAAGTTCTAGTTCTGATTTCGTCCAGCATTTGTGGATCACAGTTGGCAGCTTTATATGTATACAAATATACACATACACACACTCCCTTTGAGAGCTTATTTATACATATAAACTCATTTATATATGTGTGTATGTGTGTGTGTATATATATTTAAGGCAAAAGGAAGAGCACTTAAATCCCGAGTCTGGCAAGTCTCATGCTTGGCCGCGTGTGGTGGCTCATGCCTGTAATCCCAGCACTTTGGGAGGCTGAGGCAAATCACTTGAGGTCAGGAGTTTGAGACCAACCTGGCCAACATGGTGAAACCCTGTCTCTACTACAAATAGAAAAACTAGCCAGGCATGGTGGCATGCGCCTGTAGTCCCAGCTACTCGGGAGGCTGAGGCAGGAGAACCACTTGAACCCAGGAGGTGGAGGTTGCAGTGAGCTGAGATCGTGCCACTGCACTCCAGCCTGGGTGACAGAGCAAGACTCTGTCTAAAAAAAAAAAAAAAGTCTCATACTTAAATCCTGCGTCTGACAACCATATGAGTTTCTGGCAAGATTTAAACTTTCAAAGGCACAATTTTCTTATTGGCTAGATAAGAATAACAATTTTCACCTTGCCAGTTTGTAGTGAAGATTTCAGATAATGAATATAAAGGAACTGGTATAGACCATGGCCCATAGTAGGTGCTCAATAAATACCTTTATAAAGAAACAAACACATTGCAATTCTGATATGACGGCTGCCTTCTTATTTAGAAGACTATTCTGCTTGGTTTTTTTTTTTATTCTAATTTCTTTGGATTTATAAGCATCCCCCACAGCTCTTTCAAACCAAGGATCTTCACAGATAACAGTGTCTAGGGAATCTTTCTCTGTTCTCCTAAAACAAGCACTTATTTTTAATGATGGTCTTATATTCTATAAAAATATTAAAATAACATCTTCATATGTAGTATTATATATGAGGGAAAGAGACATTTGAGCCAGTGTTCACACTTGACCATGTTCACACTTTTAACCAGGTAGAGACTCGTGACTTTGACTCTTATTTTGGCCTTTACTCAGGCTCTGACTGCAGATAAGAATCAGTTTTGCCTAAATTTCAATTGCTTGGGAAAGGTCCTCGATAACGGAAGTCTACATAGAATTGTGAATAAATACCCCTGTGAAAATAAAGGTTAAGTCTATATGTTTACTTGATAAAGCAGATAATTTCAGAGTATAAACACAGTTGTGTTTTGACTTCTCTTCCTTTTGCCTTAAATATAGATATTTATTTGTGTGTGTGTGTATGTGTGTGTATTTATATATATATAAAGTTGCCCACTGTGATCCACCACTGCTGGAGCAAATCCAGAACTAGAACTTGGTCTCCTGGCCTTCAGCCCAGAGCTCATTACAGTCTCATTCTAAAAACAAGTACTTCATACTGATTGCATTTCTACACACACATATGCAGATTTCTGGACACTCTTTCTGTTTTTCTTTCATTTATGTTCTCAATGCTGAACCTTTATTAGAATTACATCATCACTGTGGTTCTTTAAATAAGAAACAAAACTCTGTCACAACATCTGAGGAAATTATCTTTTAATGTCCCCAAGCTCTATGCCTTGGAAAAAAAAAACTTCCTCTGCTGTTCAAGAATAACAGGCCCCAGAACAAGCCCCAAAAATAAATGACAAAGCCCATCTTACTCACAGGAGGAAAGGATCATGGTAGCCCCTTCTGCGGGGAGCACACAACAGTCTTCAGTTCTTCTGCGGTGCTCTACTCACAAAAACACATCTTTCAACTGAAATCATAGTTCGCTCAAGATGTTTCTCACGGGCAGAGTTAACCCCACCTATTTTCCTGTTCTGAAAACCTCAGAAGAGTATAAATGACAACCAATGGCATATATAAGAAAGCTCAGTAATCTCCATCCCAATCTCTGAGGGTATCTGCTATTAGTCTCTCATCCCCAAAGGTGTGGGTGACTCGCAAACATCATTTTCAAGAAATCACAAAATTTTGGTAAAAGGCACCTTTAAAATTATCAAATCAAACTGCCCTCTCTGGACTGGGAAGGAAATGAAGGCACAGACAGAATAAGGGACTTGCCCAAGGCCACACCGTGAGTGGCAGAAACAATTAGATTCTAGGCTCTGGAATATTGAGTTTAGAATGTTCCATCCTCCCACTCAGCAGACACTTTATTTGGGGGAAGTCAATCTAGTAATAACCCTAAAATGTGATTGGGGGATGGCTGAGAAATATAAAAACACCAACAATACAAAACACACTTGGGAGTTTCACTTCATCCCACTGGAAAGCATAACCATGTGTCAACTAATTAACAGAGCAACTTTAATGAAGACACAGCATATTCTAATCGCCCTTCCAATTTCCTGGTTTAGATTAAGGTCTCCTTAGCATTCTGGGTGATGACTGTTATTTTTACTTCACCTTTTGCCTTTGTTATGCTTTCGTATAAAACTTTTTTTCTAAGTCTTAGTGAAAAATATTTAAAGATTTTTGAAGGAAATGTTGACAAATGTTGCCAGGTGCTATCTATCTTGTTTTCCCATAAAAAGCATACACTGACCATTAGGACAGGGACTCTATCTTCTCCTCACTCTCTTTCATACCACCTAGTACTTCCCGTAGCTCCTCAAGGTGAAAAGGGAAGTATGGGATGGGAGGAGGGAAGGTCAGGAAGGAAGGAGAAAAGGCTGACAGTGATAGTAAGGTAGAGTGTGCCAGGACCGACTCCTTCAATGAGCTACAAGTCAGTTAAAAGTTGTGCATGGTTAGCAACCAAAATGCCCATCAATGATAGGCTGGATAAAGAAAATGTGGTACATATACACCGTGGAATATTATGCAGCTATACAGAATGAAATCATGTCCTTTGCAGGGACATGGATGGAACTGGAAGCCGTTATCCTTAGCAAAGTAATGCAGGAACAGAAAACCAAACACCACATGTTCTCACTTATAAGTGGGAACTGAACCATGAAACACATGGACACAGGGAGGGGAACAACACATACTGGGGCCTGTTGGGGAGGGCAGATGAGGGGAGAGCATCAGGAAAAATAGCTAATGCATGCCAGGCTAATATCAGGAAATATATATATCAGGCTAATATCAGGAAAAATAGCTAATGCATACCTAGGTGATGAGTTTTTGATAGGTGCAGCAAACCACCATGGCACACGTTCACCTATGTAACAAAACTGCACATCCTGCACATGTACCCTGGAATGTAAAAAAAAAGTTGTGCCTGTTTTTGTGATGGGGGTACAGTTAAACAGGTAGACAAGAAGGAATGTGGCAGATTGTGATAAGGCTCGGGATAAGCAGTTTACTTTCTTCCATTATGAGGGGCACAGGAAAAGAATAAACACAGCCTTCAGTGGATGGACTGCCTGGTGCACAGACTCTAGACTGACCAGGATGAAATGAAATGGTTCTCCAGGGTCAGAGTGAAGGCGCTGCCCAGAGCAGCCAGCCTGTGTGTTCACCCAATGCTCCAGAGCAGACCATCGTGGCCTGCAGAGGAGACGCAACTCCTGAAGGGAAGGCGCTGTGTCTTCCTCGGCTAGTTACCCCACCAACAGCAAGAATAACGTGTTGGGCAATAAACGGTCTCTGGATGACTGATACAGTTTCTTTTCGCTGGCGCTCACGTGACCGAGATAGTTTCTTTTCCTTGGCGCTCACAAGGCAAAAAGGAAGGCCCTAATTCCGTTGATGTCTTAGTAGAGCTTCTAAGGGTGAGAAATCCACACACACAGTCTTGACAGCAGGGTCTCCTGAGAGGCTGTACAACAATCCCACCATCCAGGAACCCAAGTCCAACCAGGCCTCCTGAAAAACGTCCGGGAGGCACGGAACACCATGCTGGCTGCTTCTCTCCGTAGCTTCCTGGATCCTCCGCCACAGCTCAGGCTGCTTCCGGGTCCTATGTGAGGTGGGGGCAAACTTTGTTGCGAAGGTCACCTGATCCTTCTGCCCCAGAGCTCAGCACTTCCAATTATAGTGTCTGTGTCCCAGGGAATATTCTTAAGGCTTAGAAGTAGATTACCCGGTTTAATTTTCCATCTGATTCTGATTAGCTGCGGCCACCATGGGCAGGATTACATAGGCCAAATGCACGTGGTTAAGCTGGACAGGCATCCCCAGACACATTTACCTGAGTGAGGAGGGGGCGTTACTCATAGAAGAATCTAGACTTTCTTCTCTTCAGGCATATTTGATGTTCAGGGGGAAATGAATTAACAGCTATAAGGCACAGTCTCTAGTCCTAAGAAGGTGAACTCCTATACTACAGGATTAAAAGTTTCAATTAAAAGACAATTCGTGTTTCTCATAAATATATAACTTTATATATTATATATATTTACAATATATACAGCATACAAATATTGTTCATGTAATACTAAGAGCAGTCTTGAAAACTGAGATGTTTTCAAAACAAAAGATAGGTATTTATTTATCCAAGATGGGTTCCTGATGTATCTAGAACCCAATTGTAGACAATGTCTCAGGCCCAGATTTCTGTAGAAGTCAAAGGGAAAAAGAAGGGTTGCTTGGTCATGACTCTAATACCCTTCCCCTTCCCAAATACCCTGGCCTTCAACTGGCATCAGCTAACATGGTCCCATGTGTGCACCCCTGAATGGCCAAACCCTGGGGCTACACACAGTGCCTGGTAAACAACTGTCACTCAAGTGCCTGAGGAATGAATAGAAATGAGTGATTTTAATCACCATTTCTAAGGCAACATTTCCACACTCTGGGAGATTCTGTCTAGAAGCAAGTCTAGACAGAGGCTGGTCTAGAAGCAAATTATTTATGTGTTTCCACTGTATAAGTAAAATGATCTACATGTCCAAGTGCTCAATAAATTAAAAGCCACAAAATGCCCATCCTTCCTTGTGCTTGGGAATCTGGGAGCCACTGGTCACACATCACTTATCTTCCAAAAGTTTCTTCACATTCAACTAGTTCATCTATTGTGCGCAGCAGATCTTCGAAAGAAGGCCTTCCCTCTGGTTTCTACAATTAAAAGTCAAAGAGAAGCTGTGGGTTCCAGAATCCATTCCACAAAACCTCTCACTGCTCCAACTCCTAAACACAGCATATTACAGAGAGACTTCACTGCTTTGGGACTAGGACATACAGGCATCTCCAAAGGGGTCTTGTCTCTACCCTAATTTACCCTGCATGTACTGCTGCTAGGCTAACGTTTCTAAGACACTGCTTTCATGTCTCTCTTCAAGACCCTGATAGATCTTTTTACTGCCTGTGAAATCAAGTCCTGCAAATTTGTAGGAGCCTCTATAATCTGCCACTTCCCGACCCTCTTGTTACCCAATCTTGTTCCCCACAAAATCCCTCACATGGGCTGTCTGTTAAATAGGGCCACTGTCTCCACTGTTGTGCACACTGTGTTTATAACCACCTCCTTACCTTTGCTCAAGCTGTTCTCTCTCCCTTTAGCACCACTTCCTGCCCAGAATGTCTCTGCCCATCCCAATCAATGCTCTTGGGAGGCAGTACAGCAAGTGGTTGAGACTCTGGGCTTTGGAATCAGACAGGCCTATACTGTTCTGTAGCTAAGTGACCCCAGGCAAGCAGCAACCTCATGACCCTTAATCTTCTCATCTACAGAGTGGCTACAGTCAAAGTATCTCCACCTCAAAGTGTTGTTTTGAGAACTAAATCCAAAACACTAAGTATAGTGCCTGGTACATAATACATGTGAGCTAATGTTACTGTCTTTCAGAAGTCATTTGGTATCTAATCTCTTTTAGGAGGTAACATTTCAATACTTTCAAAGACCTCGGAAAGTTGAGGTTTAGAGAAAGAAACCAACTCTGGTAAAAAAATAATACTTCAACTCTACAAGTGAACCAATGAAAAAAGAGCTACTTATCCAGGCTTATTCCCCAAGTCCCTATCTCAGGCAACCATGGAAGGAGTCCCACTTGGAAGTGAGGAAGCAGCCTGAATGTATCGAGGTAGTTATTAGCATTTTCCACATCTTTACATTCTTCTTCCCGTTATTCAGAACTTGAGTTGAGAGGGTTGGCTTCCTACCTAGAGCTTGAAATCACTATAAAGATGCACCACCTCACTAGGCTATAAAGACTGCATGTTATCCATCTACCAAGCCCAATCCCTAAGAGATTCAAAAAGAAAGCACACAAAAAATCTATACCTCCTGCCAACATCTCAGCATCACCTCATACACATAGTTGGACGCCAACTTCGGCTGGTAGAGTCGGTGGCCTCGAGTAACCATGGTTACCACTTCATAATTGGTGTATTTTTCAAAAGGCATTCTGCCTTCCGTGAATACTTCCCACATTAAAACACCTGGAAAAGGATAAGGATTACCAAATGGATGTATCCACTTTCTCCTCAGGGCGGACGGACATGAGGAAACATGGATCTTACCAAATGACCAGACATCTGATTTGCTGCTGAAGCGGCTGTAATTAAACACTTCAGGTGGACACCACTTCACAGGAAACTTAGCACCAGAAGAACTTGTGTACTGATCATCCAGAACATACCTAGAGTAAGACACACCATGGGTTTACACCTCTGAAGAACAATCTGTTTTTTCTACTTGCTCTTTCATTTTTTTCCCCTTGCAATCAAAAACACAGTTGACTGAAGTCCAACAAGCATCCGGTTGAAGCTAAATGTTCACCTCAGTGGCCACACCTGGTGATTTCCAACTTCCTCTCAGCTTAATTTAAGTGCATGAGATGGATCCATCACCACGTTACCATCTGCACTTTCATTTTTCTGTTTTTCTTTCTTTTTATAAGGCAGTAGAGACAAGGTATCATAAAATAGTTTGCAAGCTTTTCTTTGTAAGCAATTTTGTTCTTTAAATAAAATTTTACCCAAAGGCCCCATATGTAAAAAATCTAAAGCAGAGCTGCTCCAGAGGAAGTGGTATAAAGCATCTAGAAACACACAGGCTTTCAGGCCTCCAATTCCACAGAGCACAATTTAAAACTACAGCATATGAAAATAGCAAATGCAAAAAAACAAAAACAAAAACACAACACAAAATGCCACATGTAAATGGTGGAGTATGTATTTATACATAACATCCCCACATACATACATACACTCAAAACAATACTATATAATTTTTCTATGTGAACATACAATGTCCTTCTGGAAGAACATACAAAAACTGGTAACAGTAGCTAACTTTAGGGGAGAATCCTTGATTAGGGTTGGTAGATGAAAAGACTTCAGCCCTTTCTGTAAGGTGGGCAGCACATATTTACAAAAGGAATGTATCTCTGTATTGTGTGTGAATATACCATTAATTTCTAAAAGGTTCCATGAGAAAATTTTCGAAGAATTGCACAAACATCCTTTGCTATGTAGACAAAGATGGTGACTCGGCACAAAGCCAGCTGCTGGCTGGCAGACAATGCCACTGTGGGCTGGATCAAACTGTCAGCCAGTGGAGTCTGAATTTAGGGTATAAAGAGGTTTTTGAGTGGTTGATACAAAAGTGCAGATTTTCTGAAAGCCTAACATATGAAGATTGAACAGATGAAAGCGGCAGACAGCCTGTCAAATATATAGTATCTGTATATAAAAGCAAATAAAGAGCATTGGGTAATTAATATCCTAAGAGTTGGAAGTTCTGGTCCCATTTCTGACAGTAACAGTTTTCTAATCTCCCTGGGCCTGAGTTTCCTTAGGAGTTAAACTTGGCCCTACATGGCCTGGTCTTTGCCTGCATTTATGAGCATTCCTGGCGCTGCCCGTTGGCCAGCTACCCTGGCGCTTTTTCCGTTCCTTGAGCAGGCCAGACGTGTCCCAGACTTCAAGCTTTTTCACTTTTTCTTCCTACCTGAAATAGTTTATCCTTTTATTTTCACCTACACTGGCTACTTCCTACCTTTTCGTCTCCAGTCAAATCTGCCTATCACAAAGAGGTCATCCTGAACATCAGATCAAGTAGCCACCCTCACTCTTGCCCTGCATCATCATTCAGCACCACCCCAAATTATCTCTATTACAGGGATCAGTCAACTTTTATGTAAAGGGCCAGATAACACATATTTCAGATCTGGCAGGCCATACAGTCCCCGTGACAACTACTTGACTCTGCATCTGTAGCAGGAAAGCAGTCACAGGTAACACCTAAATGAATGAGCGAGGCTGTGTCTCAATCACGCTATTTTTATGGACAGCAACATTGGAATTTCAGATTTTTTTTTACATGTCATAATATTCTTTTCATTTTTTTCATCCATTTAAAAATGTGAAACCCAAATGAGGTTTGGGTCAGACTGACAGCCACAGTTTACCAGTATCGACCATGCTCGATCATGTAACTTTATCAGGTCTTCTGATTCACCCTCTTCCTCAATGTAAGCTGCATGCGGGCAAGGACTTGTAGGTCTTATTCTCTATATGGTTCAGCTTATCATTATGCCTGGCACAGAGCAGGCACCTGATTTTTTATGGGTGGATGTATGGATGAATGAATGGATAGACGGAGGGAGAAGAGAGAAAAAATAAACTAAATACCTTTAAAAGGTATTTTATAATACTATTAAATTATAAAAATTAAGAGAAGAAAAACACTGCAGACATGGACATACTAAGAACCTCACCACCAAATATGTTTTTGTGAAAACAAAAGATTCTAGAAATCTAATCCACACCAGGAAATACAGTGTATTTAACAGGCTATACTACCACCTAGTGGAGAGAATTACTACCATCACAATATATACTTAATTTAATCTGAGAACCAGTTAACAAGATTTCCTTTCTGCTTCATCAGTGCAAATTATTCCCACACTTATTAATTCCACCAAAAAAATGCAAACATCACCTAAAACCACGTATACTTGGACATACCTGGCCATTCCAAAATCAGATACTTTTACAACTCCCGCCTCACTTACTAGACAATTTCTGGCAGCCTGGAAAACAACATTATGATGGTATATTAGTTTAAAAATTCTATCATTTAAGTAGGAAAATGTAAGTTCTATTTATATTAAATTTAGTGTAACCTAGTCAACATTTGCAGAGAGTGGAAACACCCTTTAATAAGTTGTTTTTACCCCTATGGAAGTATTTCCATTGTGTATTTGAAAAAAATGAATAGGCAGGTCAGAAAGTTGTATTTGCAATAAGGCATTATTACATAATCTTTACCAATTGTCTTTTTTTTTTCTTTTCTTTCTTTTTTTTTTTTTTGAGACAGAGTCTGCCTCTGTCGCCCAGGCTGGAAGTGCAGTGGCACAATCTTGGCTCACTGCAACCTCCACCTTCCAGTTTCAAGTGATTCTTCTGCCCCAGCCTCCAGAGTAGCTGGGATTACAGGCACCCACCACCACAGCCAGCTAATTATTGTATTTGTTGGCCAGGCTGGTCTTGAACTCCTGACCTCATCCATCTGCCTCGGCCTCCCCCATTGTTAGGATTATAGTCACGAGCAACCTCACCGGCCAACTGTCATTCTTAAACAAGGGCTAATAGAAGGGTCAACTCACTTTTCTCCTTCCCAGACCTGTTCTTATTAAACTATCCAATTTTCTTACTGACAATGAGAACATCTCTTGAAGTCCTTAATCCGGTTCTCACTAGGTGAGCTTAATAACACACAACCATCAAAATGATGGGCGACCAATCTCTTATCCAATATTTCTGCTCAGTGATTGGTCATCTCATCCCAGTCAAAGAACAGGCTGGGTGCAGTGGCTCACGCCTGCAATCCCAACATTTTGGGAGGCTAAGGCGGGTGGATAACTTGAGGTCAGGAGTTCGGGACCAGCCTGGCCAACATGACAAAACCCCTTCTCTACTAAAAATACAAAAAAAATTAGCCAAGTGTGGTGGCACACAACTGTAGTACCAGCTACCTAGGACTGGAGGCAGGAGAATTGCTTGAACCCATGAGGTGGAGGTTGCAGTGAGCAGAGATCGCGCCACTGCACTCCAGCCTGGGTGACAGAGCAAGACTCCGTCTCAAAAAGAACAGCTATGTGTAAATACAGTTTGCTTTTTCATTTATGTTCCCAGTATATTATAACATGATGTACAAAATTGGTCAAATACAATTGTGGATTATTTAATTTATATTTTCTTGCATGTTCTTCAAGGTTACAAGGTTTAAGAAAATAGTTTGATAGAAAGACGTGGTATTTCTCAAAAGGAAGACAAGAATTTTTTTTTAATTTTTTAATTTTTTATTTTTGAAACTGAGTCTCGCTCTGTCACCAGGCTGGAGTCCAGTGGTGCGACCTTGGCTCACTGCAACCTCCACCTCCTGGGTTCAAGTGATTCTTCTGCCTCAGCCTCCCGAGTAGCTGGGACTACAGGCGTCTGCCACCACGCCTGGCTAATTTTTTTTGTATTTTTAGTAGAGACAGGGTTTCACCATGTTTGCCAGGATGGTCTCGATCTCTTGACTTCGTGATCCGCCCGCCTCGGCCTCCAAAAGTGCTGGCATTACAGGCGTGAGCCACCACACCTGGCCGATAATATTTTTAATACCATAACCCATAGACCAAGATATGTTTTTCTTCCTGACTGTTCATAATTCTATTTTCTCTATGTGGCAATTCCACTCATATGAGGTTCCTTCTTGCTGAGTGCATTTTAAGAGTCTTATAAAGTGAGAGTTAATATCCATTCCCTGGACTGCCTGCATCTTCCTATGAAAACACTTCACAACTCCACAATGCCTGCACTGGATGGTCAACAGGATTCTTTACCAAGGAGACAAGAGCATCCAAAGTTTCCCATAAGGGGTGACACAAACCTACCATAGTAATACCAATATCACAGGCACAGAAATGTAAGAATCGTTTTTGCCAAAACATCATCTGTGTGGACAGGTGTAATCTGCCACACCCACGTAGATACTCAGTTTTTATCAGTTTTATAAGGACATCTATTTTGTTCTTAGTTCTTAGTTCACAAGTTTTAACTGACGAGATGTTCTTCATCATCCCTGACACAATGATAACAATAACTGATGTTATCTACAGCATGTCTATTTTACAAAGCCCATTGCCCCAGTCAAATAATGTGACCTTTAAAACAGTCCTGGAAGCCAAACAACATTATAACCCACAATTTACAGACACAGAAACTGAATATAAGATAAGGTAAGTATCCCAAAACACACCTAGGAAATAAAGTGTTCCATCTCCAAATCTTCAATTCTCTAATATGTTTTAATTCTAGAGAGCATAGCATAGTAGTTAAGTAGGGACTTTAGAGCCAAACTTCCTGGGTTCAAATCCTGGCTCTACAATTTACTTGCCCATTGGAAGTTATTTTATCCTATTTGCACCTCAGTTTCCTCATCTGTAAAAAGGGAATAATAAGAAAATCTACTTCCCAGAATTATGATTAAACAAGTTTATTTGTAAAATACTTATCAGAACAATGTCTGTCTAAGGTGACTGTTAACTTTAAAAAATGTTTTGCTAAGGCCAGGTGCAGTGGCTCACACCTGTAATCCTAGCACTTGGGAGGCTGAGGCAGGCAGATTGCTTAAGCTCAAGAGTTCGAGACCAGTCTGAGCAACACGGTGAAACCCCATCTCTACAAAAATTAGCCAGGCATGGTGGCACGTGCCTATAGTCTCAGCTACTTGGGGGCTGAGGCAGGAGGATCGCTTGAACCCGGGAGGTTGAGGCTGCAGTGAGCCAAGATTGCGCCACTGCACTCCAGCCTGGAAGACAAAGTGAGACCTGTCTCAAAGGAAAAAAAAATTTTTTTAAAGTTTTTCTGCTTTCTAAAAGAAATGTGTCCATGCTTTATCACTAGAAAGCTAAAACTAAAATATGGGAGAAAGTCCCAAATGAAAATTACACTCTTCTTGGTAAAAGAATTATTTTCAGGGGACAGACAGTGCTACCGATATGCTGAAAACAGACATTTTCAGCTGATTATTTTCAGGGGACAGAGTGCTACTGATAGCTGAAAGCATCTGTAAAGAACAGGTAGAGAAGAAAAACAGAAGGAAAAGAAGAATGGAGGAGAGAGTGAGAACAGGTGAGAAGGGAAAAATTGTCTCCATCATAATTTAGAACTGGTAACGGATTTCTTTTTCTAGCATTTTGAGAAGTTAACATGAACCTCCATGTTTTCCCAGTGATTTGAGAGATTTTTTAAAAATCCAAAGGATTTCTCTTATAGTTTCTTTTTATAGTGTGTGAGGTGGAAAAGAACTTGGGCTCTAGTTAGAAAGTCAAGGCCAACCCCAATTTCCCTATTTATCACAGTAGGCGAGCCTTTTGACTTCCCTGAAGCTAATTTTCTCATCTGTACAAGAATGATGGTAAGAGAATCCACTGTGAGTAGCTATCTCATGGGATTCTTATGGAGATCGAAAAATTAAAACATGGAAACTTGCTTGGAGATATTAACTAAGTAAATCATTAGATTGAATAAAGATCTTTCGTTTAAAATTACAGGGCAAGTTAAATTTACCAACTTTAAAAATAATGGTGAAAGATTGTTAAGAACAAAAATTGGCTATTAATACATCATTGCACATTTGCTGAGCCAGTGTTACAAAGGAATTCAGCCAATGAGTGGGAATATGGGTGGCTAGGGTTACCAGATCTCTGTGGATGAAGCTGTTTCTCTCCAGATACTCCATCCCTTCACACACATCCTGACACATGCTCAGCAGTACGTCTCTACTGAAATGACCTTGTCTCTGTCGGAGGAAATTCAGAAGGCAGCCCCTTTCCATGAACTCAGTAACAATGTATATTGGTTTCTGCTGGGTGCACACACCATAAAGCTGCACTAACTTCGGGTGTGTCAGTTTCCTGGGAAGGAAGACATATATATAGTTACTATAGGAAAAGAAACTACCAAGTTTTTGGTAAGGGGCCACTTCTTAATACAAAAAGATGAGCCAGAAAGATGATAGCAACTTACATCATCACTTTAGCTTCTTCTATAAAGTCCTCCTCGCACATTGCACCTTCCCGAATAGCTTTGATTGCGACTTTGTACTGGGCTCGCCATTTGCCAAGCCTCACCACTCCAAACAGTCCACTTCCCAATTCCCTCATAAAGGTCAGTTCTGAAGGGTTAATCTCCCATTTCTCTGCAGGACAGAAAGTGAAAGTGTTCATATTTAAAAAGGAAAATGTAGCATGAATCAGAGAGGGGGAAAAAGAACCTACAACCAAGATCAACCTCAAAATTACAGGATAACACTGTAATAATTCCTGGTAAAACACAGAACAGACTTGAAACCTGCATCTGAACTGCCAAAGGTGGGAAGGATGAATCCCTTCTAACCAACGTGAAATGAAGAAGGCAAGACAATTCTGCATAACAAGCTAATAATAATATAGCCTGAAAGTTAAAGGTACTTTTGTCAAACAAATACTTCCTTCTTTACCACTCTTCCTTCTCAGGTTTTTTTTTTGTTGTTGTTCTTTTTCAATTCCATCAAGTTGGAAATAATCTAATTTGCTGTTTTAAAGGCTTTTGCCAGAAGCAACAAAGACAATTAAGTTGGAAGCTTGCTTTCTTACCTCCATCCTTACTCACGTTCTTGTAGCCAATAAAGCTAGTGAGAACCAGGAAGGGCTTTGATTTATTTTAGATGTTAACATGATAATGCTTATTTTTCACTGACAGAAAGTTTTCTATGGAATTATGAATAATGATGAAAATTGAATACCTAGGCTGCTATGGTCTTAAGTATAATTATCTAAAAACCTATACTATAAACTTATAAAAAACAGTTCCAGTATGTGAAATAGTACACATCCAAATTTATCTTATGACAATGGATTCTTTTCAAGGAAAATTAGCTCATGCAACCACAAAATAAGAGTTACCATAGCTGAATCCTGCAGTGGTGGGTGCATTCTTCCCTTTCACACTAACTGGGTACCGAAGCCTGGTGACAAGTCCTAATAATCAAAGAAAGCGTTGCAGTCAAACTCATTCATAATCATTCTGCTTGGTCACATGCTACAGGAAACTCACTTAGAAAATTCATCATTTATTCATTTACTGCTCATCCTCTGTGTGTACATACAGCACTCTGCTATATGCTTTTATTCATTCAACAAACATTTTCTTTTAAATACTACAGTGTTTAACAGGCACCATGCCAGCTTTCTCTTTTTTCAAATATTTTAAAGGATGTTAAAAGGTTTCTAACAGTTATTTCGTGTTCTTTTCCAATATGAGAGCTGAACTATGAAAGGGAATTAGATTAGTCTGCTAAAAATGGAAGTTATTCACCTGACATGACTCAGTATTAGCAATCTTAGCATACAAATCGGGCTCTAGGATAGCAACAACTGGGAATACCAACTACTGGAAATCAGTGTGGATCTTTTAACCCAAGTCGCATACAGCACTAAATAAGAAACAGGAGATGTCTCTTCCATAAACACCCATAGCACTCTGTATTTCCTCTACTACAAGATATCTCAAAGCAATTTAAAATCGTTATGTACTTCTCTGTCTCCCCACAAGTGGTAGGGTCTGGGAAAATCAGGATCAGTGACTACACCTAGTCCACCACTGAAATATTGAAGTCTCCCCAAAGCCTGGCTCTGTTTCTGGCATGCAGTAGGCACTTGATATATGTTTGTTGAATGAATTGAGATGACGGTGAAAAATAAAACTTATACAGGAACACGGAAGAAAAAATTAGGGAGCAAAAACACCAAAAAAGAAAACAACAGAATGAGATATAAATTGATATGAAATCAGTTCCTGAAATGTTAAACACAGAGTTACCATATGACGCAGCATACCCATAACTAGGTAAATACCCAAAAGAAATGAAAACATATTTCCATGCAAAAACTAGTACACAACTGTTTACAGAAGCATTATTCATAAGAGAACAAATGTGGAAACAACCCAAATGTCCATCAACTGATGAATAATAAAATCCATACAATGAATTATTTGTATACCTGGCCACAAACCAATTTCTAACAATGTGTTCAGGAAGTCCATCACAGCAATAAACATTAATGGCAATTTACATTGTCTAGAATCCCTAGTGATATTGTCAGCAATTTTTTTCCTTAACATCGTTATATCTATAGTTTGTACATATCTAGGCTATGTCTTGGCTTCCATAAGTAGATGAAGCATGACTTTCTAATACAACAGGTGGATGGTAAGATAATCCCCCTATATTTGGAGATAGAGGGGTTGATCCTGTCTCACCATTTAGCATTATTATACTCAATTTGAAACTGTTATTTTATTTAAGAGTTAAATGTAGACTTGTATGCTGGCCTGAGAACCTAAGCATTCCACAAATATTGTGTTAGGCTCTGGGTTGTAACTCAATAATAGGTAGAAGTTATTGTGCAATTACTATGTGTCAAGCCCTGTTCATTTTGTTTATATTATCTGATTATTTCAATAAACTTGTGATGTATGTTTTTAAAAAAGGGAATGGAATACATCTACATACTACAACATGACAATGTCAAAAACAGTTAAGTCAGAGAAGCTTAGTCACGGAAGACCACATATTGTATAATTCCATTTATATGAAATGTCCAGAATAGGCAAATCTATAAGAGAGACAGAAAGTAGGTTAATAGTTGCCTGGGGCTGGGCTGGTGAAGGGGGATGGGATGACAATTATTTGACACAAGATTTCTTCTTGGGATGATGACAATGTTCTTTAAAAAAATTAGATTATGCTGATAGTTGGCACAACTCTGTAAATATACTAAAAACCACTGAATTGTATACTTTAAATGGGTGAGCTTTATAGTATGTAAATTTTATCTAAATAACCATTATTATTATCTGAAAAAAAAGTGAACAGTCACAAAATAATAGGCTTTGCAAAGGGTGCCTTCAATAAAATTTCAAAATTTTTCATAAGTTGTGTGAAGCACTGGGCTATCCCTGCCCAGTTACATTTTTAAAGTCAAAGGCTGGAAATCTTTCTATATAATCCTGTGGAACTCTAATTTTCATGAATGTGGTTTCTGTTATTTTTTGGTATTCAGTTTGTTCCCACTCTGGTGGTAAGTGTACCAGAGATTCAAGACGGTTAACTTGTGGGACATGATTACTCTAGTCTCTGGAAACCTATAGCATAGGACTGAATCCTGGCTTATCTGGCATCTTCTGTGACTATTCTGAAATAGACATATCTTGGACTTTAGTGTCAAGGACATATATACCACATAAATGTGAACTTTTTAAACTTTTAAGTTCAGGGTTACAAGTGCAAATTGTTATATGGGTAAACTTGTGTCATGGGGGTCTGTTGTACAGATTATTTCATCACCCAGGTATTAAGCCTAGTACCCATTAGTTGTTTTTCCTGATCCTCTCTGTCCTCCCAACCTCTACCCTCCAAAAGATGCCAGTGTGTGTTGTTCCCCTCTATGTGTCCATGTATTCCTATTATTTAGCTTCCACTTATAAGAGAGACCATGTAGTATTTGGTTTTCTGTTCCTGTGTTAGTTAGCTAAGGATAATGGCCTCCAGCTCCATCCATGTCCCTGCAAAGGACATGATCTCATTCTTCTTTTACGGCTTCATAGATTCCATGGTGTATCTGTACCAGATTTTCTTTATCCTGTCTATCACTGATGGACATTTAGGTTAATTCCATGTCTTTGCTATTATGAATAGTGCTGCAATGAACACCCACATGCACGTGTCTTTATAATAGAATGATTTATATTCCTTTGGGTATATACCCAAGTAATGGGATTGCTGGCTTGAATGGTGTTTCTGTCTTTAGGTCTTTGAGGAATCATCACACTGTCTTCCACAATGGCGGAACTAATTTACACTGCCACCAACAGTGTATAAATGTAATGTGAACATTTACTATATACCACTGGAATAACTCATGTCCTAAGGTCAAGACAGAGCTTTTTATAAAACTTGATATTATTTCTAAATTTTCTTTGTATATATCATTCCTTTAATATGCAGTAATTTAAAATCAACCACATTCTACAATGAACTAACTATAAAATAAAACTGCTCAAGGAATTAATCACAGTATCTGATCATTTTAATCACTACCTTATATTTGAAGTAGGTTTTCACAGCTCACTTACCTGCTGCATTGTGCTTATGATATTCAATAATCTCAGGAATGGAGCCAAAAGCATGTTTTTCAGCTAGGTAATACTTCTTTGGAGATGTTGTTGTTTCCTTTATATGATAATGCCTAAAACCCGATGAACCTTCTCTAGAACAAAAATCAAAATGTGTCAGAACCAAGTTGAAATAATAGAACTTCATTCTTAAGATGTTTTCTACAAGGGCAACCACAGTGTCTCTCCATATGATCCCATCTATTCCTGGCACAAATTTTACTTTCCCCTTGTTCTTCTTAGCTTTGTCTTTCATATTAGCATGTCAAAGTTTTTAAATTACTCACTGAAAACATACTTGGCCCTTTGCATGAGATTTTGAAAGAGAACATTTATGAATTCCATTTAACAACAGTTGGAAGTCTTAAAATAGCTATTAGCAGCTACTGCTTTTTGTTCCTGCTGTTGCATAAACTTACAAATGTCTAGAACACTTAAATCACCAATAGTGAATAAATTAGACTTTTAAATATTCAACTTGAGGGACCTTTCTAGAGCACAGATCTTCTCTAGTCCTCTCTTGCTAAAAATACTTTCAAGATGACTCCTGTTGCTCTTAGGGTAAAGCTCAGAGTCACTGACATTGACATGAACTTGCCTCTGCTTCAACTCTGAGGCTTCTCTCTCCTCCCTTCACTCTGTGCTCCCATTCTACCTGCAGCTACAACATACTTTTCAGTGCCTTGAACTCACCATATACTCTCTCCCGTCTAGGTCCAGGCAATTTCCTGGGTCAGAAACACTCCGTCTCCTCCCTCCAAGTTTTTCCTGCTCGCCTATCAGGTCTCAGCCTGGATATCACTTGGGAGAGCGTTCATGACTAACTCAAGATGTGCCTGGGCTGTGTATGTACCATCCCCCATCCCCAAACCCGCCACACACACACATTACCCTCCCACATGGCACTTACTACCATCACTCTCTGTTACTGGGCTGCAGCATCTACTAACCTACTGGTGGGCAGGGTCTCTGCCTCCTTTGCTCATATTTTTATCCTTAGTGACCAGCACAGTTCACTATAAATGTTTGTTGAATGTTACTAAAGTTATTATAGCCATACTCAACAAATATATATGAAAAACTATAAGGAAAATTACTGAAAATATAAATACAAAAAACAGTATATACACTTTAGAAATCAAGTTCAGGTTTTCTTTTTAATGGTGAAATGCTGCATATTTTTATGAAAATTAGGAATCCATATAAACTACATAGGAAGTTCATACAAAAACTCTAAATTATAAAAAAAAATGGCAGGATTACTCACCCTCCAAACTTGGTATAAAGGGAGACTGTGTACAAGCCTGGTTGACTGGAATCCCTTACCATAAAACCACCTTCTTTATCCTAAAATCCAAGTTCAGAAAAAATTTTTTTTACTCTAATTACTAATAGCATTGCCATGGAGAAGACTAAAGAACCTAATATTATAATTTTATGATTATTATTCTTTCCCAGAAAAAAATGCTTTGAAGAAGCACAACTTACCAGTAGGGCCCCTTGGTTTCTCCCACCCACATGACTTTGTACTTCAAATTACTGCGCTAGGAGAGTAGTTAAGGAAATCACACTCAATTCCCCACAATCACAAATCCTCATGAATGGTGAGACATTTCAATCAGATAATCTCTCAGTGCCCTTCCAGAACTGAGAGACAAGATTTTGCAATTCCTGTAAGGCCTGGACATGTAGGAAAACTGTCATGAAAAAATGTATTTCTTAATGATTGGGTTTCATTTCATACATTTTTTGTATTTGTTATAAGCTTTGATTCCTGACTCAGTATGATTTTCAATCCATGCTGAATTTTCCTAAAAATGTCTCAGTGCTTTTTATAAGAATGAATTTAAAAATTCTTAATTCTCTAGAAGTTGAAGTTAAATATCAGTCATATCGGTCTTTTTTTTCTGAGACAGAGTCTCACATTATTGCACAGGCTGGAGTGCAGTGGTGCGATCTCAGCTCACTGCAATCTCCACTTCCTGGGTTCAAGCAGTTCTCCTGCCTCAGCCTCCCGAGTAGCTGGAATTACAGGTGTGCAACACCATGTCCAGCTAATATTTGTATTTTCAGTAGAGCCGGGGTTTCACTACATTGGCCAGCTTGGTTTCGAACTTCTGACCTCCAGTGATCCACCCGCCTTGATCTCCCAAAGTGCTGGGATTACAGGCGTGAGCCAACACACCCAGCCAAATATCAGCCTTTACAAAAGGAGAGATGGAGGCACAAGTAACTTAAACAGAGAAAATCAATAGTTGGAAACAATGCTAAAGCACTAAAGGTCAAATCTTTCTCAGCTTCCAAACTGAAAAGCAAGAAATAGACCCTACGAACCTCAAATACCTCTCTGTCCAGTAACACTACCATCAATCTCTAGTATTTAAATTGCTTTAAAATGAAAAGTGTGTCCTTTATTAGTTGAAAAATAAAATAAATTGTACTCTTCTTGATAGGAAAAACAATGGAATTAAATAAATAAGGCTCCACAAAAATATCTGGTAACAATTAGGGATAATAATTGTAACTGGTCAGTAAAAAGTATAACAGAGGCCGGACACAGCGGCTCATACCTGTAATCCCAGCACCTTGGGAGGCCGAGGCAGGCAGATCAGTTGAGGTCGTGAGTTTAAGACTAGCCTGGCCAACATGGCAGAACCCCACCTCTACTAAAAATACCCCATCTTTACTAAAAATTAGCCAGGCGTGGTGGTGCGCGCCTGTAATCTCAGCTACTCAGGAGGCTGAGGCAAGAGAATCACTTGAATCCTGGAGGTGGAGGTTGCAGTAAGCTGAGATCATACCACTGCACTCCAGCCTGGGAGACAGAGAGAGATACTATCATAAATAAATAAATAAATAAATAAATAAATAAATAAATAAATACAGTCTAACAGCAACCCACTTATTTATCGAAAATTTATTCTGTTCTAATGTTCTAGCATATTAATTTATTTAATCATCGAAACAGTCCTATTACATAGGTACTATTGTTATTCCCACATTATTTCACAGGTAAGGAAATGAGAACAGAAAGACTGGCTGGGTAATTTGCACCAGGTCATGCAGCTAGTAAGTAGCAGAGCCAGGATTTGGTCCCCAGGCTGCCATTTAGCTACTCACTCCCCTACATCTGCCTCTCACTGTAGGGTCTCCAGAGAGTCATGGAAGAATCCTGTGGGCATGGTTATGTGTAGTTGTCAAGCAAAGTCACCTACTATTGTTTTTTTAACATCAACTACAAAAACAAGCACTCAACAAAATCTTGAGCATGATAATAAGCAGGAGGTAAAATGAGAAAGCATGAGTTTAAAAGGCTGGAAACAATAACTAAATAGAATACTAAATCAGAAATGCAGAGAATTGTAGAGATCATCTTCTAGTCTAACTCCTTTTCTTACAGATGCAAAAAGTAGACTAGAAAAGTCACAGGTAGACCCAGGTCCCCTTACTCAGCACAGAGTAGTTCCCTCTATACATTTTACCCTTTCATTTTATTTCTTTTTAAAGGTATAGCAATTTCAGCACATTTATTTCTAAATGGAATTAAACATCTATTAACGCTTTATTTATAAAAGACATTATGTAATATCAATGTAAATTATTTTAAAATAACTAACTTCAAGCCAAAAAAAAAAAAGAAATACTTAAGTACTAAAAGTCAAGGGAGCAAATGATCAATCAGGAAGAAAGCATTAGAGTAAGCTTGCCCCTCATGCTAAGGAAAGTGAAAGTGCAACAATTGCAGGAAAATGAGGATGAGCCACTACAGGAGACTCTCCCGGCCAGGGAATACACTGCTGCAGAACTCAGAGATTGCAAAGACCTTTAACCAACTACTGGGTGGTCCTAGCACAGTAGTGTTTACTACTAATTGATGACAACCAGTTACAGATTTCTTTTTTCCTTCTCTACTCCCACTGCGTCACTTGATTAGCCTTTAACCCATTTATGCCTAGTGTTCCATTATTGGAACACTAAGCTGTGGGAGTTATTTATATTCTACTGCTCAAAGTCATCACCAAGGTCTGATTTTTCACACACAAAAAATTTGCAACCTCCAGCACAAATGAGTTAAAAACAACAACAACAACAACTACCTAGGGAACCCCTGGCTGCTTGGATGGTCTAACTGCGGGACACAGTGGGTGATGGTATTTCCCTAGCCAGGAATGAAGCAGAAAAAAATGAGTGACATTACTACCCACCCAGCCCTGCAGCAACGCCTTCATAATGCAAGGCATACACAAGGGAATTGTAGCCTTATGGCCTGGATCATTCTGGCTGTGACAGAGGTTTGGCCTAATGAAGGAAATTTACCAGGAGGGACAACCTTGTGGTGGTCAGTGGAAAGCCCCAGGGGCTTCTCTAAGAATTAAGAATGAGGTAAACCATCTATGCTCAGGTTTTCATGGGACTTGATAAAGCAACTTTTACTTTCAGGATGAAAAATAAATTGCTACAGGGTATGCTGTGCTAACAAAAGGGAAAATGAAAACTATCTGAAAGCTGGCAGTGACAACTCCTTATGAAAGCTGTAAGGTTTGCTCCTGTGTGCCTGTATGCCTATATGTCTATATGTGTTATGTGTGTGTGACATTTCTATGTGATCTAAGAAAACTTTTGGTAAATGAAACTAGTTTTTAAATTGTTGGTAAAATAAAATAGAAACATCTTCAGAATTTAATTCAGACATTTTGCCTAGACCTACTGGTCAGACAGGTTTAGGTTGTCTCTGATTAAGGTCATAAAACTGCTGCTTCTGTGACCTTCTTGACACTTGCTTGACTTGCATGTGAGCTTAATTAAAATTAATCACTTCCTAGATTTTTTACTGGAAATTAGTACTACTAAGAATTACAATAGTAGTTAGTGTATGTAATTAAAACTACCACATGTAAGAGAAACAATTCTATATACACAGTGTATAAAGAAAGGAAGATGAGTTTTTGGTGAAGAAGGCTACATAAAAGATAGGATATGGTTTTTGCTTAAGAAAAAGTAATTTTTTCTAGTTTAGAGGTTATTTAAAGGTTGTTTCAAAATGAAGGGAAAAAATGATATAGATAAAACTAAATGGGTAGAAAGAGAATGAAGAAAAAGAAAGGAAAGAGTCATGGAACTTGTCCCAGCAGGGAGGAAATCTTTGGATGGTTATTAAAAAAATCAAATGAATAAAATGGAAATTTATGGGGTTAAAACAAGGGTCTTAATACAACACTATTGAAGGTTGTGTGGACTAAAAGAAGCCCCTGCTGAGTCCCCAACATTAAAGAGCCCAAAATTAGTTTGCTATATCCCCAGTCTGCAGAAACTTAAAAAGCTAAAAGACAGGGATTATAATGATAAGGCTGACCAACAATTGTTTCAGGGCAAAACTGAAGCAGGTTAATCAAGATAAAGACTGACAAAAGGGCCAGGGTCCCTTGGCTCAACCCCCTACTGGGAACCTAAAGCCTTTTGCACAACAGAGGGTAAAATGTTCTGGAGGTAGAGAAAAGAAGTTCCTAGGACTAAAACATAAAATCATAAAGGTTTATAAGACTATGAAAGTTGGAATGTTTGAACAGGCTTTATGTAAAGTAGCTGTGTCTCCTTTATCTATATGTTTTATGGGAATGAACATTGTATCTGACTAGGGAATGTTTCTTCTATTGTAAAACAGAGGGCATGTAAATCTGCCTTTCAAGCAATATTAATTGGACATGATAAATGGGAGCCAGTATAACTGCCCAAGCTCATAGCGTAGAGGAAGTTGGAATGCTGGTAGGGACAAATTTTCTACTTGATAGTCTTTTGTTGAGTGTTTAGTAGGTCTTATGGCAAAAGCCAGTTAGCACCTCCCAGTGACAACTACTGGGACTCTGGACTACAGAACTTCTACTAGACGGGCATTTACTGCCTTGCTATGGATGCTAACTATAGCTACATCTATGACTGAAGAATATAAAATGATCTTGACACCTGAAATGTCCATGCTGTTTCAGGTGATGTCAGAGGAACACTCTAATAGAGACAGCAGTATCTAAAAGAGTTCCATCATAAAATGGAAATAGTTGATACAGGATCACACTATCTGGTGGGTGCAAGGAGGAGACACTCATGAGCAGGGGGCTTCTCTAACCCAAAGACTGACTCTGGAACTGTGTGAGTAGCTGCTGGATTCTACAGTGCCCAATAAACAGCTCTCAACTGACCTACCAAGAGTTGCTAGGTTTGTGGATGGCAGTTCCAAGGTGAATGGACAACATCCTGTGCAGAAGACTGCTACTCTGAAGAAGAGTCAAGAAAATGTGTTTTTGTGTGTTTTGAACTATTTAAAACTTACAGCAATTGAGTAAAGTATACTTTTGAGAGCCAAACTGAAGCACTAACTATTCTCTCTACCTGATTTCTTCAAAATTTAGAAGCTATTTGTGAGTATTCTTATTTTGTGGCAATACAGTTACTTGCATAAGTTCAATAAGAATATGTTTTCTTTTGTAACAGGACATACTGGGGACACCACTGCTACAATAACCACACTGGTTATTTTACCAAGGCTTTGGGTATATGAAATTGTAAGGGCCAGTTTCAAGGTGTAGCGTGTAGGAAAACAGCCTGTTACATGGCAAGAGTGATGTAACCTTGAAGTGAAACCGCAATGATGACCAGTGCTCGATCCCCACTTATCAAGGTGTTCTGCAGCAAGGTGTTTAAACAATGCTTTCATAAAGATGTTTATCTAACCTCACCAGTGGTCATGTGTGTTGGTAAGAAAGGCTGAAGACATGTCCAGCTGCACATGTTTCACCCTAAAAGTTTGCTATATAAAGAATAATGTCCAGAGGGCAGGTGTGGGGATAACTGTCCTGAGGCCACCCATGATTACTTCTGTTTGTAAGTCCCTATTAAATATTTATTTCTAGAAACTGGATTTGTCAGCCTCTTTCTTCAGCCTCTCAGCTCCCTCAGCCTCTGGGAATAGTTTTGCATAGACTTGCTCACTGCTGAACACATTTAGAAAGAGAGATATGTGGAACTACTTATTATGGACTCATTAAAATTAATTTGCCCTTAAGCCAAACCCACAAGTACAAACACTTACTTCACTGCGGAGGAGTTGCTCTGCCTTGCTTCTATTCATATTTCTGCAATACCATCTGAACAGAAAAAACAATACATTTCAGGCCTCAGGTTTTTAGGATATATTTTATTCTTTTCAGAATTAATAAAGTAATTCTGCTCATCAATAATAAATATAACAAATAAGAACAAGATATCACTCATAATTTCAATAATAGACAACTAATAATTTTGATGTATATACTTCCAGACTTTTTCTACCCATATTTCTATGAAAACATGTATGTATGCCCATATTCTTATGTTTCATTAAAGTGAGATCAAACTACATAGGCTATACGATAACCTGAATTTTTCATATAACATTATAGGATATTTTTGCAAATCAATATAGGTCTACATATGATAGTATGCATGTGTCATAATTTATTTAAGCTCTTCTTCACTGTTCAACATAAAAATCATTTTTAATTTTTCACTACTAGAATCATGGCAAGAATGAATTTTACTCCACTGACTAAAACATGCAGGAAGTGTCCCTTTGTATTATTGTCTGTAATTCAAACTAAATCTTATTCCAAGCCCTCCTCCTATCAATATGGCAGCAGATTTCATCTCAAGTCATAATGGAGGCTCCCTCAATGAATTTCACAAAGGTCCCAGGTGACAAAAGAAACGGCAAAACATAAGCACAGGCCTCCTGGGTCTTCAGACTTACTGGTTTCCAGCAGAACCCCAAGCCCTGTGGTTGCCCAAGACTCTATTGTAGAAATGTCTACCATGACCAAGCAGCTGGTCTTCCCTCCCACCAGATCTTTCCACCACCCTGTGCCACATCCCAAGGCCCTGCCAATCTGCACCGCTTCTTCTTTTTTTGAGACAGAGTCTTGCTCCATTACCCAGACTAAAGTGCAGTAGTGAAATCTCAACTCACTGCAAACTCCACCTCCCAGGTTCAAGCAATTTTCCTGCCTCAGCCTCCTGAGTAGTTGGAATTATAGGCATGCGCCACCACACCCAGCTAATTTTTGTATTTTTAGTAGAGACAGGGTTTCACTGTGTTGGCCAGGCTGGTCTCGAACTCCTGGCCTCAAAGGATCTGCCCACCTTGGCTTTCCAAAATCCTGGGATTACAGGCATGAGCCACCATGCCTGGCCCTGTACCTCTTCTTATCCTTTGGAAAGCCCTTTTCTTGATACTGTCATTAACCACCTCATCCTCAGAGATACTTGCCTCTCTCTACTTTCCCCAGCATAATCAATCCCTCCATGTGATTTAAGCAAATAGGCTATAAGAACATAGACAATTTTCTTCGGTCTTTGGTTTTAAACTTATTTTGTTAGATCCTTACTTGTTGGCAAAGAATTCTCCACCACAGTCATATACCCTGAGAATTCAAATGTTATAAAATCAGCTCAGCTCCTCTGGACATTTAAATTTCCCAGTACTGCTTCAGCCTTCCATAAGAGAACCAGCACCTGCTTTTGGCCCAGCAAAAACCCTAAAACAGGGAAACACAGGCCTTCCCTGACTAAAGAAGGGAAAAACACAAAGAACAAAAAAGACAATACAAGATCTTTTTCTGTCCAGATTCTTTTATATAGTAGCCAAATGCAAATTACAGCCTCAATCCAAGCTAAAGACTGTTAGATATTTTATTTGGAATCGGAGGTGTTGAACCAGGCCTCAGAATTGCAAACATCTCATTACATGGATCCCGCTTTATAAAATGAGACCAAGTTCAACAAAATTGCAGTTGTGATCAATACATTTCTGAATGCAATTAAGAAATATAGTAAATTAGGAGAACAGAATTCTGACCCTAACGCTTTTCCACTGATATAAGAAACATTTGTCAAGTGCCAAAAACATTCACAAAAATTAACTAAGGAAACACACCTGGAGCTTTAATTATGAATTATAAAGTAGCAGGATTTGAGAGACTGAAAAAAAGTTATTAAAAACAGAAGATCCAGTCCATCTTCACAATAAGAGTAAGCAAAGGTGGTTTCATCTTGGGTTCAGATACAAGAAATCAGTGAAGCTAAATTGTAGCTCTCAAGAGGAAACCAAACATAAGATACTCAGAAAAAGAAGGAGGTCCCTTCCTCATCTACTGTTTCCAGCTCCTCAGAAGGAGGAGGAAAGAAGGAATCCACTGCACAAAAGGAAGGCTCTTGAAAATCCTGTTCTGAGGGATCATTTTTATGGTGTTGGCAAGTTCCCTGGAAAGGATGTTCCCTGGAAAGGATGTTCCCTTCTTTGGGATATCAATTCAGACCTTTAAGTGTCTGTTGAAAGACAGAAAGGAGGAAGGAGTCATACACAAATAAATAAATGAATTAACTCATGGTCGGGATTTTCTAACAGTTCAGTTCTTGGTGGCTTCTTTCTCCTCTCCTGTGATTATCTATCTCCAGGCAAGAAAAAAAAAAAAAAGACAACAAAGGCTCCCCTGAATTCTCCTGTCAGGAATAACTATACACACAGGTAAAATGTGACACAGATACCACACACCTCTATAAAGGAATACCTGAGGCTGGCTAATTTATAAAGAGAAGAGGTATATTTGGCTCATGGTCCTGCAGGCTGTACAAGAAGCATGGTGCCAGCACCAGCATCTGAAAAAAGGCCTCAGGCTGCTTCCACTCACGTCCGAAGATGAAGGGAGCTGGCGTGCAGACATTACATGGCAAGACAGAGAAAGCAAGAGAAGAGAGAGGCACCTGGCTCTTTTCTTTTTTATTTTTTTGGGACAGAGTCTTGCTCTTTCGCCCAGGCTGGAGTGCAGTGGCACGATCTCGGCTCACTGCAACCTCCACCTCCTGGGTTTAAGTGGTTCTCCTGCCTCAGCCTCCCAAGTAGCTGGGACTACAACTACATGCCACCACGCTAATTTTTTTTTTTTTTTTTTGAGATGGGGTTTCACACTTGTTGTCCAGGCTGGAGTGTAATGGCGCAATCTTGGCAACCTGCCCCTCCTGGGTTCAAGCGATTCTCCTGCCTCAGCCTCCCAAGTAGCTGGGATTACAGGCACCCGCCACCACGCCCAGCTAACTTTTTGTATTTTTAGTAGAAATGGGGTTTCACCATGTTGGCCAGGCTGGTCTACTGACCTCAAGCAATCTGCCCACCTCAGCACCCAAAGTATTGGGATTACAGGTGTGAGCCACTGTGCCAAGCCCAGGCTCTTTTCAACAACCAGTTCTTGTGGGAACTAAGCGTGAGAACTCACTTCCTTGAGAATGGTACCAAGCCATTCATCATGAGGGAGATCTCTACCTCCATAATCCAAACATCTTCCCCCAGGCCCCTGCTCCAAAATTGGGGATCAAATTTCAACATGAGACTTGGCAAGGTCTCCAGATCCAAGCCACAGCAGTCAGGTGCTGCTCTAAGCACGTTACATTTATTACCTCATTTCATCCTCACAACTCTTAGGAGGTTAAGTAGTATTATCACCACTGTTTTGCAAATGAAAAAACTGAGAAACAGAGAAGCAAAATATATCTCAAGGGCATACAGCTGGGAAACAGCAAAGCCAAAAACTGAACCAAAGGTCTGGTCTCAAAGCCTGTGCAGTGCTAAAATGGTTCCTATTGACCTTTTAAAGATGAGAAAACTGATTCTAAGAGGTTAAAATTTGCCTACTGTTATGCTAATCAATGGGGTCCTGAAGTAGAACACACACCCAAGCCTAATTCCAATGCTGGGAACAACCATGTTGCCAGCGCAGCAGTCCAGAGACAGGAGAAAGAGGGCCCAACAATTGAAAGAAAAACCTTTGGCCAGGGGAGGTGGCTCACGTCTGTAATGCCAGCACTTTGGGAGGCCAAGGCCAGTGGATCACTTCAGGTCAAGAGTTTGAGACCAGCCTGGCCAACATATTGAAACCCTGTCTCTACTAAAAATACAAAAATGAGCTGGGTGTGGTAGTGGGCACCTGTAATCCCAGCTACCCAGGAGGTTGAGGCAGGAGAATTGCTTGAACCTGGGAGGCAGAGGTTGCAGTGAGCTGAGATTGCACCACTGCACTCCAGCCTGGGTGACAGAGTAAGACTCTGTCTCCAGAAAAAAAAAAAGAAAGAAAGAAAGAAAGAAAGAAAAGAAAAAAAGAAAGAAAGAAAAGAAAAGAAGAAAGAAAGAGAAAGAGAAAGAGAGAGAGACAGAGGGAGGGAGGGAGAGAGGGAGGGAGGAAGGGAGGAAGGAATTAATTCAAAAGCAGCGGGTTGAAAAGTAGGGATTTAAAAAAAAAAAGCATGCCACAGAAAAGCTTTATTAGAGGCTAATACCTTTTGATGAAGGAACTATACATCTAGAAATTAGGCCCTGAATTTGTAGGTCATTTGTCAGATTCTTCTTAGATATTAAATCCCTAATGTGAATTAGTTTTTCAGATTAGCTAGTTACCCCAAAATAGCAGTGTCAATAAGGAAAGAAGAGGTTTGAGGGCATTTCATCTTTTAACCCGGAAAGGTCAGACCCTTGCCAAGCTTCTTGGTGAGAATGGGTGAGAATAAATCATGAAAAGAAGACAAGAGGTAGAACAAAGGAAAAACATAAAACCAACCAGTTATACATCTTAGCTTGTTCTCTAATTCTGCCCTTCTAACTATGCCACCCACTCAAAGCCTTTATCCTAAGCTTTTTCCAGTCCTAAGGGCGCTTTCATTTCTGTCACCTTCTCCCTTTACCATCTTTCCACCAAGAACATCCTGTTATTAACCATCACAACGAATCTGCTTTCTTTTCCAGCACTGATCTCTCCGATCTTCTCCTCCCTACACTGTTGACTGGGTATGGAAGTTAGAACTAGGTTACTGATAACACTAGGAGCTGCGGGCCTGGAAATCCTGAGTTCAGCCCAGTGACAGTCTGTGGCCTGGGATTCCTCCTGGGCCCAAGCAAAGAGAACTATTCACTCCACAGCTGCCAGAGGCTTTTTTTTTTTTTTTTTTTAATACTTGAGAACATTTAAGTTGTTGTGATGGTTAATATTGAGTGTCAACTTGATTGGATTGAAAGATGCAAAGTATCGCTCCTGGGTGTGTCCATGACGGTGTTGCCAAAGGAGATTAACATTTGGGTCAGTGGACTGGGAAAGGCAGACCCACCCTCAATCTGGATGGGCACAATCTAATCAGCTGCCAGCACAACCAGAATAAAAGCAGGCAGAAGAACTTGGAAAGACTAGACTGGTTTAGTCTTCTGGCCTACATCCTTCTCCCGTACTGGATGCTTCCTGCCCTCGAACATTGGACTCCAAGTTCTTCAGCTTTGGGACTCAGACTGCCTTCCTTTCCCCTCAGCTTGCAGACGGCCTATTATGGGACCTCAGCTTGTGATCGTGAGTCAGTACTCCTTAATAAACTCCCTTTTATATATACATCTATCCTATTAGTTCTGTCCCTCTAGAGAACCCTGACTAATACAATTGTGTTACAGGGTGGGCTTTGGCCAAAACAAAACAAAACAGAACATGGAGTAGGAAGACAGAATAGGGTCTCTGCCTGCCCACATGGGAACAGGTTTCCCCTTGGTCATCTACTGGGCATGGTACAAAGGCCATGTGGATTCCCTGGCCTCTGAACAGAATGCAGTGGCACTCCCACGCTGGAGGCTGAAGTACAGAGTTATGCAGAGGAAGAAAATTTCTTGGAAGAGAGAAAATTTCCAAATTAAGGTACATTTGAAACACTCGAGGCCATGAATCATAAACTTCAATATTGAAAAACCTCAACTGAAATCACATGAGTCATAAAAGGAGTTCTCATATTTAGATAAGGATTATCTGGCTTCCAAGCATCCTCTTTCCCCAAATTCAATCAGTTCTCCACGCTATCGCTTTAAAACCAGGCCCAAGTTTTCACCTTTTAGCACCTTCCCTAATTCTAAGGATTTTATAATTTTTCCAAAAATCTATTTGACTTAAGGGCAGAAATGCTACTTTATTTATACATTGTTTATACTCTCTTCTACTTCTAAAATTACTTTGAGAGATCACATCCACTGAGCGCTGTGGCTTTTTGAACTTGTTAACCCTTTCCTAGATGTTAAGGTACACTTATGGTATAGCAAGTGACATGAAGAGAGGAACAGCTTGTTGTTGCTATTGTTTTCAAGGAAGTGAATGAAGCATCAATACACCACCTCAGAATGACCATAAAAGAGCGTTCAATGTATATGAGCCTCACGTTACAACTTGGCCACACACTGCTAGTGGGTATATAAATAATACAAGTTATCTGGAAAGCAATTTGACAGCATGCGTTGGGAACCCTAACAATGTTCACGTACAGCCTGTAGCCCAGCACATAGATTTTAGAGATCCAGTTTAAGATAAGAAACAAGACGTTATCCCATTTTTTTTTTAATATAGCAAAGGTACCTAAAACAACCTAAACCACACAAATAAGGAAATGATTACATAAATTATTGGACATCCACGTGCCATCTGCCTGGTTATGTCTCTAAGGCCATACATAATGCTTGATACATGCTAAGATCTCAGTAAATATTTAATAAATTTATGATCAAATGAAATAAAATGTA
The DNA here is from genome assembly GCF_000001405.40 of Homo sapiens. NCBI lineage: Eukaryota > Metazoa > Chordata > Mammalia > Primates > Hominidae > Homo > Homo sapiens. Next base: position 48,163,211 of record NC_000004.12, read on the forward strand.
GCTAGGAAAATGTTTTCAAAGAATATTAAAGTGTATGAGGAAATAAGCATGATTCTATCTTTTCAAAAATAGTAAAAAGATTGAAAGGAAATATACTAATGCTGACAAAGGTCAACTCTAATTAATTTCAGTAATTTTTTCTTATTAACATTTCCACTCTGGAAACTGTTCTGCTTATGTCCTGAATGAATGGACATGATCTGTATTTCAAAGTCAGCTAATCTGTGATTTATTTCAAATCAATTCAATTATGCTTATGTAATTTATGTACATAAGCCTATGTAACTCCATTCACACAGTACCTTCAGGAAAAATATATTATAGAGATTAATTCTCAGTCTTTTACCACATCAGGCAATTGAGTTAAGGATATTTTAGCACCCCCTTCAAAGAATCATGAAAGATATCCATTAATCTTCAAAATGCCTTACATAATTAGGAAAATGAAAAGTTTCTGATTTTCCACATTCACAAAATAAACATTTACTTACTCATATTGATCTAAGTTGTTTGATTTCTTTCCCGTTACGTAATTACTTGGGATATATCCTTCATTCCTAGAAATAAGAAAAATACTTTAGGTAAACTTACTTTACTGGGAGGTTATTGAAAGAAAGAAAGATTATTGCCTTTTGAAATAAAGCATGACATTGCTTAAAGCTTATTATAAGAAAGACTAGCTGACCCCCCAAAATGCAGTATCTGTAATTCACTTGACATTTTACAAAGTACTTTCACTTTTGGTCTCCATAAAAATTCTGCGGTAGGCAGGCATTATTGTACCTATTTTCTGGTGGGGAAACTAAAGCTTAGAAAGGTTATAGGATTTTTTTTCCCAAAGGTCCTAAAGTTAGCCAGCAACAGGGCCAGAACTCAAACTCTGGACTTGTGACTAGCTCCTGTGCTCCTCCAACATTCCACAATACTTCTCCAGAATTCACAGTTTTGCTGATATGTGTTAAAGAAACCATTACTTGAGAAAAGTCAAAGTGTTGGATTAAAAATACCCACCACTCTAATACCTCAATAGTTCTTATAGAATAGTTTCACAAAGGATAATTCCTGGCCTTTCGGTCAGTATCATTTGGGGCACCTGTTAAAACAGCAAATTCTTGGGTCATAACCCAATAAATGTGAACTGAGAAGACCTATGTGAGGTCAAAAAATGTCCGATTTTACCCCAAATGACTTTCACACACATCACAATTTAAGATGCACTCTTATGTAAGTAGGAGCTAAGGTTTTCAGCATAAGAAAACAGATATACATATAAAATTTAAAAATTGAGTAGAAACCTTATAATCTTAAATTTGAATTTAAAGTATTAGTAAGAACTCATAATACACACACACACACACAAATGTGTGCATACAGGTAGCTCTGTTGCACTGAGAAAGGCCCAGAAGGAACGGCAATCCAGCAGCAGTTAAGATCTTAGCATTGCCACTGTCTCTAAATACCATTTGTGACTAAAAGGAGCCAGTCCCCCTTAGAAAAATGTCAAATTGTGTCCAGGTGCAGTGGCTCACGCCTGTAATCCCAGCACTTTAGGAGGCCAAGGCAAGCAGATCACTTGAGGCCAGGAATTCAAGACCCGCCTGGCCAACATGGCGAAACCCTATCTCTACTAAAAAATACAAAAATTAGCTGGGCGTGGTGGAACATGCCTATAATTCCAGCTACTTGGGAGGCCGAGGCACAAGAATCACTTGAACCTAGGAGGCGGAGGTTGAAATGAGCCGAGATCACGCCACTGCACTCCAGCACTCCAGCCTGCGAGACAGAACGAGACTCCATCTCAAAAAAAAGAAAGAAAAAGAAAAGAAAAGAAAAATGTCAAATTGTAAGTTTGGCCAGAAAAATAAATACAAGATAACTTGAGCCATTTCACTGAGCCAGAAAGTAGGAAAGAAAAACTAACAGGATCCTCTACCAAAAACAGCCACCATCGACCTAATTTGGCCAATTCAAGCAAAGAGAATAATGGTGGCAATGGATTGGAACCAAATATATAAGTATCCATAATAACACTAAAAATAAACTGTTGGTTACCATTGTTATCACTAGAGAAAGCTCAGTCATCAACTCATTATTCTGAAAACTAGTAAAAGTTTAAGAATCCAAATTTCATCTTTCCTTTCCTTCATGAACTAAATGAACTGGTATATGAGGCAGTTCTTCTTTAGAGAACTACTAAATGCAGATGGAATGACAAAATTAGGAAATCACCATTTTGTAACCCCTAATGAAATAATGACTCTAAGAAAGAATCATTAATGAACCCCCAAATCATCAGGGTAAATACCAATGAAGAACTTTATGACAGAGGAACAAGTCTGACACCTGAACCACTAAGCAATCTTAGCATTACTAAAAGTAGGACATCCAGAGATCACCTTCTAATGTGATCAAGCCTCTAGCTCTACTCGCCAGTTCACAAGAAATACAAGAAACACAGGCATATTAAGTGACACCACAAGAAAACAATCTGTTTCATCTAGATTATGGCTCATTTTAGTGTTAAATGACCTGCTTTCATCAATAAATCAAAAATGTAGAATAAGAGAAACATAAGAGATATATTAACCAAAATGCAGTGTGTGGGTCCTGATTTGAATAAACCAACAGTAAAAATAAGTATTAGAGCTAATCGGGGAAACTGGAATTACATAATTGGTTCCATCCTTAGACCTGGGCCAGAGAAGCTCTTGCTCTAACCCCACACTTTTGAGAGCTCTGCAAAAGTGCGTGTTCCCTCTGACCTGTGTTCCCATGCTCCTTTCTGGGTAACTAGGACCCCAGAACACCCTGCTCATTTCCAAGGTCTACATGGGCCTTCTACTGGGTCCATCTTCTAAAAAACAAATTGTGCTGGCTGGCCATGTGCATTCCCTTTCACTGAGGCTGAAGGTGTGGCCATGATGCGGGGTAGCTTTTGCAAGCCACGCAGTAAGAGTGTGGGTGTACAGGTTGGAAGATCCATATGGTACATGAGAGATAGAGCCAGGGCAGGAGGGAAGAAAGAAGAGAGGTAGCCCCCCCAGAGCCAGCTTTCCATGCACTGCAACATTCTGGCACAGAGCTCTAAATCCAAACCGTGCCTTTCTTGTCACTATGAAAGGGTATTTGTCAAGTTGGAGGATAAAGTTTGCTAGCTTGATTTATAACTCCTAAATACTTAGATATATGTTATGTGGATTCTCATTTGTACTCTTCCTCCAGGTACAAAAATATTAAGGGAAAGTCTACAGACGATCTTATTTAAAATACTGTTATTAAGAATGATAATGACATGGTGGTGTTTTTTTTAAGTCTTTAGAATTTAGATTTAGGAGTGAAATAACATGATGACTTGAATTTACTTTTAAATATTCTAGAAAAAAATGGAAGGATTAGACTGGCAAAATGTTGGTAATTTTTGAAGTCAAGCAAAAAGAGATTCTATTATACTATTATATACTTTTTGGATGCTTGAAAATTTCTACAACAAAAAAAAATTAAAAATAGAAATCAATCTTATACAGCATCCGATAAAGAGAAGCAGTGACAACCTTCCTGTAAACATGGAATAAAAGGTTAAGAGTTGCAAATAAGTTAATAATGCACAGCAAAACAGCACTCATATATGCACCATGCCTAGGAATCAAGCAGAAGAAAAGGACCCCGCCTAAACTAGAGGTTTCCACTGCTTCTCCAGAAGTGAACTGAGGAACAGTGACTTGAAATTGGGGCTGGGGCTGGGAGGTGAGAGGGCAGGTGGAAGAAGAGTGTGCTCTGGCAGGACAAAAAGTTCTCCTCTTCTCATCCACTGGAACTCAGAGTATAAGTGGGATTGCACTGCAGAGGTAAACACAGGATACAGAGTTTGCTTATGAAGCCTGCAAGATACTCATCCCCTACAGTTACCCCTATCTGCCCATATATTTATCAATGATAGGGTTGAAAGGACTGTTTTCTTTAAATCCTAAATTAACTTGTACAAAAAAAAGCTTGCTGTTTAATTTCCTGCATGTACATATATATATTTTATATATACATACACAAACACATATACACACATATAGACACACACATATACATATATATATATTCTCTTATTCCTCCATATATTCATGGAGAGAGAGAAAGAAGTGAGAAGAGGCTTCATTATACTGTGTATGTGTATGCATACACACACGCACATACACATACGTATATATAGAGAGAGAGAGTCTAAGAAAAAAATTACAATAAACTCTTAGAAAAATCTAAGATTACTTACTTATGGCAGGTGGGGACAAAATATAAAATTTAATTTCCCTCAAGGTCAAAATAATCACATTAAACATGTATCAGATGAGAAAGAGACCAATGTATTCTAACTTTTGAAAAGAAGTGATTGATCAATTCGCATTTACTGAGTGACCACTAAGAAAGGACTGTGTTACTACCAAGTAATAAGGTGTGCTTCCATTTATGGCTGGTGAAATTAGTCTCATTACACGATAGTTACGACTTATCTACTTCTCACTCAACACTTGACTCCCACCTACCCACTGCATATCACACACATAGAGGGAATACTTACCCATATTTATCTCTTGCTCTCCACCAATGAACATCATTCTTTTCTAAAATGAGATACTCTTGGCCTCTCTCTAATCTGAGATCATGTCCTTCTGCTGCTTGGAAATCATACATGGCTACAACGATTTCTTCACTATTATCTTCTTCTTCTAGTGGAATTGGTGGGGGAGGCCTTCGCTAGACAAGGAAGATAACATTTGAAAGTTTAGTCTTCTATATGAAACTGATCATGAATCAAAACACTAAATGAGTCATACATCACCACAGAATAAACTAGAAACTTCAAGTCTACTTACTATAATCCAACAAACTCTCATGAAGAAGAGTATTATAATTCCTGTTTCATAACTAAGGTAACAATGATTTAATTAACCCACTCAAAGTCACTCATATCAGATCAAGTCTTGAATGAGTCCAAAGTGCATGTTTCCTCCACTATACCCCACTCCTGAAAGGCATATCATTATATCAGTGAAGTCACTTCTTTGTCACACTGTGGTCTTAAGACTGAAATATTTATCTAAATCCCACTCCTCTTAATACAACTCTTTAAGTGAAAATAGAGGCAAAATGCCAGATGATAACAGGATCTCCAATGATAAAATCTCATACAATTAAATTGGTATTATTTGACACCACAAAAAATTGAAATAAGCTACAGCACATCTGCTTCTGAGACGATCCTAGGGAAAAATTGTGTCACATCAATGAATAAACCGCATACTCAGTAAGTCACAAACACTACCAAAACTTAAGACTTAAAGGCTTAAAATGTAAAGATTAACTATCAAAAGCTAAAGACCACCTACCTTCTTTGTTTCTGGTGCTGGAGGTAGTGCTTTTCTTATACCTGAAAATGCCAACAACAAAAACAGATTAAAATGCTATCTACCAATAATTGATAAAAATAAGATATGGGTAGTTTTAAGGAAAAGTGGAAGTTAACACATAGACAAGCAGCACACTCTGACCAACTCTGGTGTATGCTGCTTGTATCTCTATTCTAGAACAGAATTAAAAACTGCTATTATAGCTGGTTTGTATTTCTGCCTTTCTGAACGCACAATAAATGCCACAGGGATTGAAGCCAGGCCAGTTCTTTGTATTCCTACCACTGCATAAACTGGGCACTCAATAATGCTCATGGAATCAAACATTGAAATCATGACAACACTGAGAAATTAATCAGCTTTGGCTGTCCATTCCTCTACAGTCCACAGTCCTAGAGTTTTGGCTGACACATGGCTACCCAAGATAAAGAATGTTTCCCAGCTAGGTGTGGCAATGGGACCAAATTCTAATCAAAGGATTCTGTGTACAAATGGGGTGTGCCATTTTTAGATCTCATCCCTAAAAGGATTCCCCATGGGCATCCTTGACCCCCTTCTTTCTGCTTCCAGGAAGAGAGAGACTGCTAGAGCTGGAGCAACCAGAGGAACCACTGCAGGAATACCCCCAGCCCCGGGTCACCCACCTTTCACCTCTGGGTTATTACATGAGACTGAAATAAATTTCTCTCTAGTTTAAGTCACTGTAACTTTTGGGTCCCTTTTTACAGCAGGTCAGACTGTGCATTCACTAATACCAAACCTTAAGACATTAAAAAAAAAATAAGGAACAATAACAGCCTTAGAAACTTGGGCTTCCTCTTTAATGTGCTAAGTTAATGTGAGGATATCCCAAGAGAATCAGGGTGCCAGGACTCATAGAACTGAGGGCTAGATGGACTGAGAAGGTCATCTGATCTGGCCTCGTTCATAATACAGCATCCCTGCCAAGTAGTAGTTCTGCTCATATCCAGAAGCTCTGTCAGTTCTGATGGACCCAGTGAGCATTCTGCATGGCACCAGCAGGAAACGGTATATCCAATCATTACTATGGGTGTCCTACTACAGCACTAGTAACTTAACAATCTCCACGTATTTTTAGCTTATGACTAAGGGTCTCTCATTCCCAGGATTTATAAAGGTTTTAGGTGTCAAAATTAACCTTAGACATTGTTCATCTCAACATTTACATGTGAGTATCATTATGACATGTTACTGTTCTAACAGACTGAAGCCACTACTGAAATCCATACTGCTATACCCCATCAAAATGAGAACAGCCCTAATCAGACTGTGGATGCACTGCTACATGAGGTTTCTAGCTCCACATCTTGGTTTATTTGTTGAAGAACATTAATGCTTTTCAAAGCTGCTGACAGTGCCACATTAGGCTCACACTTTCAATGGATTCATTTTGAACAAGATTCAATATTGTGATAAAAGCTTCCCAAAATAGACCTTCTGATTCCACGAGAAGGTCTCACTGTAACTAAATATAATTTTTCTTACAAAACACACCTACCCTACATTTTCACTGTACTAGAAAGTGTGCTGTACTTAATCAAAACCATGTCACTTTCTTACCATACCAATAATACGTTCATTCTAAGCACAATATAATTATGGAATAAAATGAATACTTACTGCTCTCAAAAAGATTGTATTTTTCACATCCGGGTGCTAATTTTTCAGTTTGTCTACAACACTGATAACTTCCATCTGTCCAGAATTTAGGATGATATTTAATCATAATATTATTGTTGTTCTTTATTTCTGTAATTCACAGATATAGTAATTAATAGTGAAATACAAAAGCAACTACAGAATGTTTCATAAATAACAGTGTCGATCATTACTTATTTCTTGGACACTATGTTTACTATAAGAACGCCCTTAGATCACAGGACTCAGCATTCAGAAAAGCTCTATAGTTCTCTTTGACCTCTTCTTTTTTTGTGTGTGAAGCACCCTTGTTAGCAGAAATGACTGCTGCTACACCAATGATGGATAAATGCAAAAGTCAACCTGCCACCATTTTGTTCTTCAGGAGAAGCAATGAGGACTATGCAGGACAAATCATCCATTTAAACCCTTCATGAATATGTCATTCCATCCACACCAAATATTGACTACATGGGCACTTTGTTAGAAAATACCAAATCCTGGGCCGGGTGCAGCGGCTCATGTCTATAATCCCAACACTTTGGGAGGCCGAGGTGGGCAGATCACCTGAGGTCGGGAGTTCAAGGCCAGCCTGGCCAACATGGTGAAACCCTGTCCCTACTAAAAATACAAAAATTAGCCGGGCATGGTGGTGGGTGCCTGTAATCCTAGCTACTTAGGAGGCTGAGGCAGGAGAATCGCTTGAACCCAGGAGGCGGAGATTGCAGTGAGCCGAGATCACACCACTGCACTCCAGCCTGGGTGACAGAGTGAAACTCTGTCTCAAAAAAAAAACAAGAAAACACCAAATTCTGTTATCATAAAAGCTTGCGCTTTATCACCTTCAGATATATTACACATTAAATGAGAGCGTGCTTTTCTTAGAAACTATATGCTACTAGAAAAAAATCAGATTTTAAAAAGGAAAGTTATCTTCAATATGCTGGTATAACTTACAACAACAGCATATCCTTGGAGAAACACTTACTGTAGATTAAGAGATTACAAATGCAATAGATACATTAGCTGTATTTCTGTCTTAATGATAACAATATTACATCTCCTAAAATTATATACAGAGTAATATTTCATTGAGTTTTACCTTCTTTTAACTTCTTCACCCACAGGTCCCTGCTTTGTGGACTAGGTGCAAAAATGTAAAGTGTGTTAGCATCATGAACAACCTAAAATAAAACAAAAGATGGAATTGGTGAAGAGGACTTAGACACAGCACTTCTGTCTAGCACAGAACCCTTGGTACTACAGACACCAATAAATGATTCTCAAATAACTGAAAGTCAATAACTTCATATCCAGAAAACCCAGGTTACTTTCTTACAAAAGCACAAGTACTTCTTCATTTCTACATTAAGTAGAATACACGTTTTGCAAAAGACCATGTTTTATAGAAAAAAATATAAAGGCCAGGATACTTCATTAATCTCAGTATTTCTTTCAATCCAATTAACTAAACTGTAACAGAGATTCAGTATTTCTCTAAATAATATTTTAGATGAATGGACTACTCCTTCAGCATCACTCTTATAGTTTCCTTTTGCCACTATCAATAATTGCAGTAGCTAACTGGATTAAGCACCGACTACGCCAGCACTGTGCTGTGTGCTTTACAGACCTTAACTCAATTAATCCTGCCATCAAGGTACGAGTTTTTCTATTTTATAAATGAGAAAATAAAGGCCTACCCAGGCCCCCACTCCTGTGTAACTTCAGCAGATACCACTCATGCACCATGCACTGCAGATGCTGTCCCCTGATGTTGCACTGCCTAACCTGCCCATTGCCATTTGGCTGGTAATCCAGAAAGCCAGAATTCAGACTCCAGAGCCCAGCCTCTTAATCACAGTGCCTCACTTAGAGGTAGTCCTTGGTGGGCAATTAGACAGTCTTATTTTTAACATTTCTAATATTATTAATAAGATAACCCTGGGAAACTAAGCCAGAAATTTTTTCATTTTATTCTTCATGGTCAGTCACAAGGCAGAAATCTGTTTAGACTGGCTAAAAAGTTAATACATGGCTAGAAACCTCCCTTTGTCACGTCCACACCCACTGGATTGAAAACCAAATAGCTCTTTCATTGATAAATGGTTATCACTGACCATATTCAATAGAGAATTCCTTCTTATTCATTTAAATCAAAGGAATGTACTTTTTTTTTTTTTCTTAGAGATGGGGTCTTGCTCTGTTGCCCATGCTGGATGGCAGGGGTGGAATTACAGCTCACTACAACCTGGAACCCCCTCGGCTCAAGTGATCTTCCCACCTGAGCCTCCAAAGTGCTAGGATTACAGGTGTGAGAGCCACGGTAACCAGCCAGAAATGCACTGTAATAGTAATGTGAACACCATAGAACAAATGATGCTATATACCATTCGCACCTTGCTGGAACTGCATAAGACACAAAAATGAATCGGACATGAAGCCTGTTTCTAAGACAAATATAGAAATACCTTATTACAAGACAGAAAGTGAGCCATGATATCAGAGCGATAAAGTGCTAAAGGAGATGTGAAGAGATGTGTTTCCTCATTTGCTCCATGATTTTCACATTTATGCAGGCTTGCCCACACAACCAACTCTGTACAGAAGGAACTATGCACCGTGAACTAGTCATTCTGAATTGACATTGAGATGTCTGGAAAAGACTGCTAGGGCCTTGGACCTTCCAGAAACCTGTGGTGTATTGTAATAACAATTTAATTTATTATAATAATTTACTGAGTCCCCACAATTGGGCTAAGCACTTTATATGCACTGCCTCATATCATCCATACAGCAATCCAGTTCTTTCTTAGTGTTAGAATCCTCTTTTTTCAAATGACAAAACCAAAGTGGCTGAGGTTAAGTCATATGAGTAGGATATTTAACCCCCAAATATCCCTTGACTATTCCCCTCCTGGAATCTGCCTTTCCAGACTCCAAGCAGTCTAACTTCCCCACAAAACTCATCTCGTGTCAGTACCGTGAGCCTGTGAAACTTCCTTAAAGTTTGTTAGACTAGCTAACCGCCTCCCCCCACCAAAAAAAACCTAATCCAAATTCAGAGTTTCGATAACTAAAACTAGCTTGATATATTACCTAGCTAACTTGGGGCATTTGTATTTCTACGAGAAGTTTCTAGGAATAGCACCCTGTTTTGGCATCTCAGGCTGAAGAGGTATTTGTGGGCCAGTATCTCCCTGAGCAAACCTCAGATCACACAATGTTGGCCTCTTGGGGAGAAGGATCCAGGGAGCTGTGTTTCTCTCTGCCTTAATTCTTGTGCTGAGTCATCCTACCACAGCAGAGGCTGTTGGGAGGGAAGAGCTTTGCAAACTTCAAGTGCAGAAACCATTTAAACAAGGAGGGAATACTCTCCCTCAGTAACACTACCCACTGGTAGTTACCCACCCTCCTATTTATATCTTCCATCCACTCATTCATTTATTCCATAGACTTAATAGTGTGGTGTAGGAGAAACAGCACAGACAAAAGGTAGACAGATCTGGGTTTGAAGCCCAGGGAAGACATGCCAGCTCCTGGGGATCTCCCAGCTGCCATCAGAATGACTCATCTAGAAAAGCATGAAGGAGCAACCATCCCATCTAGGCAGCTGGTGTGGATTCCCCACCATTCTCTCCATCCGTCCTACTTTCTTCTCCCAGTGTCTTTTGAAAATGTCTACTTCTACTTTTATTGTTTTCACTTTGCATCTGAACCTAATGTAAAATTTCACTATGAAAATGTGAAACTAGGATCTATACTTTCTTAGTTATACTTAAGTTATAATAAGAGAGGGTATTTTTCACCTTTTAAATCATGCTGCTTTAAATTGTATAAAGCTCAAGCTTATCCCTTCTTGATTAATTTTTCAGATTGTTTTCAAACTTTTCTCATATTTATTCATCTCAACAATTTTAGTAGTTCAGGGATGGAATGCGTTCTGTTCTACTTGTATTATCATTCTTAAAAGCAACCCAAAACTTGCAGAGTGAATCTCTCTTTCTTGGACAGCAAAAATCCTAATGCTGGGTCCAGAATCATGACAGCCACAGCTCCCCAATGCTGTCAATCCCTAGCATGTCTAATAGCCATCAAAGCTGTGGTAGGAGGCCCGGTGCAGTGGCTCACGACTGTAATCTCAGTACTTTGGGAGGCTGAGGCAGGCAGATCACTTGAGGCCAGGAGTTCGAGACCAGCCTGGCCAACATGGTGAAACCCTGTCTCTACTAAAAATACAAAAATTAGCCAGGCATGGTGGTATATGCCTATAATCCCAGCTACTTGGGTGGCTGAGGCATGAGAATCGCTTGAACCTGGGAAGTGGAGGTCTCAGTGAGCTGAGATCATACCACTGCACTCCAGCCTGGGTGACAAAGGAAGACTCCATCTCAAAGGAAAAAAAAAAAAAGAAGTGTGGTAGGAATGGTTCTCTGCTAAATTTCCATTATATATGCATTAAACATACTTAAGAAGAAGGTTTAAATTTATCTTACTTCTAGATCCAGGTGGTAGGTGTAATATTAGGTGTAATATTAATAGCAGCAGCAGTAGTAAGAGAATAGCAATAGTAATAATAGCAACTACCACTTACCTTGCTCTGATTATATGTCAAAGCTATTTATATATCACATCAGTTAATCCTCACAACAACCCCATGAAATGAGTACTATTATTGTTATTATTCCCATTTTTTAAGAGAGGAAACAGGCACAGAGAGGTTAAGTGACTTACACAAGCTCACATAGCCAGTAAGCAAATCAGGCAGTTTGGCCTCAGAGTCACCTCTCTAAGCACTTACTGTCCCTGTCCTTCACTCAGAGAAATGGTAGCTATAAAATAAGGAACAGGGAAAAGGAAAATTAAATGTAGCCCTTCCTCCATTTGTGATGTTGCCACTCTAGCGGAGAATAAGCCAGGAGCTTGGATATTTTGGCTCACTGCTTCCCAAACATCTTCATCCCCCAAAACTGGTAAATGTATAATTCCAACGTAATTGATAACTTCATAAGAGCAATTAAAAACAAGCAAAAATTCCACCACATTGAAAAAGACTTTTGCAACTTTCCTTTCAGGACATGGTGAGACCACAGCCATGGGTAAAAGGCGACTTTCACTAGGGACATTCACTGCTCAAGGAGAGCATAAAAACATCCTTGAGCAGGGAAGGAAGTGGTGAGGTGCTGGGGAGGGGCTGAGAGCTCCAGATTATCAGGATCCAACTCCACATTCCTGAGTTCTCAAGGCAGGTGGGAACCAAGATACTGGCAGGAATGCGGAGTAGCTCAGGACGCCGGACCCTCCTCTTCTGGAGAGGAGATGCGCGTGTGTGTGCTTGGCAGACTTTTCATTTACAAGGTGACCTTGGAGAAGCTATTTAACAGGTGAGCACTGATTTCCTCAGACATAAATGAGAATAATGAGATATTTACCTCCCTTATGCAACAGAACCATTGTCGGGAAAAAAAATAACATGATTACCCCGAAGAAGCATAGTTTAATTAATATATGTCTAATATTATTTTTTTCATCACAAGCAGCCTTTTAATCTCATTTCCACTTGAGCCTTTCACTTCTCAGTTTCTCAGATTCATAGGGAACACTTCAACCTCACTTTTCAGTCTTAGCCCCAACTCCTTAAGAATCAGAAAATGTTTCCACAAAGACTTAAACAGTTCATGAAGAAAAGTCACAACTATTAAAGTGGCAAATGAACCTACAAATCAGCCAGCAAAGCAAGGACAGGAAACTGTAATGTCAAAGAGCAAACATGACTAAGCCCAGCACTGCACTGCCACAAAAATACACCAGCTCACCTGAAATGGATACTTATTTTGACAGGGAATGACACCATCATCATTCTTCACTATTTCCACACACTTGATTTTTGAAACATCAATAAACCCCTTTCTGTATTTCTTCTGTTAAAAGAAAAAAAGGAGAAACATTAGAATCATAAGACATAAAAAAATTAACAGTAATATTGTTAAGGAAATTTTGCTCTGATTCAAAATATTGCAATTTCTTTAAAATTATCTAAATCATGTTTCCCACTAACTGCTAAAATTATTCAAAATACTAACACTGTGATTATTGTAATCAAAATTATTAAATCCTTTAATTTATCAAGATGAAACTGTTCTGTCCTGCCCCCCCAAAAAAACTCCAGAATGGGTCAGGTGCCGTGGCTCATCCCTGTAATCCCAGCACTTTGAGAGGCCAAGGCGGGTGGATTACTTGAGGCCAGCAGTTCGAGACCAGCCTGGCCAACATGGCAAAACCCCCATCTCTATTAAAAATACAAAAATTAGCCAGGTGTGGTGCTGTGCGCCTGTAATCCCAGCTACTCAGGAGGCTGAGGCATGAGAATCACTTGAACACAGGAGGCAGAGGTTGTAGTGAGCTGAGACTGGGCCACTGTACCTCAGGCCTGGGTGACACAGTAAGACTCTATTTCAAAAAAATACATAACTCCAGAACAGAAAAACTCCCTTTCATTGCTACCTGCCCCTGCCAGATACACAATTTGTTCAACTTCTTCATGTTCTTGATGATAGTCCCCAAAAAGAAAGCGTCAAAGACCAAGCCAAGCAAAATTCCATTTACTCAATCACACATGCAACTTCCAGCCAGCTCTGTTTTCCCCTTCACTGGGGTAAATGCCTCCAGTAGAGGCAGCACACAGAATTGAGAGTTATGTGAGGTGGACTTAAAATATTCACAGAAAGCTTCCATTCAGAGTCTATTATTAAATATTCTAATTTTCTTCCCCATTTGCCTGCCCTCCCTGCCTGCTGTAGATCTGCCTGCAGCAATTAACTAACAGCCCATCAAGACTCCCTGCTCCAAAATCATCCACACCTTTAAGCATAGTTATCCCACACTTGGGAATTTATCCTAGGGAAAAATCTAAAAGAAGACAAAGCAGTATGTGCAAAGATAATATAATGCAGCCACTAAAAATTATTACAAACACAATGTAGAAATAAAAAATATTTGCTGAATAATATTAACAGATGAATTCCACACAAAAGTTGCATAAAGACTAAGGTTACTTTTTCTTCATTGGTAGGTATTCATATGACAAAGAATAGAAGAAAAAGTAGAGAAATGAAGAACATCGTATTTGAGATGCCAGCCATCCCTTGGCCTTAGTCACTGAAAATTCTTTTATCTAATGTTCTGAAACCCCAGCTCTAGCCACAAGCTTTGGGGTCCCCACCCCACTCCCAGGAACCTGCTCTGCATCCTCATTGTCACCACAGGACTTCCACACCTGCCTCATTCACCTGGGCCATCAGCACCTCCCATCTGACTAAAGGACTGGCTGCCATCTCCCCAGTGCATATTTATATCCCCCAACATATGCACACACTAGAACCCCACACCCCCTTGACACTTGATATGGTCTGGCTCTGTGTCCCCACCCAAATCTCATCTCAGCATTGTAATCCCTACAATCCCCATGTGTTGAGGGCAGGACCTAGTGGGAGGTGATTGGATCATGGCCGCAGTTTCCCACATGCTGTTCTTGTGACAGTGAGTGAGTTCTCAGGAGATCTGATGGTTTTATAAGGGGCTCTTTCCCTTTTACTCATTTCTGCTCGCTCTCTCTCTCTTGCCTGCCGCCATGTAAGATGTGCCTCTTTCCTTTTTGCCATGATTGTAAGTTTCCTGAGGCCTCCCGAGTCATTCAGAACTGAGTCAATTAAACCTCTTTTCTTTATAAATTGCCCAGTCTTTGGTATGTCTTTATAGCAGTGTGAGAATGGACTAATACAACAGTTTTGTCAGTCCCCAGTTCCGTCCACACCTTTCCCTATTCCCTTCATGCCTGGCTATGGAAGGTCACACACACAATCCTAACTGCCATCTCTATGCCCAGCCAGGCTTTCGCTGCTGCTCATCAGCCCTTGTGTAGTGAAGAGAACCCAGCGGCCTCAAACTACCAGTGCCCTCAAAACTACAAACTTCCCATTCCCTTTGCCTCGGTGGACTCACTCCCTCTCTGCTTTACAGAGGAGACAGCAGTTATCCAGGGGCACATCCCCAAATTCTTCCTTCTGCAGTTCAAGAAAATGCTAAGATTTTACCCTTTTTGCTTTTCTTTTACCCTGTCTCTAAGAGAAAAGTTAAAAAGACACAATGGTTGAGACACTATCGTTGGCACTGAACACATGTTATCTCATTCTGTGCTCACAATATCCCTGTGAGGTACACATTATTCTCCTCATTTTACAGATGAGGAAACTGCAGCTGAGACAAGTTATGTACATTACCCAGGCCCTGAGCTGAAAGGGTACATTTTGGGTACATTACCCAAAGCCAGCTAGACTGTGAGAGATGCCCGAGATGCAAAGCAGTAAGAGGACTCATGGAGCCAAGTCCCACCATGGACAAAAGGGGTTCTAAGCAGCCTTTCCACCAGAGCAGGGAGAAGGAAGGACATCCTCTCTGGTCATTCTCTGCTAAGGGCTTCTCCCACCCTGCCTACAGACGCATTCAGGGCTCTCCTATCCAAACCGGGAAGCATGCTTTTCACCTGCTGCTACTCTAACCCTTCTCCTCTGTTCCTAAAAGAGAAGACAGTGCACCCTCAGTTTTCATTTCTTTACCACCCACTCCCTCCTTAACCACTTGCATCTGCCTCCCACCTCATAGCCTGCTAAGGCTGTTATCGAAAACATTACTGATGATCAAACCAAACGGTCTTCTCTGAATTGTAAGCCACCTTCTGAGATTTGCAAGTGCTGACACTCTTCTGCGCCCTTAGTGGCCCTGACTTTGGGTTGTCCTGGTTTTCCTTTTCTCCCTTCCCTTCAGTTTCTCACAGGACAACACCTGTCATGTGTCAACAACTGTGTGAAGAATGACAAAAAGACAATAGGACAAGCTCATTTCCTGAGCTTGTAGCCGCAGAATTGGGCCAGGTGCTTTTAATCCTCACAGCTGCTCTGCAAGGTAAGGATTACTACACCCATTTTACTGACAAAGAAACTAAAATTAAGTAATGTGCCCAAGTTTACTTGTGGAACAGACTGACATAGCAACTATCATGTAATGACGTGGGTAGTATATATATATATATATATATATATATATATATATATATTTTTTTTTTTTTTTTTTTTTTTTCAAGACAGAGTCTTGCTGTGTCACCCAGGCTGGAGTGGAGTGCAGTGGTGCAATCATGGCTCACTGCAACCTCTGCCTCCTGGTTTCAAGCAATTATCCTGCCTTAGCCCCCCAAGTAGCTGGGATTCCAGGCGTGTGCCACCACGCCCAGCTAAATTTTGTATTTTTAGTAGAGACAGGGTTTCATCAGGTTGGCCGGGCTGGTCTCAAACTCCTGACCTCAGGTAATCCACCCACCTCGGCCTCCCAAAGTGCTGGGATTACAGGCGTGAGCACTACATATAAAAAAGATGCTAAGAGAGCACAGAGAACAATGGCTTACATTTCAGAAGAGGAATGGCAGGAAGAGAAATCTCAGTGAAATGAACAGTAGATGCAAAGAAAAAACACATTCCACCTGACCTCAGTTTCCTCATCTGTAAAATGGGAATAATAATAGTATCTATTTCCTAGGTTTGTTATGAGAATTAAATGAGTTAATATTTGCAAAGTGCTTAGAAGAATGTCTGGCCCATCTGCATGTATTTAGTAAATAACTGTCTAGCTCTAGGAGCAGCAGGCCATGGTCTGCTTTCAAAACACCCATATCTCCATGTACCACCTGGCCTGGCTTCTAAAAGCAGCTGTCAGATGTGGATAAATAGATATAAGAAAATTTGGGATGACTTGATTTTACTTATGTCCCCTAAATTCATACTCTGTGATATATAATCTCCTAATATCCTGTACGGTTAGGCTGGTGCAAAAGTAATTGTAATTTTTGCCATTAAAAGCAATGGCAAAAGCTGCAATTACTTTTGCACCAACCTAACAATATTTGGACTGACTTTCTCCAAATATCTTGTTATGAAACTAGCAGATACAGGTTCACATGTAAGTTGATCACTCATTCTTTTATTTATTCTGCCAGCAAATACTATGGGACACCAACCCAACTGGGCAACAAGCACCATGCTGAGTGCTGGAGTTTCAAAGTTATGAAAGGAGGGTTGAGGGTCTCTTCAAGAGGATTTCATAATATGATGGGTGGAAGGGGAAGAGGGATGATTCACAGTCTAGTAATGATCAAGCAATGTTCTCTTGTGGTATCCTACAGAGTGGGGCAGTGATGGGGCCACAAGAAGATGGGGAAGATTCAGGAAGGAAGTGATATTTTGATTTTATTTTTAAAGGATAAGTATGAGTTTTCCTACAGAGATAATGGAGAGAGTTTCAGGCTGCAAAACAACAAAGTGCTGAGTATTTAGGGAACAGAAAGAAATTCACTGTGGTTGAAGCTCAGGGTGCTTTAGGAGGCTTGTAGGGAATGACACCAAAGAGGCTGTCTGAGGCCACATTAGGAAGATGCTTCTGCACCAGCCTTACAAGTTTGGATTTATTCTGAGCAGTTTTACATGGAGAATCAGGAGTGCAGTACTGCGGTGTGTTTTTAAAAATATAATGATTAACGGCAGGTGAAGAGTGAGTGTTGACAGGGAGGCTGGCTGGGCAACTGCCGTAATAGTTCAGGTGAGAGATGAAGTTCTAAACCAAGTCAGTGGCAGTAAAGTAAGAAAAGCAAAGACACCAGATAATTTAGAAGGCAGAGTTCACAAAACTTTGTGACCACTTAGATATGGGGATTAAGAGTAGAGAAGGACTGAGGGGGGCTAACGGATTTTGAGTTTGAGTGACCAGGAAACACGGACACCATGAATCATGAGAAGGAACACAGAAGGACAATCAGGTGCGAGGAGGCAGGGCTGGGAAATGTTTGAGTGACAATTGAACAACCAGGTGAAAGTTAAAATATGGGTCCAGAACTCAGAAATGCTTAGCACTGTCTTTATAGATAAAGACAATTCTGCTGCAGAAATGCTTAGCGCCATCTTTATAAAGACAATTCTGCTTTTCACAACACATATACAGTATATATAGTGGCAGCTTATTCTAGCCACATCTGAAGGTAACCCTGGGAGGTTAGGCAGGGCTGCGGAAAAAAAGGATTGGAAGGGCTGGGCACCGTGGTTCACTCCTGTAATCCCAGCACTTTGAGAGGCCAAGGAGGGTGTATCATGAGGTCAGGAGTTCAAGACCAGCCTGGCCAACATGGTGAAACCCCATCTCTACTAAAAATACAAAAATTAGCCAGACATGGTGGTGCGCACCTGTAGTCCCAGCTACCTGGGAGGCTGAGGCAGGAGAATAGCTTGAACCTGGGAGGCAGAGGTTGCAGTGAGCCGAGATAGTGCCACTGCATTCCAGCCTGGGCAACAGAGTGAGACTCTGTCTCAAAAAAAAAAAAAAAGAAAAAAGAAAAAGAAAAGAATTGGAAGGGATAAAGGATTCACCATAGGGAACAGAGAGTTACTGAGTGAGGCATGCTATCCCATGCACTTTCTCCCCGAGCCCACTTTAACTCCTGACATGCCAGCTTTTTAAAGCTTTTCCACAGTGGGGCCCTTTAGGAATAAAAGCTTTAGGAAATGATTTCTGAGCAGTTACCGTAGAAGGAACTCACAGTTTCTCCTCCATTTAGACTATTCTTTAGAATTTCTTCAGTAAGAAAATACTTCATGATTCATGGCATATGCTATATGCTATTGTTAATATTGTGGCCCATCTGGGTGGAGTTGCTCATGCCTGTAATCCCAGCACTTTAGGAGGCCAAGGCAGGCAGATCACTTGAGGTCAGAAGTTTGAGACCAGCCTGCCCAACATGGGAAAACCCCATCTCTACTAAAGATACAAAAAAATTACCCAGGCTTGGTGGCAAATACCTGTAATCCCAGCTACTCTGGAGGCTGAGGCATGAGAATCTCTTGAACTCAGGAGGTGGAGGTTGCAGTGAGCCAAGATCGCACCACTGCCCTCCAGCCTAGGTGACAGAGCGAGACTCCATCTCAAAAAAAAAAAAAAATTGTGGCCCAAGGGGAAATATCCAAGGTCATTACTTTTTTTTGTGTTATATTTCCTTTCTATTCTATAGCCTTTGCCCTGCTTACTAGACTGAAAATCATGATAAAGCTGAGACTTTCCCTGACTCACCTTTGAATCCTCTATGAATCTGCCGAGCTAAGAAGACCACCTGACACTTAGTGGATACTAATTCAACAGTGTGCTGACCCAGTATGCAAAGGACCATGGGCAATACTCTGTGTGTGTGTGTGTGTGTGTGTGTGTGTGTGTGTCCTCTCTTGCACACTTTGCAAAGCTTGAAAATGGAAGTAAGCAATGACCATTTTATATATTGTAAACCAGCGTATATGGGAAAATGAGGCATTAAGATGAAATATAACTTGCTTTAAACTACACATCAACTGAATGGCAGAACTCGGAGTTAGATGGATGAGATTCTGTCCCCCAGCAAGACTTACAAGGTACACTGTTTTCCTTTAATTTCCAGAATACTCTGTATTTTAATAATACAAATATCCATCCTAATCTAAAGAAATTAAGTGAGAAAAAAATGTATACAAATAACCAGGCTGGTCTCAGGTGATCTGAGAAGTCATTTATCTCAGGACACCCTCTTGTCCTTTTCCCAAGGCATCCAGAGTCCCCACCACACACAGGGAAAGGCTTGCCAGGGTGTCCCTCCAATATTCCAAATGATTCGTCCCTTTCCCACATCACAAATTTTATTCCTGATGTGGCTGTTCCCAGGGTCTTGTGGCAGAGGAAATCTCCTGGGTGAATCATGTCTGCATTGCAAGAGGACCTCAGAGAAGGAGCATGAGCTTTGGAGACAAGCAGATCCTGACTTCTAGCCTCTGCTTTGCCACTTATAAGCCATACGACCTAGGGCAATCCCAGTTTTCTCTCTGTGCTTCAGTTCCTTTCTCCGTAGAAATAGGACAATGCTGCTCTCTTTGCCAAGCTATCAGCAGGATTAAAGATAATGTTCATAGGTGCTTAACAGTGTCTGACACATGGAACTCTGTGATGGTTAATTTCATGTGTCAACTTGAGTAGGCTAAGGGATACTCAGACGGCTGGTAAAACGTTATTTCCAGGTGTCTGTGAAGGTGTTCCTGGAAGAGATTAGCATTTCAATCAGCTGAGTGAGTAAAGAAGATCCACCTCTGCCATCGCAGATGGGCATCATCCAATCCGATGAGGGGGCAAATAGAACAAACAAAGGCAAAGGGAAAGCGAACTCTTTTCTTAAAGCTGGGATGTCCATCTTCTCCTGCTCTCAGACTTTGGTGCTCCTGGCTCTCCAGACTCCAAGGCTTCCACCAGCAGCCTCCTCCCCTACTCCTGGTTCTCAGGCCTTTGGACTTGGTCTGAATTACACAATTAGCTTTTCTGTGTCTCCACATTGCAGATGGCAGATTGTGGGACTTCTCAGCCTCCATAATCTATTGCGTGAGCCCATTTCCATAATAAATCTCCTCATATACATCTATATGTATCCTATTGGTTCTGTTTCTCTAGAGAACCCTGATTAATACAAACTCACTCCCCAAATAGTAGCATATACTGTCAGTTTTCACAGTAACCCTAGGAAGTTGCAGGAAACTGAGCACTGAGAGGCTATGAGACTGGCTAAGGATTGTAGAGGCTGAGCCAGAATTGAACTAAAATCCCTCAAAAACAGTAATGCTTTTACCTGACTCCAGGTCTGTAAAGCTTGAATAGTTATGGACTTTTATTATTAAAAAAAAGAATATTATCATGTCCATAGCTAACAATTATAGAACACTTACTATAAACCAGCAATACATTAGCCTCTTAATGTGGATAATCTCAGTGAATCCTCACAGCATTATAACATGAGAATTACTGTCACCCCCATTTTGCAGATGGAGAAATCAATACATAGAGAGTATAATTAACTTGCCCAAAGTCACACAATAATCCAGGATTTGAACTTTAATTCCAATCCTGAATTTGTAAGTGCCACCTATACCTAAGTAACTTGGTATCATTTAACTATGTGCAAACATAAATTCAGTAGAAATTTCTTAAACTTATAGCTTGTATACAACTATAAAATCAAAGAAAGTTCACAAATTAAATACAAACAAAACTATACAGCAAATAAAGTGAAATTAACATTACTTGGATGTGACAGATGGGGTGTTGGCTGGAATTGAATCTCTCCGTAAGTAGTTCTCTTGCCATCCACATGCTTATATTACTGTGTGCCACATGACACCCTCTCCCACCTCTTTTCTCAATTCAATTATAAAGAACCTCTGTTTGTACATATATTGCTATCCTATCATTAGGCCTCATTTTGCACCACTGAATTGTTTTGTGTTCAGTCTGTCTGTGTTCTTTCTCAACAGGCCACAACAATTAAAACAGATCTCAAACACAAACCCAAAGCAGACTGCTGAAATGGCATGTTTAGCAACAAAGGACCAGGCAGACAAAAAAAATACACACACACACACACACACACACACACACACACACATTAAATATTATTGAGGGATAAAATATTTCATCAAATTAAGAAGACAAAATTTAGAACTTGCGGTCTTCAACACATGCATAGCACTAAACCTGTGGCTAACATTCAT
The DNA here is from genome assembly GCF_000001405.40 of Homo sapiens. Classification (NCBI taxonomy): domain Eukaryota; kingdom Metazoa; phylum Chordata; class Mammalia; order Primates; family Hominidae; genus Homo; species Homo sapiens. The sequence continues at coordinate 48,184,914 of NC_000004.12, forward strand.
TGCATTCCCTCACGACAATTTGTATTTAGTTTGTGAACTTGGTTTAGTCCTTCAGCCATGTTCATTAAATATTGACTGCTGTGTCCTTTTACCATCTGCAAAGCACAGATATCAAAGTACCATAATAGAGACTTGAAAACACACACACACACAATCCGTTGCCCTTATGGAATGTACAAAAACCCAACATCTTCTAGGGTTACAGAGACAAATGATCATATTTACAATGAAAGTTCGGGTGAGTCAATAGTGAAAGACTAAAGAGTTCCAGTCAACTGTTTAACAGAAAAGAAAATGAATGACATATTCTACTAAAAACACCAAATGACCCTAAAAGGCCTATTCTATTCATACATGTAGTCTTTTCCCTTTCCACTCAGAACAGATTTAGAAGAATGGGTCTTAAGTACAGCAGAACACATTAATTAAGAGAAACGAAAAAAAGGATGGATTTGACATTTTTCTTGTGAATACTGGGAATAATTTTTTACATAGAGCTTTCTAAGAGAAGTCAAATGAATAGAATTTAGAGGCACTTCCAATTTGATGATTCTATGAGAAACTGCTGCCTCTTTACCAAGGACAAAATTCTAACAAAAACTTGGCATTCCATTACTTGGTATCTCATTATTTTTTCCTCCCTTTAAACTAGCTTATAATAGTAACTTATATGGGTGATTTATATTTTATAAAGTGTTTTTACACTAAGGAGAAAAAGAAACATATTAAGAAACCAGTAATATATATATAAGCATGGCATAATATATACATAAGCATGGCATAATTTTAAAGATTATAGTTTTTAAAGTAATATCCAGAATATAAACAGGAAGAGGAAAATCTCTATAAGAAATATGAAGGCTCTCCCTCTCCCTCCCCCTCCCCCTCTCCCATCTCCCTCCCCCTCCCCCTCTCCCATCTCCCTCTCCCTCTCCCTCTCCCGTCTCCCTCTCCCTCTCACCGGTCTCCCTCTGATGCCACCAAAGTTGTGAAAGCCGAGGCTGGACTGTACTGCCGCCATCTCGGCTCACTGCAACCTCCCTGCCAGATTCTCCTGCCTCAGCCTGCGGAGTGCCTGGGATTGCAGGCGCGCGCCGCCACACCTGACTGGTTTTTGCATTTTTTGGTGGAGACAGGGTTTCGCCATGTTGGCCGGGCTGGTCTCCAGCTCCTGACCGTGAGTGATCTGCCTGCCTCGGCCTCCCGAGGTGCCGGGATTGCAGACGGAGTCTCGCTCACTAGGTGCTCAACGTTGCCCAGGCTGGAGTGCAGTGGCGTGATCTCGGCTCGTTACAACCTCCACCTCCCAGCCGCCTGCCTTGGCCTCCCAAAGTGCCGAGATTGCAGCCTCTGCCTGGCCGCCACCCCGTCTGGGAAGTGAGGAGCGTCTCTGCCTGGCCACCCATCGTCTGGGATGTGAGGAGCCCCTCTGACCAGCCGCCCAGTCTGGGAAGTGAGGAGCGCCTCTTCCCGGCCGCCATCCCGTCTAGGAAGTGAGGAGTGTCTCTGCCTGGCCGCCCATCGTCTGAGATGTGGGGAGCGCCTCTGCCCCGCCGCCCCGTCTGGGATGTGAGGAGCGCCTCTGCCTGGCCGACCCCGTCTGGGAACTGAGGAGTGTCTCTGCCGGACCGCCACCCTGTCTGGGAGGTGAGGAGCGTCTCCGCCCGGCCGCCCCGTCTGAGAAGTGAGGAGCCCCTCTGCCCAGCAGCCGCCCCGTCTGGGAAGTGAGGAGCCCCTGCGCCTGGCAGCCTCCCCGTCTGCGAAGTGAGGAGCCCCTCCGCCCGGCAGCCGCCCCGTCCAGGAGGTGGGGGGCAGCCCCCGCCCGGTCAGCCGCCCCGTCCGGGAGGGAGGTGGGGGGTCAGCCCCCGCCCTGCCAGCCGCCCCATCTGGGAGGGAGGTTGGGGGGCGCCTCCGCCCACCCACTGCCCCGTCTGGGAGGTGGGGGGCGCCTCTGCCCGGCCGCCCCGTCTGGGAAGTGAGGAGCCCCTCTGCGTGGCCGCCACCCCATCTGGGAGGTGTACCCAACAGCTCATTGAGAACGGGCCATGATGACAATGGCGTTTTTGTCGAATAGAAAAGGGGGAAATGTGGGGAAAAGAAAGAGAGATCAGATTGTTACTGTGTCTGTGTAGAAAGAAGTAGACCTGGGAGACTCCATTTTGTTCTGTACTAAGAAAAATTCTTCTGCCTTGGGATGCTGTTAATCTATAACCTTACCCCCAACCCGGTGCTCTCTGAAACATGTGCTGTGTCCACTCAGGGTTAAATGGATTAAGGGCGGTGCAAGATGTGCTTTGTTAAACAGATGCTTGAAGGCAGCATGCTCGTTAAGAGTCATCACCACTCCCTAATCTCAAGTACCCAGGGACACAAACATTGCGGAAGGCCGCAGGGTCCTCTGTCTAGGAAAACCAGAGACCCTTGTTCACATGTTTATCTGCTGACCTTCCCTCCACTATTGTCCTATTACCCTGCCAAATCCCCCTCTCTGAGAAACACCCAAGAATGATCAATAAATACTAAAAAAAAAAAAAAAAAGAAATATGAAGGCAAAAATTTCATTTCCAAAATCACAGAATCTTCATATAAGATCGTGTTGATGTAGGCAATTATAGTTTCTGAAGACATATTTTCACTGTATTTAAAATTCAAGTGTTGTTTTCTCCCCCTAAGTGATCTTATGACCACTTAAGACTTTTCCATACCTCCTGGCAACCCTCTTCACAACTCTCCTTTGTGGCCCCAGAGCTAAAACCTATCACCAGATGTGTTTTATTACGGTTGAAAGCAAAACTTACTAACCTATGTGTTTTGAATTAAGTCTAAAAGTGATTTAAATGGTTTAATTCTTAACATTAGTAGGAATTACAATACATTGTGTAAAAATAAATGTATACAGATCTCTTACTGCCTAAGTTTCATGTAATAGACTTCTGAATTCAAGGAATGCCAAAATTAATAAATTCAATCCAAAGATTACAAATTCCCTTGGAGCAAGGACTATGCTAGCGATCTCTGATTGCCACATTTTTCCTCCCCTTTCTGGGGAGTTGGCTCAGCTAGATTGCACTTCCTTATCTGCCATGCACTTAAGTGAGGCCATAAGACTGAGTTCTAGCCAAGGGGGGCATGGAAAGAAGTGACATAACATTACTTCCCATCCTCTAAAACCTTTCACACTATCCTTCCTGTTCCATCCCCTTCCTTGTCGCCCTACTGGACTCAAAAGATCCACTGAAAGATTGTGGGGACTGAAAAACAATGAAGCCATTAAATGGAAGAGGTCTGGGTCCCTGAAACACCATGTAGAAGGCAGTTATATATAATGTAAGGAAGAAAGAAACTTTCTATTGTGGTAAGGCAGGAGTTTCAGGGTATTGTAAGCTATAGCAGTTAGCTATCTTAAAGAATATATTCTAGATTAAGAGTACTCCACACCTCAGCTACTCAATGCCTCAGATTTTTTATTGATAAAGAGACATGCTGAACTAAATCAGTGTTTCCCAAAGAGTGCTCTGGTGGTTTCTGAGGGTTTTTTCCTTTATAATCTTCATTATTTAATTTTTTCCATGCTCACTGCCAACAAGAAGAAGCAAACCTTCTTCCCAGTCATTCCAATACCTCTCAAAAGTAATTTAACAATTCAAGTGTTCTCTCTACACTGTATGAGTATTTAGAATACTCATACAAGCATATGTATGTATGTATGCTATACATACATATACACAGACATAAACATGCACGCGTATGTGTGCATTCACATACTTATACAAGTACTTTCATTTATATTTGGGAGTGTGTTGCATTTTTTTCACTTTTATATACCATAGACATCTCAGGTCAATACATGCAGGACTAAAAGGAATTCTTTTTAATAGTACTAAAACTTTAAAGAAAATGTTTTCTTATGATGATGCTTGATGGAAAGTACACAGCAATATAACAAGGTGTGTGTGTGCATGTGTGTGTGTGTGTGCGCGCCCATGCATATGCGCGCACACACGCATGAATTGCCAGGAAAAAGATCAGTTAAATATCTCAAGCTGAGGTGGTTTTAGGTGGAACTTGGATAAACATTTGTAATTACTGTATATAGTTTTATGATTACCTTTTATTCATGGTTTTTCATTTACTGACTGATACAGTTTCCTTTTCAAATAATTGTGTCTAAGGAAAAAAACATTAAATTATTTAAAGGAAAACATTAGATAAATAGTGCTTTACAGATGGCACATATATGGCAAATTCATCTAAGTAGTATATGTAACGGCTGAAGTTTGGGCAACACTGGCTGAAATTATCTCTTTATTTTGAATTCTAACATTCCTTGACATTTGTTATTTTGTACCTGTATTCCTTGACCACCAGGCCTGCCTAACACGCTCCCAACACATGTGTGAAGAGCACCCTGAGAACACTGACTTACACATAACAAGATTCAATCTACAGGGATATGTTCAGGTAAAACCCCATAAAGGTTACACACACTAACTCTCAGCCACCTCTCCTGAGACGTAAGCATTTCCAGACAAATCCAAAATGCCTACTTATTCCCACCCCCGAGGTTTCAATACATTTTACTGAAAAGATACAGAAAATGCAGAAATAGACAATGGATTTTTATGGCAACATTTGGCTTCTGGAGATAGATCTCCCACCTGGACACATTTTCAGCCTAGAATGGTGCATGGGGAAATGTCTCACTAGGAAATAAGAATTTACGTGAAACTCAGTGTTGGCATTTGGGATCTGAATCTGGCAGCAAAGATGCAAAATGATCAGATTCCATGTGGTGAATGGAAATATACTAAATCATAGTATCTGATTTAACCCATATTCAAATAATAAAGAATAATAGGTAAGATTTATAATAGCACTGTGTGCCTGGTGCTGTCCTATGGTTTACGCATATCAACTTGTTTAAGCCTTCCAATGACCACTATACCATGTTACCTCTCCAAAAATAGCAAGAGCAAAAACACCTGTGGGAAACTGACACTAGGTGACAGCAACAGAAAGGACTCCCACTTTGCAGATCTGTGAGGGACAACAGTCCCTGGCCATATCTAGTATATGAAATATCTACCATCTGTTTAGCACTCGGAGCTAAGCATCATGGGAAGTAGGGTGCTAACTACCACCACAAACATTAATATTTAGATTTGAAAGCAATAACATGTAAATACTTCATTTGTCTTAAGTACTTTTCCTGCAATTCTAGTGAGTATGTATGCTGACTGGAGACTTGTTCAATACTGTCTGAAATGCCAGGTGAGTATTTATCAGATTATAACTATGAATTTTCCCATTTAAAAACCTAAATTAACTCTACTAACTGCCACACCTAAAGTTTAAGCCTTCATGGAGCCAATTTCTAAAGAAACAGAAGCCCACAGAGGCACTCTCTACAACAAATTTCAATTTATCATTACACATTAGCAAAACCCTCTTACTCTCCATGTGTCTGCTAAAATGATCTTCCCAGGTTCACTTGGAATTTTACTGAGAGGCAAATTTCTCTGACTCCAGGATTTCAGACCAATGTGATGTCAGAAACCTCTTTAGCAAGAACCAAAGAAATATGGGATAGATTTCCTACCTACAAAGCATTTATAATCGAGGTAGGAAATAAGTCATGGACAGCATTTTGACGCCCTAGCAAGACGAATCAAAGTTCCCAAAGTTATTTAAAATTTGAGGCAAGAAATAGAAAGATAATCATAGAGCATTATCTGTGGATCACAACTGGATCCAGAGTGCCAAAGAGCCTCAAGTGCAAGAGACAATGGTGATTTGATTGTTAAAGGAAAAAAGACTGGATATTGCTGTCTCCTGAGACTAATAAGAAGTGACTAGAAACAGGCTGGCAAATGTAAATGATGGGAAAACTACAAAAATGTTACCCTAAATATAAAATCAGAAGTTATTAGGAAAGTTTAAAACTGATGAAGAACTTGTAAAGTTGACTGACTTTCAGAGACATGTATGTGAATAATATACACAGCAATTGACTATGCTGCTAGGGGACTTTTTAAAAAATTTATTGAACATGCCACAATATTTTCAGTATTGTCTCAATGTTTTAACACAGCAGAGTCAATATGACATAATGATTGAGCACCCAGGCTTCAGTGACCAGCAAGCTGTGCTTAAATGCCAGCTCTGTGGCCCCATGCAAATTAAATAACCTCTTCTAGTCTCTATTTCCTTATCTGTAAATGGGGATCTTAAAATTATTAGATTAACATAACCTATCTCCTAGATTATTTTCAGGATTAATTGTGAGATGCTCACAGGCACATAGCATAATTTATCTGGACCCTCACAATCACTTACTGTCAGTTATTTGGTTTGTTTTTGCCTTTAAATATAAGATTTATACAATTTTTCAGCCTTTAAACTTTTTTCCCATATAAACAGCCTTAACTTTTAATATTATATACTCTCTAATTTTCTTATACAGTTCAATAAAAAAATATTTAATACAGATCTTTTAAATATTTCACTGGCATTTACATTGTTTCATTAGGTAACATACCAATAGTTTTTCACTTTCTCCTTAAGGATGAATTCAGTAAATATTCCAGGAACTCAATAAATATAGGAGTAGACAGTTAAGTTTGACTATAATGCATAAAATATCACAGAACAAACTAGGGAAATAGGATAATAGCAGAACCATTCTTTCTCTTAAAACAGAATAATATTTTAAATAACTATTTTTAAAAGTAATTTGGTCTTATTTATCAATTACCATGGAAATGTAGGCAATGCAGGGCACAGTGGCTCATGCCTGTAATCCCAGCAACATAACACTTGCTATGTTGACCACCTTGGGCAACATAGCAAGACTCTGTTTCTACAAAAAAAATTTAAAAATTACCCAGGTGTGGTGGTGTGCACCTGCAGTCCCAGCTACTCGGGAGGTTGAGGCAGGAGGATTGCTTGAACTCAGTTCAAGGCTGCAGTGAGCTATGATGGCACTACTGCACTCCAGCCTGGGTGACAGACTAAGACCATAAAAGATATGCAGGTGAAGTCTAACAACCACTCAGGACAATATTTGCTCAGTATATACTACATGCTAGATAATGCACTAAGCACAAAAGGCATGGAAGCATATGTCCACACAAAGACTAACACAAAAACTTTCATAGTGGCTTTATTTATAATAGCCCAAAACTGGAAACAACCCAAACATCCATCAACAGGGGAAACAAATTGTGGTATAGCCATACAATGGAGTACTTCACAGTAATAGAAATGCAATATTGTTATAACCAAATTAATATATGTCAAAATAATATGCTGGGTGATAGAAGCTAGTCTAAAAAAGAGTACCTGCTATATAAGTTTGTTTATTCTAGAATTCTAGAACATGCAAACTAATCTATCATGTCAAAAATTAGATCAGCGATTACCTAGGGATGGTGGGCATGAAGAGGGAGGTATGAAGATAAAGTGGCATGAGAAAACTTTTAGGGGTTATGGGCATACTCAGTGTTTCAGTTGTTGTAGTGACGGTTTCATGGATGTATACCTAATGTGAAAACTCATCAAATAATGCAATTTAAATACGTGCAGTCATTGGAGCATACCTGTATAATGCTGAAAAAAATATGGCCCCTGCTCTCGGAAACCCTGAAGTCTGGGGATACTTGGAAACTATAAAATTCTTTGGTAATAATTTAATGTTCTAAATCATAAGCTTAAAACTGCAATAACAACAATGGTAAAAGAAAAAAAAATGAGTAGAAAGATTAAGCAAAATAACTCTGGTTTATAATGGGCCAGAAGTAGGTAATTGATCAGCTCTCATTTAAATGAAGGCTCTGCCCTAGTATTTATTCCAACTTAGAAAGAACTCACCCATCCATTTGATTCACTCAGTCTTAAATGAAAATGAGTAATAAATAAAATAAATTCAACACCTCCTACCAAGGCTGCTGCTTGGTCCTAGCCTTCTCTTTATCACCCCTTCTTCAAGGCAGGTCTAATAAAGGTCACCAACTGGAAGCTCAGCAAAGGCACAGCTACTCCCTCTCCAGCACCTGCAGCAGAGCCTGGCACCTGGCAACCTGGCACCTAGCAGGTGCCCAATAACTTTGTTGAATAAGTCAATGAATGAATGAATAAATAAATAGGAGAGGACTCAACTAAGTGGAATTGCTGAGCAGTTAGACTTTTCTCAGGTCTAATTTCACAATATCCAGTTGTAGCCACCACTTTTTCTTTTCCTTTTTTTCTGATTTTTTTTTTTTTTAAGAGATAGGGTTCTTGCTACATTGCCCAGACTGAACTCCTGGGATCAAGCGATCCTCCCACCTCAGCCTCCTGAAGAGCATAACCAGCACCACCACTTTTTCTTAACTACGCCGTTTTCGAGAAGAGTTTTTGCTCATATTTTTTATCTTCTATCTTTTTTCTTTCTTCTGCTGCAGTTCTCTCAGACCTATACCACACCAGGTGGGCACAGGCAAGCCAGGAATCTCCAGGACCTGCTTCCTGGAAATAATCCCAGACTCTGCTTCCTCTCCTCTCTATTCCATCAAAGTGTACTGCTGCACATAGTAATACCCAAGTGACAGAGTAACTGTCCCATTACAATCTTCAGAGATAAACGTAACTACTGTCAAGGGAGAGATGGTTATCATTGGATATGTTAGTGAGCATCTTTTGGCCTGTTTTTTTGTTTGTTTTTGTTTTGTTTTATTTTTCTTAGCAACAAAAAAGAAGGAAGGCCCTTTAGCCTAGGTTTCAGTTCTTAGGTTTCTATGGTTAATACTGACTAGTAGCACTTTGTTTCTCTAGTAGGACTGCGTGTGTGTTCTGAGGCTGTCCAGTAAGCACTTCATGTGTTAGGGTTTTTTTTTTAATGATACTTTATATCTTTATGAAAGTGGAAATAACTAGAATCACATAAACATGATTTCTTATCAAGAGGAACTTGGGAGAGATAAGCTTTGTAAGTTTCTGGTGGGTGAGAGTTACAGATGGCAAATAGGGCAAGACAGAAAATGCAATTTCTGGGATAGATGGTGGGTGGCAGGGGCAGCAAGTAATCCAAATACGCAATGGCCAAATCTGTGGAACAAAACCTACCACTGCAGCCCAAGGGGGAACACCATTCCCACCCCACCTCCTGGTATCCCAACCATGACCAATGGATTGATGAAGTGATAACCCAGAGCAATGACAGCCCTGAGGGTGGGAAACCCTGTGGCAATTCTCCTAAAGCCTTCCCCTGGGGCTGGATTTCTGGAAAGGTGCATCGAAAGGCTCACAGCCTCTTGGAAACTTTGCCTCTACCCTGCCTATATCTAGCCAGTTCTTCTACAAAGAAGAGCCCCACTCCCTGCTTATCTGATGTTAGTGGAGGGCACAGAGGCATGCACACAATTATGGACTGGAAATATAAATTACTTAAAACTGAACTGAGCTTTGCTAGGGAACTGCGAAAGCAGAACATTAACCTGGTCTTTAAATCAGCTGCTACTTAGCCCTATATATCTCTCTAGTTCTCTTCAATGTTAAAGAGATCACATTGCAGTTTGTTTTCTAGACGTCTTTAAAATACTAAACTGCATATAATGGCAGCTTTCCTATACCCTTTGCTACCCCCTAAAAGAGAAACATTCCCTCCTTGTTTTCAATGAATACAGTCAGCCATACCAGGTAAAGTTTCTTCCTCTCGCTTCTCTAATGGGAAGTTTGATGAGTAGATGATGAGAGTTGGGGGGAGTGAGGAAGTGGGCACAGGGAGAAGGAATCACCATAATAACACCCACAAGAAAGAGAAAATGTATTTTGGAGCCAGGTCTCTAGTAGCAGACGGTGAATTGCCCATCAACTCTCCCCTCAGTAAAATACTCAAAGAGAAATACACAGAATTGCTTCATTATGTATTCCATGGGTTTTTGTGGGTTTAATGCGGGCCAATCACTGCTTTTACTACAGTTTCTACAGGAATATTCATTCAACTGGTGTTGCAAATAACCAACTTACAGCAAACTTTTGTAATACAACCCATCAACTGTGAACATTCTGTAGATAAAATTATTTTTAAAACAATTTCTTCCACTGACTGAGTGCTTGATGATATTAAGGAAGTTCTGTTGATATTTAAGAGTGTGGTGATGGCACTAAGATTCTGCTTAAGCTGGGGGCTCCCTGACTTCTGCAGATGAATACTGAACCATCTGTAGAAGAAATGATGTGGTTTCTGCAAGACAATGGGAGTAGAAGGGATTTGTTATAGATAATGAGGTGGGAGGAAGTGTGACTAGGGTTACTTGGTTGGGTAATGGGTACACGGGGTTCACTGTACTATTCTGTCTACTGTTCAGTAAGTTGTAAATATTCTATGATAAAAGGTTAAAAAACACTTCTCAAATATTTTTTAAAGCCTGATCAAAGTTGTAACTGAATCTACTTACAAACTTTTTTTTTGAGAATAGAAAAAGAGCCCATCATAAACCAGTAAAAGCAGAGATGGCACATTTCTTAATTGCTACTAATAAAGCTTTTGCTGTCCTTTGTGGTAAAGTGCACACTGGGCTCAGAACAGGAAGCAAGCCTTAGAAACAACAACAATCCCGATGTTTATACAACTGCTCGTACAGGTCGTGTGTGCACAGCTCCTTGCATTCATCAATCTTAAAGTGCTCCATAATTAATTACAGAACCAGTGACTCTGCCAAAGTAATGAGTCATTTAGCATCTGCAATTTACTGTTGGGTAAATGGGGCACTGAGTTAAACAAATTGATCAAGGGCAAATGAGTAAGATACAGAAATCTAGGCTGCAATGTTGTACTCTTTGCTGGCTATCACAGCTAGGAGCCATAATTAAACTATTTGTTCCCTCTTAGTTTGCTCTTGCTAATGCAACTAACTCTCAATTGCTCTAGTGAAACTAACTCTCATTCATCCCTGTTGCAGAATATCTGGCCATTCTGAGAGATGCCCCCACAGTGCAAAATACAGAATCCCCACTGTCCAATAGCCACGCCACTCACTGAGTGCCCACCAGCACCTGCAACAGAAGCTTTATCTGTCTGCTTTTCTCTTCCTTACCCCCGCCTCACCTCCCTTCTGGTGGTACAGAGATACCACATTATAGCACCTATGCAGCAACCAGTCTTGGAAGGTGTGATGGTTAACTTTAGGTATCAACTTGACTGGAAGAAGGACTGCCTAGAGAGCTGGTAAAGCTTTCCTTCTGATTGTGTCTGTGATGGTGTTTCCAGAGGAGACTGGCATGCAAGTTAGTAGACTGAGTGGGGAAGATCCCTACTCAGTGTGGGCAGGCATTCTGGTTTACACGTCTTAGATCTCCCTGGGCTAAGAACCAGCAGGCCTCTATAATAGAGCTTACTGCTTAAAAGCAAAAAGTCTGAAGCCCAACTGTCTGAGTTTGAATCTCAGCTCTGCTACTTACTCACTGTATCTCCTTGAACAAGTTACTTAACCTCTCTGTGCCTACACTTCATTAGCTATTAAATGGGATGAATAATAGCACCAGAACTTCATATGATTGCAGTAAGAATTCGAAGAGTCAATTCATGTAAAGCTTTTGGAAGAACGCTGACAAACAGTTTAAGTGCTTGATCAATTTAGCTACTAATATTATTTTTGAAAAGCATACTAGCCCTTAGGAAACCTAAAAGCGAGAGCCACTAGTTTTGATTAAGAAACGATCCTCACACCTACCTTCTAGACTCCAAGAAAGATCTTCTGAGAGTTGATGCTGAATTTGACTATGTCTTATAAAAGCCATGAATGAGATGTTTCCTCAGGTCATGACAAATATCGGTTTTCTAAAATTACAGGAGGCCGTAATAGAAACGACCAGTGTCTACCAACATCCACTCTTTTCAAACAGAAAAAGAAATTAACCTTTCCTCATGGGTCTTACAATTCTGTTTTTAAAATGACGGTTGATGCTTCATGTGACTCCACTATTTTTACCCTTCGAGGCTGTTATTTTAGTTCTATCTTACAGTATGAAACCAATACTGAGCCAGCCAGTGACTAGATTAGCACTTCCTTTTTACGTTAGGAACAATTGATCTCTGGTAACTCACAGCATTTAACACACGATAGCAGGGAGCATCTTTGGTCAAAAATTCCTCTTCAAAGCACAAGAGTAATGTTACAAAGACATATTTTGCCGGTTTGTCAGGCTGTCTTGACGGCTAAGTCATATTCCGGTGAATATAAAGATTAATATATGTTTGATCCTTCTATAAACACACAATTTGGTAGCCCAAAAAATATCACAAAGCTATCCAGAGGCAGTGCAGTACAATGGTTCAGAGCTCTGGGAATCAGGCTGCATGGGCTGGGGTCCCAGCTCTGCCACATGCTCACTCTGCAACCTTGGGCAAAGTACTCAACCTCTCTGTTCTTTAGTTTCATCATCTGTAAAATGGGAATAGTAACTGTATCTGCCTCAAACAGTTCACAGGATTAAAGTTAATACTTAAAAAGCATATAAGACCATGTTTGGCACATGGTAAGCACCCAAAAATATGCTACTTCGGCATATGGATTGAGTTAAAGGCACTTAAAAAAAACAGCACATGCAAGAAGGGCACTGTGACCTTCCTTGTTCTTCTTGAAAGCATGAGATTAACTCCCATGAAAAAGGTGCCCTCCTTATACCAGGAGGACGAAAGACATTCATTCTTATCACCAGAGATGGGGAGCTGAGGCTGAGGGAAAGCTGTACAAACCTTGTTATACTAGTCCTTATCTTGCTACTTTTCCACAATTAACTGTCCTAGTCCTGAAGTGAATTCTTATACTTTCATGTTGCCTCAGCATCCATTTTGAATAGATTCAACTTTTTCATACCCAAAGCAGGGCTCAGTCACCCTTGATAGTTCTAGTTCCACACCACACCCAAATGGCTCAGGCCAGCAGCCAGAGATAAGAATTTAAAGGCATCTCTCCTATCTAGCAGACAGGGTTCCCCACTTTATCGAAGCTTCCCTTAAAAGCACCATTTAGGCCTTTGCCCAGGAACTCAAAGTGACCCCACACCCTACCCCTTATATATACTGCCAATTCCCACATGCATTTTCTCTCTCTGCCTGACTCCATTCCTGCCTCATGCAACCCGGAGATGGAGGACTGCCCTCCCAGCCCATTCCGCCCTTCCTGTCCAAGATCTGTAAGTAAAAATCTCTGAACTCATTTCCTACCTGGTGATGTATTGAGTTTCCACTTTTCATCTGAAGAACCAGTGGCTGCAGCTGCCTCAGGCCATGCTTTCCCAGGGATCCTGGGGGGAATATCAAGTCAGGCTCCCGGCGCCAGGGCGATGGTCAGGCAGGTGTAAGCTGGACATGGGTCAGACAAGAGCCACAACAGTGGCTGCCAGATAAATAAGATAAACAAGTTCCCCATGTGAGGGAGTCCCCAGGTTCCAGGTGGGCTAACTAGGCATAAAACCATCCTCCAGGCTAAAGAAGTACCCCAGGAAAGGGACACTGTAGACATTCATGTCCAGCTACCCTGCATTTCCCATCAGGACAGGGTTGCTAGCCAACCTGGTACTGGAATCCCATTAGCTAGAAGCTCTCAAAATAGCCCCAACTCCTTTTCCCTGTCATATCTTTACAATTTACCAATTTACTACTCTTTGTCCAACATAATATATAAGCTTTCAACCCTTACAACTTCCCTGGGTCTTTATTTTCCTGGTGAAGGCTCCCACGTACATGTAAAAATTACTAAATAAAAATTCTATGCTTTTCTCCTGTTAATCTCTCTTTTGGTGGTCTAATTTAAAAGGCCCCAGCTGGAAAAACTAAGATAGGCAAGGGGAAAAAATATATTTTTTTCTCTCCTTCACACAATAGAAGTATATTTAAATTTAAGAAAAAAGAAAAAACTAAACTAAAAAAGGCCACAGAGCCCTTCTGTTTCTAATCCCAGAAGCCAGTCTTGATTTTCACTGTGCAAAATGTATATTCAAAGGTACCAAGGAGATGATAAAGAAAGTAATGTTTTCCATTGTCTCTGTTTTTAAGGTAGAAATGTTTTCATTCTTAAAGCATCTTTGAAGCCAATGGACAGAAAGGTTTCTAATATTCTATCGGCCAGAGGCTTAAATACAAATGGCCTGGCAGGGCAGGTATTTTCTCCTTTTACAGGTGAAGAAACTGAGACTTAGAAAGTTTCATCAACTGCCCAATTTCATAGCTGGTAATGACAGATCCAGATTCAGAGCAGATCTGCCTGGCTTCAAAGCCCACAGCATGTCCTCTCAGGAAGCCACCTCCTTTTAGGATAAACAGCATTAAATGAACCAGATCCAATGATTCCAAATTTACTTCTCTAACCCCAACTTCTCACTTGCGTCTTAAATCTGTATCTCTAAACTACCCAGGCAAACATCTCTCCTTATCTCTTTCATTTACATCTCTTTCACATGACACAAAACAAATCTATCATATTTTCCTTGAACCTGGATTCCATTCAATCACTCAACAACCACTGCACTCCAGTCTGGGCTACAGAAAGGATTTTCTTTCTTTTTTTTTTTTTTTTTTTTTTTTTTTTTGAGACAAAGTCTCACTCTGTTACCCAGGCTGGAGTGCAGAGGCACGATCTCAGCTCACTACAACCTCCGCCTCCCAGATTCAAGCAATTCTCCTGCCTCAGCGTCCCGAGTAGCTGGGACTACAGGCACGCACCACCACACCTGTCTAATTTTTGTATTTTATTAGTAGAAATGAGGTTTCACCACACTGGCCAGGGTGGTCTCGAACTCCTGACCTCGTGATCCACCCGCCTCGGCCTCCCAAAGTGCTGGGATTACAGGCATGAGCCACCATGCCTGGCCAAAAAGAATGGATTTTTATATTTTGAAACTTAACAACCATGGCAATATTACTAACTTTTCTTCAAGGTTTACCATATGCCAGTTTTGCTTTAAATTTATTTAGTGCATGTTGTAGATGTATCATTTCAACTGATCCCCATAACAACCCTCTGAAGGAGGATGAGTACTGGGTTAAGTGATGCCTTCACCTGCTTTGTGAAGCTTATAAATGAGAATGAGAGAAAGAGACTGAAAAACTAATTGTATTAATAATGTATTAAAATAAAATAGAGATAGGTGGTACAAAGTAAAAGTGCAGAATGACATTATACAGGGAAATCTAATCTAATCTGGAAGATCACAGCAAATATACCAAGGAAGTAATAGTTAAGCTGAAACCTGAAAGAGGGGGAGAAGTTAGCCATTCAAGGGAGGGGATACACGGGTTCTAGAGAAAGGACATAGGTAATGTACATGCTTCAACATGGGAAGGAGGTGGTACCTTCGAGGAACTGAAAAACAGGTGGGCTGGGGGGTGGGGAGTGAGGAGAAAGAATTGCAGATCAATGTGGACAGGCTGGCAGGCTGCTGGACCACACAGTGTCCCATAGGCCATGTTGAGGACTTTTGAGATTAAAATTGGGATAATAATTTCTTGTAGGGTTTTAGGCAGGAGAGATACATGATCGTATTTGTGTTTTTAAAAGATCACTCAGCCATTGGGTACAACAGACTGGAGAGGAGCAAGAGTGGAAAGAGGAGCCCATTAGGATGCGGCAGAAATTGCTAGCTGTCTGCTTATGACATCCATTTCCCACTAATAATGGAACCCTGATTTTTAGGTGGTACCTTGGTACTCAGAATAAAAGACTGCACTTCTCAGCCTCCCTTTGCTACTAGGTATAGCCATGTGGCTAAGTTCTGGTCAATGAGATATTGGCAGAAGTCTTGTATGGAACATAAGGCAAAGCTGCTAAAGGGATCTGACTCTGGTGGGAGATGTCCCTTCTTGCTTTTCTGTCTTTCTTCCTTCCTCCAGCTTGCAATTCAGACAAGATGGCTGGAGCCATCTTTGGCAAAAACAAAAGATAAGCTAGGACTATGGAGAGGAAAGACAGGATCCAGGATCCCTGGATTGTATCCACCATAGCAGTTCTAGACAGCCCACTTCCAGTTTTTGGTTTGGTTTTTCCACACTGAGAAAAAGAAGAAACTTTATCTTGTTTAAACTATTACTTAGGGATTGTGTGTGGTACATAGCATAACCCAATCCTAACTGATACAGAGGCTGCTGTATTCACCCAAGAAGAGGTAATGGTGGTTTGGATCATGGTGGTGGCACAGATGGGAGGAGAAAGAGCAGGACTGAGATATATTTAGAAGGTGGAACCAATAGAACCTGTTGAGAGTCCAGACAAGAGAGGGTGAAGAGAGGGATAAGTTGAGACAGACTCTCAGGTTCCTGGCACAAGCAACTGGGTAGACCATGGTACCAATTACTGAACTAGAGATTACAGGGGTGGGGGACATCTTGAGATTCTTTTCAGACATTTGAATTTGAGATACCTGTGAGAACTCAGACCTCAGAATAGATATCAGGCTGGGAAACAAAGACTGGGAAAGTCATCTGCACACAGAAGTTAACTGAAGCCACTGGAACGGATGATGTCTTCTAAGGCAAGCACAGAGTGAGAAAAGAGACCCCACGAAAGAACCCTGAGGAACACGCACATGTGAGAGGCGGGCAGAGAAAGGGCAGCCCTGGAAGGAGACAAGCAGTGGCCAGAAAGGATACAGGAAAACCATGGATTTCACAAGAAGAGATACACACTAATTATTTATTGCACAAGCAAGAAGGGCCGTGGGCTACCGAAGCAGTAGGGAGAGAGAGCTGCTCACTGGAGTTCTAAGAGCAAGGACACGGGCTCTCAGAGGAGCATGACAGACAGCCAGAAGGAGGCTAAGGAAGGGGACGGGAAGCAGAATGTTATGAGTCTGGTGAGGTAGGAGGCATGTTCCAGCCTCCACCTGGAGAGACAAGCTGGGGAAAGACTGTGGAGGGATCTCCATGCCAGAGGAGGGGAGGAGAAATCATTCCCTTTCTCCCCAGAGAACCAACAGCCCAGTCAGTGGTTCCTCAGCTCACAAAGGCAGGGAGAGTCACAGGGGAAGCCCCAGGCTGCCAGATTCCAAAGTACTGTGGCTTATTTTTTTTTTTTTTTTTTTTTTGAGACAGAGTCTCGCTCTGTCGCCCAGGCTGGAGTGCAGTGGCGGGATCTCGGCTCACTGCAAGCTCTGCCTCCCGGGTTCACGCCATTCTCCTGCCTCAGCCTCCCGAGTAGCTGGGACTACAGGCGCCCGTACTGTGGCTTATTTTAAGGTGGACAGGTTTCCACCTACCACACTGGAACTTCTTTCAAACAATTATCTTCAGTTTTTCATTTTTAAATAAATAAACGTGTAAAGGCATATGGGGTAGAGAGTAAGAAATTTTATTTACTCAAATCAGTGTGAACCACCAAAAAGAATAGATTTTTAGGCCCAGTGCAGTGGCCCATGCCTGTAATCCCAGCACTTTGGGAGGCTGAGGTGAGCAGATCACTTGAGGTCAGGAGTTTGAGACCAGCCTAGCCAACAAGCCAAAACCCTGTCTCTACTAAAAATACAAAAATTAGCTGGGCGTGGTGATGCATGCCTGTAATCCTAGCTACTTGGGAGTCTGAGGCAGGAGAATTGCTTGAATCCAGGAGGCAGAGGTTGTAGTGAGCCAAAATCGCCCCACTGCACTCCAGCCTGGGTGGCAGAAGGAAAAAAAAAATGGATTTTTATATCCTGAAACTTAACAACAATGGCAATATTACTAACTTTTCTTCAAGGCTTACCATATGCCAGTTTTGCTTTAAATTTATTTAGTGCATGTTGTAGTTGTATCATTTCAATTGATCCCCATAACAACCCTTTGAGGTAGTAACTATTTATTGTCTCTGTTTTACAGATGAGGAAACTGAGGAAGAAAGTGGCTATGCTCACTTGCCCAGCATCATATAAGCTAGGGAGTGACAGAACCCAGGATTTGAACACTGACTGTCTGACATCAGAACTAGTGCTTCTGGTTTCAGAAAATCTGCTTTTCCTAACTATAGAAAAGAACATTGCTGGCCATTACATTAAAGTAAGCAATGGGAAAATAACTATGCAAAGCTGCAGGCAGGAAAATAATTTTCACTTCACTTGAGAACTGAGGGAACCAGCCAGACAAAGGCGAGGTGAGTTCCTTTTGTTTTCTTTAACTCGGTCTGTCACAGTAACTAAGAATAAAAAGAACTTGGATTTTATGGCCAGGCACAGTGGCTCACACCTGTAATCTCAACACTTTGGGAGGCTGAGGCAGGGGGATCACTTGAGGCCAGGAGTTTGAGACCAGCCTGGCCAACACAGTGAAACCCTGTCTTTACTAAAAATAGAAAAAATTAGCTGGGTACAGTGGTGTGCACCTGTAATCCCAGCTACTGGGGAGGCTGAGGCATGAGAATCGCTTTAGCCTGGGAGGTGGAGGTTGCAGTGAGCCGAGATTGCACCACTGCACTCCAGCCTGGGTGACAGAGCAAGACTCTGTCTCAAAAAAACAAAAACAAAAACTTGGGGTTTAGACAGCTCATGGTAGCACCAGTTTGCTCATTCTCAGAACTGTTCCTCTACACAGAGCCCCCTGCAATGTGCTTCTCACAAATGCATACTGCGCAGACCATTCAGTCAGCCCTGCCCATGAGAGCAAAGGAAGGTGTAACCCCAACATGATGGTCCCCATGTGACCCAGACACTGGGGTCAGGTGCAGGAAACTGTTCCACTTTTAGTCAAAGCTCACTGATGTATAAGTGAGTCTGAGACAGGGTGTCTGGGGCTCTGGAAATAAAGAACCAATATTTCCACCGGAGACACAAAGAGCAGGCCTCAGCATTTCAAATGAAGGCTTTTTAGCAGAGAAAAGTTACTGAGAATTCATAGTAGGGGTTCATGAAGCTACACTGAGATGTCTAAAATAAGCAGTCATAATTCATCAGAATTTGAAAGAACAGCCACTTTGGGCTAACTCAGAGAAACTTGCAAGCACAGAGGCACTCGCTTTACAGGCAGCACAGACACAGGGAGGAGCTGAGTATCCATGGGAATCTGTACAACGCAAGGAGCCATTATTAGAAACCACCACATATCAAGTCCTGTGCAGGCACTGGGGGAAGGAGGATACAATGATAAGCAGACAGGATCTCCTTCTCAATTTGCTTTCCTATATTTGCATTTGGTCAATGTGCAGAAAACAGTTAACATAGCAGGCCTGACACTGCTATTCTTAGCCAGGCTTACTTGCCTTTCTAGATTGGCCCTTGACTGGCATCTGGAAACTTGAATCTGGGGAGGGTCCCATGATTTCTAGCAGTGATGAGTGCCACAAGGGGTCTTAACGGTTTATACAAACAAAATGGTTCATGCTGAACACCTGCTTGCCTTCTGGGAGTCTGGAATTTGGGCACATGCTAGGCAGAGGGGCCTAAGTGACCAGCTCCCAGTTAAAAACCGTGGACACTGAGTGATGAGTTTTCTGGTAGGCAACATCCCACCTGTTGTCACAGCTCACTGATGGAGGTTTTAAGCCCACCCTATGTGACTCCACTGGGAGAGGACTCCTGTAAGCTCTGGAAGCTTGCACCTGGTTTCCTCCAGACTTCACGTGCCTTTTCCTTTCGCTGATTTTGCTTTGCATCTATCTCTTCACTGTAATAAATGACAGTCATGAGTACAGCTATTATCTAAGTCCCATAAGTCAGCAATCTGCAACGCTTTTTGGCACCAGGGAATGGTTTTGTGGAAGACAATTTTTCCATGGACCTGGGGTGAGCGGGATCATTTCAGGATGAAACTATTCCACTTCACATCATCAAGCATTAGGTTTTCATAAGGAGCACAAAACCCAGATCCCTCACATGTGCAGTTCACAAGAGGGTTCGTGCTCCTATCAGGATCTAATGCCAACACTGATCTGAAAGGAGGCAGAGCTCAGTGGGTAATGCTTGCTTGCTCACTGGCTGCTCACCTTCTCCTGTGCAGCCCAGTTCCTAACAGGCCACGCACCGAAACCGGTACCAGTCCGTGGTGCAGGGGCTGGGGACCCCTGCTGTAAGTCCTGCTAGCAAATCATCAAACCTGGCGGTGGTCTTGGAGATCCCCACCCCTGACACAGTTGGTGAACTAGAATGAGCTTCACTGTAAGAAAGACCTGGTTTAAATGCCAACTTTGACACTTATTAGTTGCAAATCATTGACTTAGTTAATTAAGCTCCCTAACCCTTGGATTTCTCTGAAAACTAAGATAATACAACTTGCCTCAGAAGACTGTGGTCAAGATTAAATAAGTTGTAGACACTCAATAAATGTTATATCCCTTTCTCTTTAGACTAACATGTGAATGGCACCCTCTAGGGTTATGCAGTGCCTGGCCTGCATAATAGCAGGCAGCCTCAGTGAGGCTCACTTCACCTGATTCTCCCTTCCACTCACTGGTGTGCTGGAGTCAGCTCATGACAGCTCATGAGAGCCCACTGTGCATGCCGTTCCCAGCTCTGTGCTCCATGACATCATGCAGGGGCCGGAGATCTGCCATAGTGGGAGTACTTAACACCATGAAAATTGGCAAATGCTGAAAATCAGGGCTTCTTCCTCTACTCCCAGTTGCTAAATATATACTATTATTAGCACATCACTGTCCCCTGCATTTTAAAAATCAAATAAAGAGGAGGTTCCCACCAGACAGGAGGTTTTCCAGCCTATATGCATTTTTTAAAATAAGCTACATATAAAGTTGCTCAATGGTATTAGCCATAGGGAAAGGCAAAACCACAATGAGATACCACTTCACACTCACTAGGACAGCTACAATCAACAAAAGAGAAAATAACAAGTGTAAAGAAGGATTTGGAGAAATTGGAACGCTTGCACACTGCTAATGGGAATGTAAGAAGTCACAGCTGCTTTGGGAAACAGTCTAACAGTTCCTCAAAAGGTTAAACATACTCAAAGCCAAAGCAATTCAGCTCCTATATCCCAGAGAAATGAAAACATATGTCTACACAAAAACTTGTACATGAATATTCATATCGGTTCTATTTCCAGTAGCCAAAAGGTGGAAACAACCCAAATATCCACCAACAGATGAATGAATAAACAAAATGTGGTCTACCCATGCAATGGAGCCATGAAAAGGAACAAAGTACTAATATATGCTACAACTTGAATGAACCTTGAAAACGTTATGCTTAGTGGAAAAAACCAGACACAAAAGTAACATATTGTATGATTCTACTTATACAAAGTATCCAGAATAGTCAAATCCATATAGACAAGAAGTAGATTAGGGTTGCCAGGGGCTGGGAGGAAAAGGAAATGGGGACTGACTTCTTAAGGGGGA
This sequence comes from Homo sapiens, assembly GCF_000001405.40. Lineage (NCBI taxonomy): Eukaryota > Metazoa > Chordata > Mammalia > Primates > Hominidae > Homo > Homo sapiens. The sequence goes on from NC_000004.12 coordinate 48,206,207, forward strand.
CAGTTTCTGTTTGGGTTGATGAAAAAGTTATGGAACTAGATAGTGGTGATTTTTAAACGACATTATAAATGTACTTAATGTTACTGAATTGTACACTCTAAAATGGTTACAAGAGTAAATTTTATGTTATGTGTATTTTTCCACAATAAGAAAAAAGAGATATTAAGAGAGTTAGACAAGCCACAAAGTACAAAGCACACACAGATGAGCTTCATTCAGAATATATATATTTTTTATACCTTTTAAAAACAAATAAGAAAAGAACAGAAAACCTAAGAAACAAAATGTAGAAATAGGTATTTCGATAGAGACTAAATGTCAATGGACAGTGAACACATGTAGACTTGCTCATTTTCATTCGTGATAAGAGAAATGCAAGTTAAAAATATAGTGAAATACCACTACACACACACCAGAGAAAGCAATATTTAAAAGTGTAAAATATGAAAAGTTGGCCAGGCGTGATGGCTCACACTTGTAATCTCAGCACTTTGGAAGGCTTAACAGGTAGATTGCTTGAGCCCAGTAGTTCAAGACCAGCCTGGGCAATATAAGGAGACCTCGTTGCTACAAAAAAAAAAAAAAAAAAAAAAATGAAAACAATTAGTTGGGCACGGTGATATGCACCTGTAGTCCTAGCTACCAGAGAGGGTGAGGCAGAAGGATTGGTTGAACCCGGGAGGTCAAGGCTGAAATGAGCCATAATCACACCACTGCTCTCCAACCTGGGTAACAGAGTGGAACTAAGTCTCAAAAACAAAAACAAACAAACAAAAAAACCCCACAAATAAAGAACGAGGGGCAAGGGTTCAAAGGAAGGAGACAGAGATCTTCTGCACCGTTGACAGGAATCCAAGAAAGGTAGAATTTGAACTATGCCTTAAAGAATGTGTAGGGTTTAGGTAGGCAAAAAAGGATGGGCATTCCAGGTCAGAAGAATGGACCAGGTGGTAGGAACATGAAAATAGAGTTCAACAGGAATCAGACAGTTTGATTGCAGCAGCAGAGAACCATGAGGAAAAAATATGGAATGAAGCTGAAAAGGTAGACTGAGGCCCCAGAAGACAGCCTGACAGACTAGTGATTCTGGAATTTATCTGGCAGGCATCAGGTGCTTTAACCCTTCAGGTCTTGAGTTGCTGGGATACTGCTTGTAACTACAAACCCTGTGTGTCTCATTCCCAAATGTCCTTTTAGGCTCCTTGTATTCCTCTGAGGAAAGGCATTCTTCAAGACGTCCTCAAGGAAAATATGTTTTCAACATTATAAAATAAACATGTTAAAGAATTTCCAGGCCAGGCATGGTGGCTCATGCCTGTAATTCCAGCACTTTGGGAAGCTGAGGCAGGAGAGTCACTTGAGTCCAGGAGTTCGAGACCAGCCTGGCCAACAAAGCAAGACCATGTCTCTACAAAAAAAAAAAAAAAAAAAATTAGCCGTGCGTGGTGGCACATGCCTGTAGTCCTAGCTACTTAGGAGGCTGAGGTGGGAGGATCACCTGAGCCCGAAAGGTTGAGGCTACAGTAAGCCATGATTGTACCACTGCACTCCAGCCTGGGCGACAGAGTGAGACCTCGTCTCAAAATAAAAAAACAAAAATCCAGAATTTAAGCATAATGGATTGATCACAAGCTCTTAACTCCTTTCCCTTATTGCACTCCACTAAAATGATAGGAAAAGGATTTTTTAAAATGTATAAATCCTAATAGAAGAAAAGAAGAGGAAATTGAATGAAAGAGAACAACACCATTTGGAAGAAAGAAGACCAAGGCAAACAGAGTAAGTCAACATGCCCACACCTACCGATGAGGACCCCAGTGAGAACAGAGTGATACACCCATCTGTGGTCCAGGCAGGCTCAGAACTTGGCTTCCCAGAGGCAGGGGTGAGGCAAAGAGCCAAAGTCTGAGCAGAGGGTGGGAGTGGCAGGTCTCCTCTATCCCACTTAGCCAACAACTGTGGCCAGCACATATGAATGCTTAATAACAATTTCTCCATCTGAGAATCATAATATTTGGCCATGAAAGGGATTCTGGTGATCACAGTCTAATTTCCTCAATTTAGGGTGGAAACTGAGGGACTGACCTCTCCAAGATCACACTGGCTAGCAGAGCCAGAACTAACTCCAAGCTTCTAACTGCCAGTTCATGTTTCACTGTGCCCTGGCGTGGCAACATACATGAATTAGCAACATCTTGTCTCTCCCATCTCAAAACCCTCCAAAATCTGCCTGTTACTTAAAAAACAAAAACAAAACAAACAAAAAAATGAATTTGCCCAGCTCTCTGGCCTCCTCCCCTCCCATGCCCACCCCATTCCACCTCAGTTCCTTTCCCTCTCTGCTGTTCTTTGAGCAATAAAGCATTTCCCACCTCCCTGGGGTCCTTTGTACTCTTGGCTTCTCCGTGGCCTGCCCTGCTCTTCCTAAGTTCTCTATTCCCTACCTACAGAAACAGCAGGCAAGGCCCCATCTCTCTCATGCGGCTTTACTTTTCTCATGGCAGGGGGATATTTACTGGTATCTGTACGTTGTCTGCATCTCCCCTTTAGAAGGTAAATTCCAGGACAGCAGGGCATTTACCTTCTATACTATTGTGTCCACAGAGCCTACAACAGTACTTGGCACAAAGTAGGTGCTTAAAATATTTTTGTCAAATGAACAGATTCAAGTAAAAAAGAATTGGGGGTGGTGGCTAAGAAATTCAAGTAGAGATGTCTGTGGGTGCCTTCCAAGTTAGATAGGCTGGGTTTGAATTCAATTATCCCACCGTGGTAGTCACTATGAATTATAAATCTAGATTTCTCTATTTCTAAATTTGTATTTCGGTCAATTCAGAAAATTTAAGGTTACTGGGTAGATATATTCCTCCACCACTCCCCATCAATGCCTCCCTCCAGAACACACAGCTTATAACTTTCTCAGCACAGAAAGTTTTAATCCCATGCTTTTGAATGTTCTTGTTTAGCACTTAAAATACCTTTTAATTTTTTTTAATTTTTTTCTTCTCGTAATTTGGATTAAATTCAGTAGAAAATAACCCTTCCATAATGAAGTTGATGATAGAAAACTATGTCTCTATGTAACAGTCAGACGTAGCAGAGTATAATGGTTGGTTACAAAATAAATTTGTAGGCAGGCACAGTACCTCACTTTGGGAGGCTGAGGTGGGAGGACTACTTGAGCCCAGGAGTTTGAGACCAGCCTGGCAACATAGAGAGAGCTCATCTCTACAAAAAAAAATTAAAAATAACAAATAATTAGTTGGGCATGGTAGCAAACGCCTGTATCCCAGCTATTCGGGAGGCTGAGGTGGGAGGATGGCCTGAGCCCAGGATTTTGAGGCTGCAGTGAGTTGTGAACACACCAATACACTCCAGCCTGGGTAACAGAGTGAGACTTTGTCTCAAAAAAAATAGATTTATAAAAAATCAAGCTTGATGATATATTAACAATAATTACAACATATCATGGGGAAAAAAACCTATTCACAAGAGTAGCTAAAACTATAAAATAGGAATACATTTAACAAGAAAAGTATAGGACTTCAAAAACAACAACTGTTTAACTCTATTCAGGGAAATAAAATTAACAGATTAAAGTAGAGACACACCACTTTGTTTTTCAAAGGAAGAACTTAGAGAACATAAACCAATTGTAAACATGCTTGTTTATTAGCTGTTTTACAGTGGAAATGTTTGAGAGTATTTCACTGTCAGAGTTTGCAGAAATTGTCAGATATTAGAACAAATGAAATGTTATGTGCTCTACAGAGGCAGATCCAGATTTTGAGGGATCTGAAGCTTAAACACTTTGGAGGAGAAATCTTTGTCAATTAAAAATTAAAAATAAAACTAAAATGCAAAATCATAAATGCAAAAGCTCTGGGGCCCTTCCAGAGGCCTTAGGAAGGGCTATGGAATTGAAAGAGCCTAAAGCTTACTTTTCTTTAACTCCATAGCAGACCCACCTCTGTTGTCATAAAAATGTAAAGTTGGTCAGACTCGGTAGCTTATGCCTGTAATCTTGGCACTTTGGGAGGCTGAGGCAGGAGGATCCCTTGAGGCCAGAAGTTTAAGACCAGCCTAGGCAACATAGCAAGACTCCATCTCTACAAAACTAAAAACAAAAAATTAGCAGGAATAGTGGCACGTGCCTGTCATCCTGGTCCTTAGGAGGCCAAGGTGGGAGGATCCCTTGAGCCCAGGAGTTTGAGGCTGCAGTGAGCTATGACCACACCACTGCACTCCAGTCTGAGTGACAGAATGAGACTGCCTCTTTATAAAAAAAATGGAGGAGGAGGAGGAGGAGGATGATGAGGAGGAGGAGGAGGAAGAGGGAGGAAAGAAAAACTAAAACTGAGAAAGCAACACCACAGTTACCACAACTGGCACCCTATCGATATGTGTACCACTGGCAAACATCCAGAGAAAAACATCCACAGCAGACGACCCCCAACAGAGTTCCATGAACATGGTTCAGAGATGTCAAACACATGAACCTACCCGAGGTATGCATTTCCACCAGTTACCAGAACTCCAAAACATAACCAGACTACCAGCACCACAGATCAATTTAAAGAGTGAATCACCTGTGATTAGTGACCTAATAACACAATGACACAATTACACTCATTGCAAATGCATTGATATCTGGGAAAAAACAGAGGCAAGAGCAAAGACTGAAACATGTAAAGACACAATGGGCAACAATGCAACCTACCTTATGTATATAATAATAACAGCTGCTTACATGCACTTACCTACCAGGACCTATCCTAGCCACTTTATCTATACTGATCCATTTACCCCTCAAAAACTCCTATGAGGGAAGTATTATTATTCTCCCCAGTTTAAAGGTGAGACACAGAGAGATTAAGTAATTTGTCCTAGGTCATGCAATTAATAAGTAACAGATTTAGAATTTGAACCCAGATAATCTGGCACAAGAGTCCATCCTCTTAGTCTCTCACTCCCTAACTTCACAGAAATTCTGTAAACTCAGAGATGGACCTAGACCACAGCTAAAGTTTCCTACAACTAAGAAGGAACAGAATACAGCTGATAAGCTGATTCTAGAACTTCAAGAAATATATTATCTCATCCAGTGAATTTTGGTCTTGTTTCCTGCAGATATTTTCATCAGAACACCTATCATTAGAAAGTGATTGTGAAGTCTGAAAATAAAAAAATCACTCTGAGGTTCAAAAAAAATTTTTTTAATTATATCTGATCATTAGCATCAAGCTGCTCATCATTTTCCAAGAAAATTCAAAGTTTTACTATTTATCCTTATATTGTACTACAATCAGTCCTAGTCAGGATAAGTTAACCCAAAAATGAGCTTACTTTACTATTTTCTAAAGTGTTAAACTAAATTACAAATATATTGCAGTAAATGTCCAGGAGTCTTCAACTGTGACAGTTTCTCTGCTGTTGAGATAGACAATGAACGTGAATAAATTCATCTTTGAGTCACTTGTGAGTTTTCTTTAAGAAGAATCACTTAAAGTATATATGAAATGTACCATTTAACAAAACTCACTTTAAAGTTCTTGAGCCTTACCACCTAAGCATAACCCTTTTCAGCTTCTTTAATATAAGCATTCACAGGCTGGGCACAGTGGCTCATGCCTGTAATCCCAGCACTTTGGGAGGCCGAGGTAGGTGGATTGTCTGAGCTCAGGAGTTTGAGACCAGCCTGGGCAACACGGTAAAACCCCATCTCTACTAAAAATACAAAAACTTAGCCAGGCGTGGTGGCACGCACCTGTAGTCCCATCTACTCAGGAGGTTGAGTCATGAGAATCACTTGAACCCCGGAGGCGGAGGCTACAGCAAGCAGAGATCATGCCACTGCACTCTAGCTTGGGTGACAGAGTGAGACTCTGTCTCAAAAAAAAAAAAATATATATATATATATATATATGTATATAAAAGCATTCACAGAAATATTTTTTTTCTGCTGGTCTCTCTTTTCTGCACAATTCTAATTTACTTAAATGCACAGGGTTCCTAACACCTCACAGGGGTACAGTGCGGAAAAAAACAAACATAAATGAACCACTGGTAAAAGAACACCCGTTGCAAGGTTTGTTATCTATACAGCCAAAGAAGGGAAGGAGGAAGGAAACATATGAATAGAGGTGGTCAGTGAAGTTACTGTTTAAGGAAGTCCCCCTTTGTGGGAAGTAGAACAGTGTGGTTTAACAGTACACTCGCCCGAAAGATAAGACATCTTGGTTCGCCTCCTCAGATGGGATGTCACTTCAGAGAACACTGTCCCCTAGTTTCTTCACTTGTAAAATAGTCCGTGGGCAAATCTGTGGGTTGTTTACAGTTATACTTTATGGGGCACTGAAGACAACAGAACAATGCAAGTATGTATACAAAACACTGATATTTCTGTGGGATCTGTGCTATGTAAAATGTAAGAACAGGAGGAAACCTTGAAATCCTCTAGGCACAACTGCCCCATATTACACTTGGAAACCCAATGTCCAGTGAAGTTGAGAGTCCCGTGGGCAAGTGCAAACAACGGTGGCACACAAGGTAAGAACGCCAGGTCTCAAGAGACCCCCTTCATAGCACAGCAGAGGTAGCATAACAAAGTATGTCATTATGAACCCACAGAGGTAGAACTATAGCTTAATCAGATTGTAAGCTTAATGAGGCCAGAACCATTCATCTTTTAATTACTCCATCCCTAGCACTGGGTACACACTCACTAAATCTTTGTTGTACAAGTGATGAAGAAAGTAAAACAAATGAGCTGAGTCCCATATTACAAATAAAAGATACTTCTACCAGGAAATTATAAACATATTCCTCTCAAAGGCACAAAATTTATATTTTACAATCTTATGAGTAAGGAATTACACCTATCCATGTGACTTTCGTAGTCGCAAATAAAATTAACAGCAATGCCTATGTGATTGCTTGGAATAAAGATAGAATAAGAAACATGTCATCTAACTAGGTAATGGGGAAAAATTCCTTTCCAATAATCTATTAAAAATCATTTTGCAATTTCACCTCAGTCTCTTGCTTACTCGTTTAATTTTATTTAACAAACAATATTGCACATATTTTGTAGTATTTTCTTTTCAGGGGCTTACCAATGTAGAATCATGCGAAACTTTGAGAAAGTTTTCTAATATGAAAAGTAAAAAAGGTAAATGAAGAGCTTTGGTAAGAAGACCAAAATGGTATTTTTATCTGAAGTAGTAATCAGTGAACATTAATATTTATTTATCTCAGAAGTACAGTATATTCACAAAACTAAAAGGTAATAACATCAGAAGTCCTCCTAAAAAAGTAATAATAGAATTAATTGCTGAGTAACACAAGTGTTTCTAAGCTCCTTTCTGCATATAATTTTCTACACGTACCTGACCAGCATCAACCTATGGCTAACAGTTGGTGTGTCTGAAATAGTTTTAGAAACAACTCAAAATGTAGTATCACTTTCTTAAATTGTCATGTGATTTCTTTTGACAGTTGATAACTTTGTTTATAATAATGTCCACATCTAGTTTGGGGGAGAGATTAATACTAATAAATACTGAATTAAAACATACCCTTGTTTTAGATTTTTTTTAAGAGATAGTCTTGCTATGTTGCCCAGGCTAGACGTAAACTCTTGGACAACATAGCAAGACTCTGTCCCTGAAAAAAAATTTCTGGGTGTGATCCTCTGACCTCAGCCTCCTGAGTAACTGGGATTATAAGTGCTAGCCACTATGCCCAGCTGTTTCTAAATTTAAATAATGCACCACTTCAAAAAATAAAATGGAACAAAATTATGTGGGGAGTAACTCTCACAATGTGAGATCTTTATATTAAAGATCTTTTTGCTTACTTTAAATATTTACTGATCATCACCATTGTAATTACTACCAACAAAAACTTTTTTAAAAGGCTAATGGGTGCGAGGTATTGTGTGTGATATGTTTAAATTACAAAACAACTTCTTCCCTCAAGGAAATTATTATGTAGCCGGTGAGAAAAAAAGGCAATAATCATAACACATATACATTTAACAGGAAATTACATTTAAACAGGAATTCAGAAAGGGCAAGGCATGTATAACCAGAGGGGTGTACAAAGCCTCCCACTTAAAAGGATTTGGGATGAGACTTGAGTAAATAGACAGGAGAAGGAGAACTGCTAGGCACAGCAGGACCAAAGCTTCAAAGGTAGGAAAGTGACAAGCACAGACAGTCCCAAGTTATGGTTTGACCTAACGATTTTTCAAATTTATGATGATGCAAAAGCAATACATATTCAGTAGAAACCATACTTCATGTACCCATACTACCATTCTGTTTTTCACTTTTAGTACAGTATTTAATAAATTACATGAGGACTGGGTGTGGTGGCTGACACCTGTAATCCCAGCACTTTGGGAGGCCAAGGCGGGTGGATCACTTGAGCTCAGGATTTTGAGACCAGCCTAGGCAACATGGCAAAACCCCATCTCTACTAAAAATACAAAAAAAATAGCCAGGCGTGGTGGTATGTGCCTGTGGTCTCAGCTTCTAGGAAAGCTGACATGGGAGGATTGCTTGAGCCCAGGAGGTGGAGGTTGCAGTGAGCTGAGATCACACCACTGCACTCCAACCCGGATGACAGAGCAAGACCCTGTCTCAAAAATAAAAATAATTAGGCCGGGCACAGTGGCTCACTCCTGTAATCCCAGCACCTTGGGAGTCTGAGGTGGGCAGGTGACAAGAAGTGAGGAATTCAAGACCAGCCTGACTAACATGGCAAAACCCTGTCTCTACTAAAAATACAAAAATTAGCCAGGCGAGGTGGATCATACCTGTAATCTCAGCTACGTGGGAGGCTGAGGCAGGAGAATCGCTTGAACCCGGGAGGCGGAGGTTGCAGTAAGCCAAGATCATGCCATTGCACTCCAGCCTGGGCTACGAAGCAAGACTCCATCTCAAAAAATAAAACTAATTAAAATAATTTTTTAAATTACATGAGATACTCAACACTTTTTTATAAAAAGGCCTGTGCCGGGCGCAGTGGCTCACGCCTGTAATCTCAGCCCTTTGGGAGGCTGAGGTGGGTGGATCATTTGATGTCAGGAGTTCAAGACCAGCCTGGCCAACATGGCGAAACCCCATCTCTACTAAAAATATAAAAATTAGCCAGGCGTGGTGGCACGCATCTATAATCCCAGCTACCTGGGAGGCTGAGGCAGGAAAATCACTTGAGCCTGGGAGGTGGAGACTGCAGTGAGCTGGGATTGCGCCACTGTACTCCAGTCTGGGCAATAGAGTGAGACCCTGTCTCAAAAAAATAATTAATTAAATAAATAAAATAGGCTTGTGCTAGATGATTTGGCCTAACTGCAGGCTAATGTAAGTGTTCTGAGCACATTTAAGGTAGGCTAGGCTAACCTACAATGTTCAGTAGGTTAGGTGTCCCAAATACATTTTCAGCTTACAATGGGTTTATCAAGAGGTAACCCTGTCGTAAGACAAAGAGCATCGGTATTTGCAAGCAAAGGAGTCTGAATAGTCACTAGATGGTATCCATTATAACAACCATATTATTGACACTGTATAGAATTAGAGTCCTTATCCACTGGGCAACCCAGACACATCCTTTCCAGAACTAAGGCAGTGCACTCAGAGAGCATGATCCAGAAATATTCGATATGAGCTTGGGTCCAGGCTTAACAACCAGCTCACTAGGTGACCTGGAGCAAACCATCTCCTTATCTTCAGTTTTCACAAGTGAAAAATCTGGAGGTGATTCTTTAAAGTCTCTTTAAGCTCTAAAATTGCATGATTCCTCCTTATTACTAACAAATCAACTATCTCCTTGTATTTATCCTCTTGTAATTATTTGCTTTATAAATCTTTATAGGCCTCAGAACAGAACAGTTCCACAAACACACTAAGTCCCCTTTCACCCCAGGGCCTTTGCACCTGCTGTTCCCTCTGCATTGAATGGACTCTCTCTGCCCATCATTGCTCACATTCTCACCCTTGGCCAAGTGGCCTTCCCCAATCTCTACGCCCCAGGAAAAAAAAAAAAACAAAAAACTGTATACAGGTCTATACTCTTGCCACCAAGGATTCCTCCACTCATAATTTGGTCTCTTTTTAAACTGTCTTCCAGTGTAAATGCTATCATCCCTATCTTCAAAATAAACACTTTCTAGAAACTATTAATTACAAGGAAGTAATTTCAAAGATTTCTAAGAATTCCTCAGCCCAGTAGTTCATAGCATAAAAGGAGAAATACAACTCAAGTTACACAAATTGTGATGTCAAATGTAGTTCTTTTTTAAAAAAAATGCAAGAAGTTACATACATTTCAAATTAAGACAATTTTTTTTCAAGGTAGACAGGTAGGAGAAGAGGGGTGGGTAGAAACACTATGTTTATTTCAACTACAATGCCATTTTCCAAATATTCTAGGAATCATTCTTTTTGTAATTGCCTTCAGTTCCTATGTCACAGTCTTGAATATGTTCAGTGGAAAAATAGCTAAATAAAACTTTGCTTAAAACTCAACTTTCTGATATCACTAAAAATTGCTGACGGACAAGTTTTATGACTAAATTAAATTAAGTAATACCATTTCTGAACAACAATGCTGATTTTTCATATAGCCTTTCTCTCATCATAATACAAATAATCAAATGAATAAAACACAACTATCACAGCCAGATCAAAGAGTGTTTTTCAAGATCTAGAATATGTCTATTGTTTCTACTCTTAAGTTGCAGGAGGACCAAACCTTTGATTAAACTCCTCTCTTCATTTAGTAGTAATTACCCCATAAAAAGCTCTGCATGCCTGACAACTGTTTTAATACAAAATAATAAAAAATTAAGCTAGAAGGGGAGGAAACGAGAGAGATGGTAAACAGTAACAAGTGATTTTTTTTTTTTCTTGAGATGGAGTCTTGCCCTGTCACCCAGGTGGGAGCGGAATGGCGTGATCTCAGCTCTCTGAAACCTCTGCCTCCCAGGTTCAAACGATTCTCTTGACTCAGCCTCCCGAGTAGTTGGGATTACAGGTGCCCGCCACCATGCCCAGCTAATTTTTGTATTTCTAGTAGAGACGGGGTTTCACCATGTTGGCTAGGCTGGTCTCGAACTCCTGACCTCATGATCCGCCCAACTCGGCCTCCCAAAGTGCTGGGATTACAGGCGTGAGATACCGCGCCCAGCCAGTAATAAGTGATTTTTACTCATCCTAGTGAACCATGCTACAATAATTTCTTTGGTGGGGAGGGACACCTTCAGCTCCTAATGATAACCATGACAATGAAAGTAGGAGAATAGACTACACTGATTTTTAAGTTTGTGGACTCTTACGTGAAGTCATTGTATGGACTCTTACATGAAATCATTGAGTAGTCATGAGATAGCTGGCATTTTATAGTATGTAACAAAGGACAGCATTTCTTCCGTATTATCTCTTCCTCTCACCATAGATATTTTAAAACTTTATGTCTTGACCAACTGAATGCAATGTGTGATTATGGATTAGATCCTGGACTTGGGGCTGGAGGGGCAGGGAGGGTGAGGAATAGCTATAAAGGCATCAGTGGAATAATAAATGAAATGTGCTCTGGATCTCCAGATTCAATAATAGTATATCAATGTTAAATGTCTTAATTTTGATCACTGTACTGTAATTATAAAAAAGAATGTCTAGGGGTATGGATGGAGGGAATGTTAGTATCCCCCTATTCTGTCTTAAATAGATTTCAGCTTCCTAGAGAAAAAAAAAAAAAGACAGTGAATATCATTAAAGAAAGGTAAACAATTTGGCAAATTAAAGGAGTAAGTAAGACCCTTGGACTTCGGACCTGGCATCATGGCCTCTTGAAGTGATTAATGACAAGAAAGGTCAGATCTAGGAGAGTAGAATAAAAACACAGATATGAATCAGAAATGGGAGAAGAGATACAAGAAAGGAAATTGAGACACAAAGAAGAAAGTTGATACCACCTAATTTCAGAAACAAAGAAATTCAATTGTCTAAGAATATGAGTTTTCAAGGCATAATATAGTTGAGAATTTCCAGAGCCAGAATAATCCCATCACACACTAATGATTACATGGAGTATTTAGAGTCATGTCACTTTTGTTGTTGTTGTTGTTATACAGAAGATGGCTTGCTATGTTGCCCAGGCTGGTCTCAAACTCTCTACCTCCTTATGTGTCAGGACCACAGGCCTGAGCCACCACACCTGCCAGAGTCATAGCACTTTTTACAAGCTGGTGGACTGCCTGGTAATCTCTAACATTTGATGCAGATACTTCCAATTGCCCGGTAGTACAAGAAATTATTCTTTTCCCATTCCACACCAACTCCCCAGAACCCTAGGAAGTGCTGAAAGATACAAACCTTCAGGTAAAGATTAGAAGGACCCAATAAACCTACAGTTTCCACTTGGGGAACCACCTAATATACGAATATAACTAAGGGAGAAACATCAGATCATCTCAGAACCTCAACAGGCTCTTATCCCTGTATCACTAAGTCTCCAGGTTCCCAGGATTGGTCAAGAAAAAAACCAATATGACCCAGGAGAGCCTATACAAATGAGAGATTTCCCAGGGTGTTTGAGACTCATGTCATCGTACTTGTAACTGATTGCCTGCCCCCACCATCATGTTTGTTAACCTAGGTAAAATATTAAAGTTTCAAGCATCTCGTAACAAGAGAATGCTCAATTTTGGTACAACCAGATTAAATAAGAGAGGCACTGTGGGTGGAGGATTACCTAGGTGCCAAGGCAAGAGACTGAAGGCACAAAGTATTTCAGTATAATAAAGAAAGTAGTTAGAATAAGAATAGTCATAATACAAATTAGATATAGAGAGGACCATGAAGAATTATCAGTCATTATTATAAACATTATTAATCATTAGCTTTTAATATTACTCTTTGTTGCATTACTAATATAACCTAGGAATAACCAGCGGGTATAGGGTCAGGTGCTGAAGGGACATTGTGAGAAGTGACCTAGAAGGCAAGAGGTGAACCTTCTGTCATGCCCGCATAAGGACCGCTTGAGGGCTCCTTGGTCAAGCGGTAACGCCAGTGTCTGGGAAGGCACCCATTACTTAGCAGACTGCAAAAGGGAGTCTCCTTTCCTTGGAGGAGTCAGGGAACATTCTGCTCCACCAGCTTCTTGTGGGAGGCTGGATATTATCCAGGCCTGCCTGCAGTCATCCGGAGGCCTAAACCCCTCCCTGTGGTGCTGTGCTTCAATGGTCACGCTCCTTGTCCACTTTCATGCTCCTCCTGTACTCCTGGTTCCTCTTTGAAGTTCGTAGTAGATAGCAGTAGAAGAAATAGTGAAAGTCTTAAAGTCTTTGATCTTTCTTATAAGTGCAGAGAAGAAAATGCTGACGTGTGCAGAGAAGAAAACGCTGACGTATGCTGCCTTCTCTCTCTCTCTCTGCTTCAGCTACCTAAAAGGGAAGGGCCCCCTATACTGTAATCACGTGATTTGCTTCACCTTGTCAATCACTTAGAAGATTCACCTTCCTTACCCTGCCCCCTTGTCTTATATGCAATAAATATCAGCAAGCCCAGCCATTCGGGGCCACTACTGGTCTCCGTGTCTTGATGGTAGTGGTCCCCCAGGCCCAGCTGCTTTTTCTTTATCTCTTTGTCTTGTGCCTTTATTTATTACAATCTCTTGTCTCCACACACGGGGAGAACACTCGCTAAGCCCCATAGGGCTGGACGCTGCAAGGCATCTGTGGCATTTTGGGAAGAGCACTGAACTTAAGAGTCACAATATCAAGGTTCGAATTCTAATTCTTCTACCTATTAGCAGTGTGACAACCTTTCTGATTGTCTTGGTTCACAACATACATTTATGTCATGGTTCACAACATACATAAATCCTAAATTTATCCTAGAGATGGGGAGATGGGGAGAACTCAATCTTAAATTCCTAAATACATTTAGGATTGAGTTCTCCCCATCTCCTCATCTCTAGGATATCCAGTGCATCCAGCCATGCAACATGTTCTGAGTACTCCCTCTGCCCTAGGCCCACAGAAATACAAAAATGGATATGAACCCTGCCCTCAAAGAGTTTGATATGGTTTGGATATTTGTCCCCTCCAAATCTAATGCTGAAATATAATCCCCACTGTTGGAAGTGGACCTGGTGGGAGGTGGTTTGGGTCATGGGGGGCAGATCCCTCATGAATGGCCTGGTGCCCTCCTAGATGGTAATGAATGAGTTCTCACTCTGAGTTCATGTGAGATCTGGTTGTTTTAAAAGAGTATGGCATCTCTCTTGCTTGCTCTCATCATGGAATACACCAGGTCCCCTTTGCCTTCCACCATGATTGTAAGTTTCCTAAGGCCCCATCAGAAGCAGATGCTGGCACCATGCTATTTGTACAGGCTGCAGAACAGTGAGCTAAATAAACCTCTTTTATTTATAAATTACCCAGCCTCAAGTATTTCTTTATAGCAATACGAATGGACTAATACACAGCTAAAAAGAAAAGAAAAGAAAAATACCTCTCCTATACTCTCTCAGCACTTCTGACACCAAATATGTGGCAGGGAGTGGGGTTTCCACAACAGCCAGCTCTCCAATTCTTGGCACACACCAATTGAGTGTCCTACAATTTAACTCAATTCTGACACTAACTGCTCAGAATTAAGACAGACCCCACAGACCAAAGGATCACTCCCAGAACACTGCCCTCTGCTTCAGATGTCAATCACAAGTAGTGGATCCCCAGGTTACCACAACTCCTGTCTGACTTGGCTACATATGGAGGTTCCCACAACCCCCTCCTTGGGTTCAAGAATTTGCTGGAACAGCTCACAGAACCCAGGGAAAGTGTACTTACTATTATCAACTTATTACAAGGATATTTTAAAGGATACAAATGAACAACAGGATAAAGAGATACACAGGGTGAGGTCCAGAAGGGTCCCAAGCACAGAAGCTTCTGTCTCCATGGAGTTTGGGTTATACCATTTATATGGTTTGGCTGTGTCTGCACCCAAATATCATCTTGAATTGTAGTTCCCATAATCCCCAACGTGTTGTGGGAGGGACCCAGTGAGACATAATTGAATCCTGGGGGCGGTTACCCCCATGCTGCTGTTCTCCTGATAGTGGGTGAGTTCTCACAAGATCTGATGGTTTTATAAGGGGCTTTTCCCGCTTTGCTCAGCACTTCTCCTTGCTGCCACCATGCGAAGAGGTATGTGTTTGCTTCCCCTTCCGCCAGGATTGTAAGTTTCCTGAGGCCTCCCCAGCTATGCTGAACTGTGAGTCAATTAAACCTCTTTTCTTTGTAAATTACCCAGTCTTGGGTACGTCTTTATTAGCAGTGTGAGAACCAACTAATCCAACCATCCTCTAGCACATGCACACATTCTTGTTCACTAATCTGGAAGCGCTATGAACCCCTTCTGTTAGGGTTTTCATGGAGGCTTCACTACGTAGGCATGATAGATTAAATCTTTGGCTATAAATGATTATTAGCTCAACCTCTGGTGCTTCTGCCCTCCCTAGAGGTTGGAGGGTAGGGCTGAAAGTTCCAACCCTCTAATCACATGGTTGGCTCCCCTGACAACCAGATCCCCCATCCTAAAGTCAACCTATTACTTTCCAAAAGTCACCTCATTAACATAAACATAGCTACGGCTGAAAGGGGCTTGCCAAAATGTATATTTCTTATTATACTACACTATCACAGGAGCTTAAAATCCAGTAGGTAACACAGATATGTAAATAGTCAGGTAGTCAAGATACCATAATAATGTGTACAGAGCACAAAGGGGAGGAGGATCCATTCTACTTTTGCCAGGAGGGAGACAGAAAAGGCTTCTGAGAAGATGGGGATTGAACTATGTCAGAAAAGATGAGTAAGTGTTCCCCAGGCACTCAACAAATTTTTGAAAGATAAAATAGATGGTGGCTGGATAGATGGATCCTGGCAGGCAGGCAGAGGAGTGTGTCACTCCAAATAGATTGAAGAGTATTAGCAAAGGCACGATGTGAAAGGGCAACTGTAAGTAGGAGACACAGCCAGAAGAGGAGGAAGAGGAGAAGAAGAAAAAATTGCATCAAGTACTTCGTATCCCAAACTAAGGAATTTTAACTTGATCCTAGAGAAGCTATGCATTTTGCAGATGAAAGATGAAGATCCAGGAATTGAATCAAGTAGGGCAGTAATCCACCTAAAACTGGGGTTGGGAGCTGCAATAAGCCTGCAGTAGAGAAAATTCACCGATATGATGCTTAATTTTATGTGTCAACTTGAATGGGCCATGGGGTACCCAGATTAAACATTGCTTCTGAGTGTGTCTGTGAGAGTGTTTCTCGGTGAGATCAGCATTTGAATCTGTGGACTCAGGAAGCAAACTGACCTCCCCAATGTGAGCAGGCATCATCCAACCCTGAATAGAACAAAAGGTAAGGAAAGAGGAATTTACCCCTTTTTCCTTGCCTCACTACTTGGGCTGAAACATCCCATCTCATCATCTCCTGTCCTCAAACTGGGATTCACATCACTGGCTGTCATGGTTCGCAGGCCTTCAGACTCAGACTGAACTACATCACCAGCTTTCCTGGGTCTCCAGCTTGCAGAGAACAGACTGTGAAACCTCTTGGCCTCCACAGTTGTGTGAGCCAATTCCTCACAATATATCTCCTTTTATGTACATACATACACACACATACACATATATATACATACCCATACATTATATCATATGTATATATCCCATATATATCCTTTTGGTTCAGTTTCTCTGAAGAACCCTGACCAATACAACAGGAACTGGTAACAGATCAGATGTGTGTTGGGGTTGAAATGCTGATGAAACGGAGGAGCTAACAGTTTGAAAAGATATTATGTGTCAATTATAAATTTAAAAATTAATTTGAAGAAAGTATAAAGACAATATATACACAAAAAAATGTTTAAACTATAGATTGGAGAAAATTATTTTATAAAGTCCAATGAGAGAGTGGTAGATCCAGGACAAAAACCCTCTCAAGTGTTAATTCTCTTCCATCACAAAGAAAATTTTTTTAAAGAAGTTATAACTGAAAGTAACAAACAAAAATATCCATGAAACTTTTAAAATGTTATCTGTATTATGGGGTGCTAACTTTAAGATGTTTAGATTTTTTTTTCAAATTTTCATTGGAATATCAAGATTATTTCAAAGATAGGCTTTGAAGAAATATACCTGCAATTTCTGGAAGGTGTGCGCAATCTCTTGTAAGCTGTATGTTGTGCAGGTTTTTAATTTTTCTAAGCCTTAGTTCTGCATTTTGAAATTAAGTCTAACAAGACTTAATACAGAATTGTTTTGAGAAATAAGAGAAATAATGCATGTAAAGTACTTAGCACAGTGGTTAATTTGTAGTTAGTGCTCAATAGGTTGTATCATTTTTACTACTAATGTGCAGAAAAGAGTTAACACAGCAGGCTTGAGGCTGCTGTCCCAAGAAAGGCCTGTTTACAAGGCTGATCCTTGCCTGGCATCTGGGAACTTGGACTTTGGGAGGGTCCCACTATTACCAACACTGATGAGGTGGCTCACTGTACCTAAACTGTACAATGCAGTTCATGCTGAAGACCTGCTTTCCTTCTGGAGTCTGGAACCTTGGTACACTAGGCATAGGACACCTGTGTGATCAGCCTCCAACAAAAACCTTGGGCACCAAGTCTCTAATAGCACATTTCACAATTGTCACAATTGGATGCTGGAGGAATTATGCACATCCTCTGGGACTCTACTAGGATAAGATTCTTGGAAGCTTATGCCTGGCCCCATGTGTCTTTTCCCTTTACTGATTTTGTTTTGTATCGTTTCGCTGTAATAAATCTAGTTGTGAGTATGACTCAATGCTGAGTCCTGTGAGCTGTCATAGTGAATCACTGAATGTACAGGTGGAGTTGGGAACCCTGGCACAACGAGTTTCCCCATTCCTTCAACTTTGTAAGTTATTTGCCAGCTTCCATGCTGGGGCAGTACAACAGACAAAAAGCCAACCAAATTAAGAGATCCAAAGTCCAATTCTAAAAATTCCTGATTTCTTAGCTAATGATAGTTGCAAATTTACATACTACTTCAATTTTTTAAATTCAACATCTCAACCTATAGAAATCAATTCCTCATTTTCTCTCTCACTATTATTTGTAGATCTTTTTCCTGATCAAACTCCAGTGCTGCTCTTCCTTGGTTCCCACCTCATTATCCCATGGAGCCTCCACTGAAACATTGGGTGGTCTGTCCCCTGTGTCATTTAGCCCCGTGACTAGAAAGCAACATCACTTATGAAACCTCCAGTGTCCTTTGCTCTGTGTTATCCTGAATAGGATCAAATAATATAAACTTCCAGGAAGATCTTTTTTCAGTTCATTTGGAATATGTGGAAATACACATGAATTAACTAACTACCATAAAGAAAGGAGGACAAACTAAAGAAGGACCCACAGCGGAAACTGAAATGCAAGTTTTGCAAAATTAGACTGAGGAAATGGTTTGAGTGAATTTCTCGTTATCTAGAATAGGATTTTTCAGCATATTTCAACAAGCACAGAAAGGTTTATTACATAATAGGAAGAATTTCAAGAAAAGCTTGCTGTCATCATGTTGAAGAAGCTGTCCAGAGAATAAGGAGAAGATGGACGTCTTCTGTCTAACATTATGAACTGAGAGTTTTAACGAGTATTAGTGGCACTTGGTAGCCACAAAGAAACCATAAATCATAGTTATTAGATCAATCGACAGCCTCCTCATTGTTTTTCTATTGAAAACAGGAGAACTATGAACAATAAAAATAAATATCTCTAGGGCTATTTTATTTCTGAATGGCCCCTGTGGTTCTAATTTACTTCTAGAGTCACATTTTTTTAACAAAATATTATTTTTAAAAACCTGTTGATTTGCACAGATTACTCATGTCACATCCTTTTTTTCTCTTTCTTTTTTTCTTTTCCTTTTTTAGATGGAGTCTCGCTCTGTTACCCAGGCTGGAGTGCGTGGTACAACCTCAGCTCACTGCAACCTCTGCCTCCTGGCTCCAAGCAATTCTCTTGCCTCAGCCTCCTGAGTAGCTGGGATTACAGGCACCTGCCACCACACCCAGCTAATTTTTTTGTATGTTTAGTAGAGACGGGGTTTCACCATGTTGGCCAGGCTGATCTCAAACTCCTCACCTCAAGTGATCCACCCACCTCAGCTTCCGAAAGTGCTAGGATTACAGGCATGAGCCACCACGACCGGCCCTCACATTCTTTTCCGAATCACAGCTTCCAGGGATAGGGAGATGGAAATCAGAAGATTGATCCACGGCAAACAGTGAACTGAGCACATTAGCACAAACATGGAAGAAACATAGCAACAAGGTGTTGCTGGCCATGCCTAGAAGCCAGGGAGAGCTGTTGGGGAATTCAGCCCAGCACTGTCAGAACTTTTGTTATTTTAAGAAGCCAGATTCTTACAAAGTTTCTTTTTTTTTCTTTTTTTTTCTTTTTTTTTTACTACTGACAATTATTTTACTATGAGAGGCAAACAAATCTGTGACCACATTTCAAGGCATAGGTCACAAGTATGCCAGTGAATGTTGGTCCATGAGAGAAGAAACCAGAAGGGATCAAAACGCCCAGCTCATCAGAGGAGTGGGGGTGAAGGCAGGAATTAAGTAACAGGACTAGGCTCTCTAGCCCAGGCAGCAGCAGCCAGAAAGGAGGTGGATTCTGCCAGGAAGTGTTAGAGGCTGGGTTTTTCTGTGTTGTGACTACCTCCTCATTCTGTCCTTTCTGGTTCTCAGGGTGGCTGAGGCTGCTCCAAGGCAAGATGGTGAGCGAGGTTCTGAAGGAAGAGGGATGCCACTGTTGTCCTTATTCCCCTTAAGCTAAACCAAAAGGGGTACTTTAAACTCAATATGTTTATCTTCTTCAAAGTGAGTTAGCAATTGCAATATATTTCAATAGTAACTGCCCATACTGCGAACCAAACAATGTCGGTTTCTGAGACTTTTTTCATTAGTAAAAAAATTGCATTTTACCACTTTCACTTCTTTTCTTAGACTTACTGCAGTTGACCCTTAAACAATATGGGCTTGAACTGCATGGGTCCATTGATAGAGGGATTTTTCTCTCAGTAAAAGTTACACTGAGTGTGCCTCACTCTCCTGCTTCCCCTTCAACCTCCTCCACATCTTCCCCCTCTGTCACCCCTGAGACAGCAAGACCAACCCCTCCTCTTCCTCCTCCTCAGCCTACTCAACGTGAAGATGGCAAGGAAGAAGACCTGTATGATGATCCACTTCCCGTTAATAAATAGTAAATCTATTTTCTCTTTTTTATGATTGTCTTAATATTTTCTTTTGTCTAGCTTACTTTATTGTAAGAATACAGTATGTTATATATATATAACATACCAAATATGTGGTAACCTACTGTTCATGTCCTCAGTAAGACTTCCAGTCAACAGTAGGCTATTAGTAGTTAAGTTTGCGGGGGGAGTCAAAAGCTATATGCAGATTTTTGACTGCACAAGGGTTGGTGTCCCTAACCCTACATTGACAAGAGTCAACTATATATTAAAATCAAATTATAACAAATTATTACCATACAGCAAAAATGTGTAAATGTTTCCTTTAAAATCTGTTTTAGGTTTCAAAATAATTCACATTTCTGGTAACAGTTCTTGTCTAAAACACTTCTGGATTTTTAAATTTTTTAGATTTAACAAAGCAAATATAGCACATATATCATATGTTACATAATAGTCCCAGCAGGGACTAGGGCAGCTCCACATAATTAAATACATTAATATTTCTGCACACATAGACATGTACAGATACACACACATACACACACACAGGTTTTGTAACTAAGAGTTTTGAGGTTTTGGTTTTCAGCATTTTGGGGACTTAAGGATAAAGGAGTATGCTCCTAAATTACATGAACCTGCAGAATACCACAGGTCACAATGACGAGCCACAGCAGAAATTAAGAGTTGAGGACCATCATGAAACACAATGCCATTCTATCTAAATTGGGGGAAACCAAATCACAGAGAAATCAGTGGGAGAAAAAAAATACAACTAAATCAACGTCTGAGGAAGATACTCTAGAAAAAAAACAGAATGAAAACTAAACCAGGGCCGGGTGCAGTGGCTCATGCCTGTAATTCTAGCAGTTTGGGAGGCCCAGGTGGGTGGATCACTTGAGGTCAGGGGTTCAAGACCAGCCTGGCCAATATGGTGAAACCCCATCTCTACTAAAAATCCAAAAATTAGCCGAGTGCGGTGGCATGCACCTGTAAATCCCAGCTACTCGGGAAGCTGCGGCAGAAGAATTGCTTGAACCAGGAGATGGAGGTTACTGTGAGCCGAGATCGCATCACTGCACTCCAGCCTGGCAACAGAGCAAGACACTGTCTCAAAAAAAAAAAAAAAAAAAACTAAACCAGGATCACCAACAGTCCACTGAAACCAATTGCATAACAGCATATGGTTAGCCATGGGCAACCCAGCCCCTGGTCATTTCCTGGAAACCAAGGATATTTCTAGCAGAGAAGGCAGTATGTGGCAGTACTAGCAAATGCCACACCCAACATGTCAGAAGCAAAAGAACCAGAGGTGATTGCACATTCAAGGCCTCATCTAGCAGTGGAAGGAGAAGCTAAAGCCACCCACAAGCCAGGAGTGTGCTAACCACACATTTGTCTGTGCCACGTGCTCACCGGCCAGGTTTTTTAGTGAGCTGCTTTCTCCCTGCTGCCATCGAAGAAACTTTGTAGTAGCTGTTTATCATTAAAAAAATGAATGTTTAAAAACTCTGCTTTAGGTCAACTTCGATAACGTGTTGAGTCCACCAAATCACCAACCAGTTTTAAGTAACTTCTACTTAATAAAGAAGAAATATTCATATAAAGTAATGGACTTGGATACAATTTATATTTGCTAAAGAAGACTTTGATACATAATAAGCGGTTTACAGGAGAGAGCCATATGTACAATGCACCTTACAAATTCCATGAGGATCTAAAAGTAATGTAATCTAATAGATTAATTCATAGGTTAATTATAATAAACCTATAATTAACAGATTTGTTAATTTCTATCCATACTCTGAAATTCATCTTTCAAGTCCAAATGATAATAAATCATTACTTCATTAACCCAAAGCATTTTCAATAAGATTGGAGAGGCAGGCAATATTATAAAATCGTTATCTACATAGAAAGCAGAAAAGTAAATCGTGATTGTCTCTTACCTCTGCTCGACCCTCATAGTAGGTTAGCATGGACTTTGTAAGTACAAAAAGTCTCTCTTTGTAGTTTAAGGGCGATGTCTTCTTTTTCTGCTGTGACCTTTTAATAAGAATCTCCTCCAAAATAGTGTTAAAATTCATCTCCGTCTTCTGATTACTCCTCCTGCCACTGAAGATCCCAGTATTCTACAGTGAAAAAAGAAACAGTTAAAATGTGACAGTTTAATTTTCTATGGATGTTGCCATTTCCAATTACCAAAATCAGCTTCACCCTCACCCCTGCTGGAGCAGATGAGTATTGATCTCTGTGCCCAAACTGAGAATGCCTGGGGCACAAAAATTCAATCTCCTCTCCTTTTCCAGTTTCCATCCTGCTCCTCCACATCTCATCATTTCATGAGAAAAATCTAATCAAGGTTCTTCATGATGATGATTCATTCCTTTTTACCTCCTAGTACCCTTAGCTTTCTGGTGCACTCCTACTATTTGATTGCAGGGAACAAGTATCTCATATGGAAAAGCACATTTCGTCACCTGTGTGGCTGATTTACACTGGCATTTGAATTGCTTCAGGATCTTGGTTCACAAAACAGATGACCTTACAGACACAGCCAACTCATGAACAAAATGAATTAGCATGGTGGTGGATATGATTCATACTCCAGCTCTGATAAGGATGTAATCTCAATGAAGCATCCTAGTTACCAGTGCCACAGGGATGTTCTCTGGTGTCTACACTACCATGCTCCAGAGTTCTCTTCCCTATGGCTCCTGTCTCCACCACAAGAGAAATGGAAACCTACCAGTCATAGTTAACCTGCTCAGGGCAGAGTCCACCTGGATAAGAAAGTCTCAGCCCTTTAACTCCAGACTATTCATACCTAGACTGAGCCTTTTAAAATTCAACACAATTTAACTATCTGAAAACCCAAAGACATTCAAAAAAGGCTTGAAGATTCATATTTGAGACAAGTTGAATTAACAACAGCCTCTCCTTCTCTTGCCTCCACTATGCCTTTAAAGAAGTAACTGTGGCTGGGCACAGTGGCTCACGCCTGTTATCCCAGCACTTTGGGCAGATCACTTTAGGTGAGGAGTTCAAGAGCAGCCTGGCCAACATAGCAAAACCTCATCTTTACTAAAATAACAAAAATTAGCTGGGCATGGTGGCGCATGCCTGTAATCCCAGCTACTCAGGAGGCTGAGGCAAGAGAATCACTTGAACCTGGGAGGTGGAGCGTGGAGTGAGCCAGACAGCACCACTGCACTCCAGCCTGGGTGACAGAGCAAGACTTCGTCTCAAAAATAATAATAAATAGGCTGAGCGTGGTGGCTCACGCCTGTAATCCCAGCACTTTGGGAGGCCGAGGCAGGTGGATCACCTGAGGTCACGAGTTTGAGACGAGCCTGGCCAACATGGTGAAACCCCGTCTCTACTAAAAATACAAAAAATTAGCTGGACATGGTGGCAGGTGCCTGTAATCCCAGCTACTCGGGAGGCTGAGGCAGGAGAATCGCTTGAACCTGGGAGGTGGAAGTTTCAGTGAGCCGAGATCGCACCATTGCACTCCAGCCTGGGCAACGAGAGCGAAACTCCGTCTCAATAATAATAATAATAATAATAATAATAAATAAATAACTGCATATTAAAGGACAGAGGCAAGAAGAGTCACATGAACAGCATGAAGTGGCTCTCAGACAGCACGGCCGGTGACTGGACACGGTTAGCCACTGAGGAATTCTACCATCTTCACACCCAATCCAACACCTCCAATGCACCCTTTAATTTCCTATTACTGATTGGTCATCATCCAATCAGGCCCCTCCATTTTCTATAAGGTTCCTTTACAACAGCTTCTCTCTGAACATCAGTTCCTTCATTTGTAAAGTATGGAAGGAAAGACCACAAGGTCAGTGTGAGGTTTAAATGAGATATGGGCAAGAACTGACCATGAAAATACTACGCAAATGTTTATCATTTTTAATTCCACGGCTATTTGCCTCGCTCAGAACATTATGACCCCACATCTGGACCATGAGAGTAGCTTCCCAATTGGTCTTCATTTCCTCAAGTTCTTGCCTGCTTTTATTCAAACTGCCTATCCATCACTCCCATTGGATCAATCTTCAAAGATTCAGCATTGCCATTTCACTCATCAGAAATCCTGAATGCCTCCCCACGACCTGCAGAGTAAAGCTAAAATTCCTTAGTCTGACACGAGAGACTGTCCACATTCTGGCTGCAGCCTACCAGTCCATCTTTACTTCCACCACACTCCAATCAAAATAGTCTTCCAAATCTCCGGAGATTCCCCTCACAGCATTCATTCCCTGGCCTAGTGGACTCTCTGCTTTCCACCTGTGAAGATATACCAGCTCAAAATTCCCCTCCTTGATGTAGTCTCTCCTAATGGCTCCTATTAATTAAAAGCCTTCCAACTCCTGGGCCATAATTTCTATCACTCATCATAGAGCTAATCATATTCTGCTATGTCTACAGCAATTAATGTACGTATTTTTAATTCTCACTTAGCTGTTAAGGAATGGTTCTCAACCTTAAGTGTGTATTAGAATCTAGGGAATTTCATTTTAATACAGATGTCTAGGCTCCACTTCCAGGTTTTTTTATTCAGTTGGTCTGGGGAGGAGCCCTGAGCATCATGATTTCATGTACTGATAGAATTGAGAGCCACTATCTTAAAGGAAGACACTGAACTCTTGTACCTCTTTATCCCAGTCCCAGTGTCTACAGTAGCCTCTCAGTAGCAGCTAAACCACAGAACTAATTAACCCAACAGCCAACTTAAGCTAAGGAGTCACAGGAAAGCTCTTGCCCTTTTTGCATCTAAGTTGGTCTTCCTTATTCCATATTAAAATTTTGGCACTCCATCCTTCTTTCCTAAGAAACTGTCAGAATGCAAATACCATTTCTCTGGAAATTATATTTTCATCTTTGTGCAACACATTTTCAAGGGTGAAAATGACTACTTATAAGAACAGAGGCCGGGCACGGTGGCTCACGCCTGTAATCCCAGCACTTTGGGAGGCCGACGCAGGCGGATCACGAGGTCAGGAGATCAAGATCATCCTGGCTAACACGGTGAAACCCCGTCTCTACTAAAAAATACAAAAAATTAGCCAGGCGTGGTGGCGGGGGCCTGTAGTCCCAGCTACTCGGGAAGCTGAGGCAGGAGAATGGCATGAACCCAGGAGGCAGAGCTTGCAGTGAGCCAAGATCGCACCACTGCACTCCAGCCTGGGCGACAGAGCAAGACTCCGTCTGAAAAAAAAACAACAAAGAATGGATACCAGGGAAGAGCAAGCGATGCTCTCATAAACGGGCCATGTGTAGACATGTAGTTCCCAACACAGTGAGCAATACCATTGTAAACAAATGGAAGGCAGACTTTTGGAAGGCCCAAAGGATAAATGGGGCAGGACTTATATGCAGTTCTAGAAGCAAAAGGTCTCAACATCAGGGGCAGAAAAAACATTCATGTTGAATGTCCTGGGGAAAAAAAATCACCTTATCTGTCCATGTGCGGTGGCTCATGCCTGTAATCCTAGCACTTTGGGAGACCAAGGCAGGAGGATCACTTGAGGTCAGGGGTTCAAGACCAGCCTGGTGGAAATGGTGAAACTCCATCTCTATTAAAAATACAAAAACTAGCTGGGTGAGGTGGCGGGTGCCTGTAGTCCCAGCTACTTGGGAGGCTGAGGCAGGAGAATCGTTTGAACCGGGGAGGCAGAAGCTGCAGTGAGCAAAGATCACGCCATTGTGCTACAGTCTGAGTGACAGGGCAAGACTCTGTCTCAAAAAAACAAAAAAAACAAAACAAAAAAAAAACACCTTATCTGACATATGTGTGATTACTACTCTTATACAGAATCACACCATTTAAGTTGAAAGGAATCTTAGTCACCATCTATCTCCCTCAAGAAACTGAAGTTCAGAAAAGTTAAATGGCTTACTCAAGGTCACACAAGCCAAGACTAGAAAAAAGTCTCCTAGTTCCTACTTACGGGCTTTCCCTATCCTTCTATCCCATACAACTAAAGTTCACCACTGTTGTTATAATTCATTGGCCAATGGGAAGTCCTGGCCAAGAAATCTACTAAAGTTCAGAGAGATACAAATGAAGGAAAAGTCTCCTCATGTAGACTTCCAGCCAAAGATAGAGTGTTGAATGCACACTTCACATTGGCTCCTTCCTGAAATTCCATTAAAAACAGTTACATTGTTGTTGTTAAGGAACTGACTCTCAAGGAAATAGAAAACAAAAAAGGAAACAACAATAGAATTTTGGAAACTGGAAAACAAATAAATATGTGCCAGGTCCCACCAAGGGGAAGGCTGGAAACAACCCAATTTCTTCTGCAAAACATCCAAATAGCTCAAGAATCAGAAGAATATGGTATCTCTAGAAGTTGTGATGGAGAAGGAATTAAAGCAGAAGAATTGTTGGCAAATCAGTTTAATAAAGAGAGTCCCCGATCCTCTCCACTTCCATGCCATAGATCTAGGTGACTAACCCTCCTCAACCCTGGAAGAAAACTAGAGGTTTATTTCGGAAGACTATAAAACACAGGGTCTCTATCCTGGGAGAGACTAAGTGCAGCTGCAGCTGGGAATACCACACTGAAAAGGAGGAGCTTAAGTGAAACTGTACAAGTGTCCATATCAATGATGAGGCTAGTCAGCTCTCTTCTCCCATCTGGCTCCAGGACATCAGGACTGGACTAAGGGAAAAGTCTTGAAGACACAGACATAGAAGTGTCCCCAAAAAAATGGCACAGCCAGACTACCCTATAGTTAAGCCCACAGTCAGCAAGGCCCACTACCATGCATGAAGCTTCCAATTGACACTTTTTTTTTTTTTTTTTTTTAAAGACAAGGTCTGGCTATGTTGCCCAGGCCGGACTCAAATTCCTGGGCATAAGTGAACTTCCTGCCTCAGCCTCCCCAAGTAGCTGAAACTACAGGTGCACATGACCACGCCCAGCTCAACTGACTTTTTAAAGTCCCACTCTGATAAATGAGAGAAAGCCAAGGATCACCCCAGACAATTGAGGAAAAATTATAATATGAATCTAAGGTCAAAGAACAAATGCAAAAAAAGGGCAAGTTGGAAGAAACAAAAGTTGTACAGAAAAAAAGAAAATGTTAAAAAAAACTCAACAAAATCAAAGAATTAAGGGAAATACATGCATGAAACAAGGTCAAGACACAGCCAAAATAAGAAATAGAGCCAAAAAAACAGGAGCTACTAGAAATCAAAAATAAAATGACAGAACTTAAAAACTCAATGGAAAAGTTAGAACATAAAATTGAGAAACTCTCCCAAAAAAAAAAAAAATTAAGACGCAGAAAACATAATGGAATTACAGAACTCACTCAGAAAGTTCAGCATCTAAAAACCAGAAGTTCCAGAAAGAGAAAGCAAAGAAAACAGAATGAGAAAACAATCAAAGAAAATTTTTAGGAAAATTTCTTCAAACTGAAGGTTATTTTCAGATTGAAATACTACCAAATTAAGGCAACTCTTGTAAAATTTCACAACTATGGGGATAAGCCAAATATTAAGCAAGCTTAAATGTAAGTTTCATTGAAAGCATCAAAATTCAGAATGGTAATCATCAAGGGTAATGCCAGAGAGTAGAAGACAATGAAGAAAAACTCAGAAAGAAAGTGATTTCTAATCAAAAATTCTATACTCAGCCAAAGTGCCAATGAAGTGACAGGAGAATAAAGACGTTTTTCAAATATGCGCAAGGCTTTAACAATTTTCTCTTATCCACCTTTCTCAAAAAGCTACTTGGGGATGTAGCCAAAATACCAAAACAAAGCAGGAAACCAAAAAAGCAAAAACCACAAGAATTTAGGAAACAAACATTCCAACATAAGAAAGAGGTAAAGGGACCCCCTCCCCCAATAGATGATGAAGGGAAATCCCAAAATGAATGACACTGAGCAGCTGGCCAAGAGTACAACCAGTCCGGATTGGATCAAGTAAGGAGGTTCTTCCAAAGAATTCTTCTAGGAAACAAAACTGAATGTATGGGGAGAAGATTTATAATAAGTTAGTAAAATTTAGCCAATTTTAAAAAACAAAATAATTCCAAAGGAAAACAAAAAATTGTTTAGAAAAGGAAAAATAATCACAGGTATGCTACAGAGTTCTGCTACAAATAACAACTACACCGTCATAATCAGGTAAACAATAGTGATAATCTTACTACCAATATAAATACATTGGGTGTGAGAGCAGGAAGTATGCTCCCGTGTGGGTGGGGGAGTACTTTATGAAAGAGAGCTATTTCCTCCATGGTAGTAGGAGGAGAAGGAGGAAAAGGTAGCAGAGGAGAAGAAGGAGGAAACCAATAAATAATATCTACAATTGAAAAAGCAAGAAGTAGCAATGTAAAGCATGTTTAGAGACTGTCAAGAGACAAAATGACAACAAATTTAGTAAAAGTGACTTTTACTCACAATTCATGAGTCAGGGTAGCCTCTACTCTGTAAAATAGAATGAGAGCTCCCACTGGGCCAGGGCAGAACCATGGATTTTATAAGGTGGGAACAAGGAAACAGAATAATAGGAAAAAAAAAAAGCTGATTAGTAACATCAAGTTACTTCAGGTTACTTTTTTTGGTAAAGATTAAAACAGAGGGGACTTCCTTATTAAACTGATTCACGTAGACTGTAATCTTCTGTTTTCAGGGGGGAAAATGGTCTATTTGGGGATCTACCTGCTCCCTTAAAGCTTCAGTTTGATTATGCAGCATTTAGCATGGGTGACTCCATTTCTGTTTGGTCTGGTTTGTTGGGGCCTAGTACAGGAGCTCAGTCCAAAACAATGGCCTCCCATAATTTTTGTTTAATAAGATACAATGAGATGAAAAAGTTTGAAAAAATGAAAATGATTCCCTCTGAAAATCAGAATATCATTGGAGAATAGCAGTGGAAAGGTATATGTTCTACTCTTCTACCCTAAATAATAAAACATAAAAACCAGAGGAAGAGAATCCCATCTTCAAAGAAATAAAAAGACAGCCTTCAATCCCAAACTACAAACTATGAAATACCTGCTAAATGCTGTGAAATCTGGACCAAAATGGGGGAGGAGGCTGAGGGTAGATTTTCCTAAAAGTAAACATCATTGTCCTGAGAGGTCAATCTAATAACCTTTTGATAAGATCAGTGAAATCCGGAGGAATAAGCAGACCATAGGGGAATCCAGGAGTATCCCTATGGAATTACTATTCACACAGAAAAATAATAAAAAATCATTATCATTATCATTATTAAGCTTTTACTACTTGGCACTGTCCCAATCACTAAGCACTTTCAATGTATTGAATCACTTCATTCTCTCAACAACCTTCTGAAGTATGTACTAGTACTGTCTACACTTTACACATCACAAGGTAAGAATAAGAGCCAGGTTTTAATTTAGGCAATACAATTGCAGGGCCTACACTCTTCACTACACTATACAACTTCTCTAGTGGAAAGGAAGGTGGAATGGAAGGAAAAAGTTTAATGAGGTGTCACTTCCAGTCTCCTAGTTTAGGAGACTGCTAAGTGCAATTGGATTCAATCTCCAGATTTCAACAGAGATAGCCTATGACTTTCAGGGCATCATTAAGAGCCACAACAAACTCTTAATACGAAAATTGAAGGGAGATGTCCCCTCTGAGAAAGAAAATAATAGGTTTGATGTTCTAAATTTTAAAATGAAGATGAAACAAAACTTCAGGATTCCAGCTTTCTCTCCTAGCCGTTACTAAGGATTACAAACAGCTTTTTTTTTTGTTTTTTTTTGAGACGGAGTCTCGCTCTGTCGCCCAGACTGGAGTGCAGTGGCGCAATCTCGGCTCATGGCAAGCTCCACCTCCCGGGTTCACGCCATTCTCCTGCCTCAGCCTCCCGAGTAGCTGGGACTACAGGCGCCCGCCACTACGCCCGGTTAATTTTTTTGTATTTTTAGTAGAGACAGGGTTTCACCGTGTTAGCCAGGATGGTCTCGATCTCCTGACCTCGTGATCCACCCGTCGCGGCCTCCCAAAGTGCTGGGATTACAGGCGTGAGCCACCGCGCCGGGCCACAAACATCTTTTTTAAATAAAACTCGACTGCAACATAAACCCCTTTTCTATCTCATTGGAGTTGAACACAAGAGTACTATTCCCTTTGCCTTGGCGGCTAACTGCTAAAATTCTGAACATTTTAACACATTGTCTTTGAACACTAATATTCTGAGGTAGACAACAGAAACTGTCACTGTATCACCGGTGAGAAACACAAACCACCAAAGTTATACTGTCTATCCAGCGTTGCAAATCTGAATATCTGACTAATACTCAGTTTCACAGTCCAGCAATTTTAGCCAACAGTTCTTAAAACCTTTTTCATCATGAAAAATTCTGCCTAAAAACAAATAATTTTTTATGGATATGCCAATGGCCCTGATCTGATCACTATGCATTGTACATATCAAAACATCACTATATGCCCCACAAATATGTACAATTATTATTTGTCAATTAAAAAATAAAATTAAAATAAGAAAATAGGCCAGGTGCGGTGACTTACGCCTGTAATCCCACCACTTGGGAGGCTGAGGTGGGCAGATCACTTTAGGCCAGGAGTTCGAGACCAGCCTGGCCAACATGGCAAAACCCTATCTCTACTGAAAATACAGTCGTGTTGGCATGCACCTATAGTCCCAGCTACTTGGGAGGCTAAGGCATGCAAATAGCTTGAACCCGGGAGGCAGAGGTTGCAGTGAGCCAAGATCGTGCGACTGCACTTCAGCCTGGGTGTTGGAGTAAGACTCTGTCTCAAAAAAAAAAAAAGAGAGAGAGAGAAAATAATAATTTTTAAAAAAATAGCTGGTGACTAGAACAGCCTATCCTAGTCAATATGACTTTTCATACTATTTTAAGTCAAGAGAACAGAGGTGCTAAATGGGAAAGAAAATCAGAGACAAAAGAAAACAAAAGTGACTGTGAGTTACCAAATGATATTATGGAATGGACTATAGTAAATAAGAAAAAAAGGGCCCTGATAACAGAGTGGGGAAAGGATGGACTATTTATAAGAGCAAGCAAAGAGTGATTAGAGGTTGTTGAAATTCTCATCTTATTAGGTTAAGTCATTTACTATGTGCCACATTTTGCCAATATCCAGCAGTATTTTACCTACAGAATTAGCAATATTATATAATTCAATTTAATACTTGGTGATGTCCTCATATTATTAAAACTTAGTTAAAGCCCTCAGTTCACAAACTTCTACATCAGAACAGGTGACCTTATTTCACATCTCATCACAGGTTTATGACAAAGTTACCATTTGCAATCTCATCACAAGTTTGTGACAAAGTTACTATTTGTTTGCAATTTTAGGAAATTTGTGCAAATAAACATCAAACCGACCTTAATCTGAGAAATCAAATGCTGTGGTGCCTGTCAACAGTATCAGGTTATATTTCAATTCAAAAGTACCAAAATGCGTAGCTATTATATAAGAATAAATCTTACCACATATTCTTCTGCAATATATACTCTCAGCTTAAAGCCCCAAATTTCTTTTGTAAAAGGGGATTAAATAGCAGAAATACAACAAAGGAAAAAAATACTAGGATGAGTTCAATCAAAATAGAGTACATTCTAGGCTCCCCATTTAACGTCATGAATTGGAGCTATTCCAGGATTAGGCAATGTTTTCGTGCTCAGAAGGAAGTAACACTGTACACCTCTGTCTTCCTGAGCTATTAAACAAAAGCACCATGTGATAACCTGTATTTTCTTAAAGTCTTATATATTTCTCCTTTCAGCCAGTTGATATGCAGCAGGCTATAACGTTTTGAGTATTCATCTGCTAACCTGTTGAAGGTAGACACCTTGAACAGCACCAAGAGATCTGCATAAAACCCTTATCTTTCACTATCAATAGCATCTAAAGAGAGGATAAGAGAAGTCCTCTTAGGACAAAAGGCAAAAGTTGAAAGGCCGGCTGATTTCTCATCTCTCCTGATACTATATCCCCTACCCCAGTCCACTACCATAGGGTAGGTGATTATAGCACTGGATTAGGGGACATGTGAACCTAGAAACAGACTGAGAGTGCTGCCCTAGGAATAGTTGTTTCTTATTGTCCATATGCAGATATATGCATTACATATATAAATTTATGTAAATTTATATATATGTATATAAATTTATATATTTATATGTATTTATATATTTATATTTCCCAGCCTTCTTTGCAGTAAAGTGTGGCCATCTGACTAAGTTAAGACCAAAAAGATGTGTGGTAGAAGTTATATGTACTCCTTCCAGGCCATTTTCAACTTAAAGACAAGCTACTTCCCTGGATTTAGGGCATTTTCCAGCCTCCGACTGGCAGACTCAACTTCCCTTATGCATCCCAGCATTACTCTGAAGGTGGGGAAGAAACAAGATGGAGCCTGATCCTGGAATGACTTAATGGAGCAGAGGCTAGACTAGTTCACTTACTTTGTGAGAGACAAGTATATTTCTATCTTATTTTAGAAATTATATATCATGGTATCTTTGTTATAGTCGGTTAACATTTATTCTATGGAACAGGAAAACCCTTGCAAAAACTGGTAAAACTTTCTAATGCTTTTGAAAAAAAAAGCTCTCTTTCAAATTGTGCTGACAAACTCACACGTAAAAGAAGTCAAAATTTTGATTAAAATTTTGTCAGAAAATGATATCAAGAAAATACTAGATTCACTCTTTTTCCTATGAATTAGTTATAATCTAAATGGTTCTAAATATGAGGTAAACATATTTTCACTTTAGTTTTCAGGATAAAGTCTGAATCATTCCAGGTTTTTTCTCTTTTACTGTTTACTGTGAAATGTAACTGGATTCACTTTAAGTGGCAAATTCTGACACCAATTCTCCTCTGATAAGGGAATTTCTTGTATAAAACGAATATTTGTCTATTTCTTGCTACTGCAGAGGGAAACAATACAAGTGAAAATAAGATAAAACAAATTTCTCAGTGGGTACAGTGATTTTCAGGGCCTTTTACTAGGAGAAAGCATCAGAGTAAAGAATGTTTGGAAATTATATATAAGATAATCAAATGCCAATGTTTGTTCCTTGGCCACAGTATTCTGTTATTTTTAATATGAAACATTCATCCGTGTCTATATATTCTTTTCTCAATGTTTTTAAAATAGGAATGAAGAGTCCAAGTCATTAGTACATTCAATTTTTTTTTACAAATGAGAAACTTTCCTTAACAAAAAAAAATTTAAGAACAAAAATAAAAGAGAGAGATTCAGGAGGGTCTGACATATATTTAGTCTTAAGAGACCTCTCAACTGAAATGTATGAGACAATTATGGCAACTTGAATACTAACTCAATATTGTTGATATTAAGGTTCATCGGTAATATTTGTTTGATGATATGAGGATTTGATGATATTAAGATAGTGTTCAGTTGTTTATGATTTGCTCTGTGAGTGTGTGTGTGTGTGTGTGTGTGTGATGGTATGGTGATTATATTTTTCAGAGTTCTTATCTTTTAAAGATATATACTGAAAAATTCACAGATAAAATAATGTCTGTGATTTGCTTCCTAATCTGAAGGGTATGGAAGAGTATAGACAAAATAAAATTGTTCATGAGTTGATAACTATTGAAGTTTAGTGATAAATACTAGGGGTTCCTTATATCATCCTATTTTTACTTATGTTTGAAATTTTCCACAATAAAAAGTGTTTAAAACATATTTACAGGAATAACATAGTTTTCCATGTCCCAGTCATCAAACACTTCAGAGTTGATAAGAAAAAAGAGAAAAGGGTAAAAGCAGGAAGAGAAAGGAGGGAGGGGGAAAAAAGCACCAAAACAGACAAACAACACAAGAAAAAGGTGGATGGGCTCACCTTCCCCAAGGACCATTATTACTGCCCTACCTACCTCATCACAAATACCTTCCAATGGTCCCGGTGATTCCTGTGAGCCAGCAGAGCCTTGTGCTAATGTAATCTGCGCTACCTCTTCTCAGACATAAAGGAATATGTGATTTCTAGCTCCCAAAAATAAAACCACAGTCTAATGCAACAGTTGAACTCATTATAACTCCTCTCTTCCCTCTATGTCCTTTCCATTTCCCTGTTCAAGTTCATGAAAGCTGAAGTTCTTTTTCAAGTCTACATCATGATAAAAAGATTCTCTACAGACCAACAAAGTCCCAAAGCACAGTGGGCAGTCAGGCAAAGTGAGTATATTCAAATGGCAGACTTTTTATAAAAGAATCATTAGAAAGATTACCAAAGGTCGGCATCATAACTGGAACTGCAGAACACACTAGATCATAAAGGCACATTTGACCAGACAAGTATCTGCCCTTATTTCTAAAGCTTATGGAGCTCAGTTAATGAAGAATTTCAAAAACTGAAATGCCAGCCATTACATACCTGATCCCTAACAGGAAAAAAAAAACTGTTAAAAACACTAATTTGATAGAAAACATTCTCATAGATGATTTGTAACAAATAAAAATTATCAACTATACTCAAAAAGTATCATGGATGTATGTCATAATCTAACTACTGTTTGGAAAGTGTCTAATGACATTGTCATATGTCCCATCTCTGAGGAAGTAAATTGATAATGAACTTTCCTGTTCTTTGCTCTATTCATCATTGTCATTATCTGGTCCACTTATAATATGTAGTGCTGCTGTTTCTGTTTTTTTTTTTAAATACCTGTAAATTCACTGACACTCTTCTCATGGGTCTATGTCACCTCCCCTTGAATTGGAGTAGGCTTATGACTCCTTTGACTAATACAGTATAGTAGAAATGTCTTGAGACTAGGACATAAAAGCCCAAGTAGCCCTGCTTGATTTTTTTGGACGTCTAGCTCTTTGAATATTCTCCCTCTTGGAACCCAGCCACCATACTGAGAAAAGCTCACTGCAAGGAGAGAAATCACATACAGTTCTATTGCAGAATTACTGCTGAGCCCAGCCTTCAAATCATCTCAGCCTAGAAGCCAGACACATGAGTGAGAGACCTTCAAATGATTCCAGCCCTTTGTGGTTCAAGTCACCCCCAGCCATTAAAGTTTTCCAAGATAAGAGCCTTGACATCCCCACTGTGCACTAATTCTTAACCTCCAGAATTCATGAGGGTGATAAAATGGTTGTATCCCTTTAAGTCTTGGATGGTTTCTAACACAGCAGAAGTTTACCAGGACATATAATATATGATAGCATTCTTGACCACCTCATTCTTGTTTCATTCATCTCTTATCCTCGTCAATTTTCTTCCTTCCCTCAAATGTTTCCTCTTCTTCACTCAACCATCTTTTTACCATTTTCAGTTCATGAGCTAATTTGTCCACAGAAATAATTTGAGACATTCATGATTATTTATTCTGACATTTATTGCACAGTCATGATGTATTAGGAACCATGCATGAGGCACTAAGGTGGTTAACAAAGATGAACAAGAAATGATCTTTGTTCTAGAGAAGAATGTGAAAAGAGTACCTTAAAAACAACGCATGACATTACAATCTATTAAGGACTTTAAAAGTGGTAATGTGCAGTGTCTGGCTACATTGGTAAAATAAGTCAATGTCCAATTTCTTCCAGTGCTGTGTGAAATTCTGAAAATCAAATTTACTTATATAAGCAATATGGACCCACAACAAAATAAATTAATGTTTGTGTACATGTTACACGTATACATAAATCTCAATTCCATTACATATCAATTTCTCAAAAGCATATTTCCAAGTCTTCTTTTCCCTCTGAGTATTCTGTCTTACACAAGCCACACAAAATAAAATATAATATTTGGCCTGATCTAGCACCCAGAACACTGCCTGAAATATATTGGGTATTCGGTAAGTATTTATCGGATGACAATGATTTCACTTTATCTAGCTTGCTGGTATTTACTTCAGAAGCCAAATCTCAAAGGTAACAGAAGCGTCTACTTCAGATCTTTCACCATGTGTAGTTCCTCCTACTATCAGTGGGCAAATCTGAAAGAAAACTCTTATTTCAAAAGCCACACAGATAAGGAGGGACCATTGTATATTCATTTGCATCTTAAATTAGCAAAGTCTTGGAATCATAAGTTAACAAACAACTTACAGGATCCTTTTTTCTCAGAGATGCCCCTGATGATGAATTCTGTCCTATGCAGGAAGTTCTTTTTTTCTGAGGGGGACCAGAAGCTCAGAGATACTATCTCCAATGTGTGAAGTGATGGTATTTCAACCAAGCTCTCATGCTCTTGTCTCTTTAATATGACAAGTTTTTATCTACCATTATTCTAAATTTTCTATTAATATATAAAGTGAGCCTCATGATGTAAAGGAACACTCTCTGCCCTTAACTGACAAAGCAACTGAGGACCAAACTTACAAACTCTGTGGGTCTTGTGATATCTGTAAGATTAATGGGGCTGAGGCTGATGAGCTCTAATGTTGTCTTTAGCCCCCAAATGTAATTATTCTATGTAGCTTGATCTAGAAACCCACTTGTTCCTCATTTTACTACTGTGTTAAACAGAAAATTCAACCACTGAGAGGGCAGGCCTGTACCTTTTGATATATTAAAAGACCCAATTTTTAATCTATTTCCTGAGACTGCTGGAGAAGACATAAGCAATGGTTCTTTAAACATCATCCCGAAGATCTTTTTTTTCCTGATGTCACCTGATGTCCAGTATCTTATTTCACTCATTATTTTTACTGGAAATTCTGGCCAAGAACCCTGATTTTAGTGGAAGTAACTTAAACAGGTAAGTCTGCTTAACCTGGCTGTAAATCTTAGCTTTGCCATTTATTTGCTGCATAACTTTACACAAGTTACTTAATTCCTTAGAGACTGCTTTCTTATCTGTAAAATGAGGATGATGATGATACCAACTCTAAAGGATTGTCCTGAGAAGTAAGAGAAATGCACATAAAATTCCTTACACGCAGCAAACACTCAGGAAAGCAATTGGTCAGTTGGTCATTGCCTCATCTTTATTCTGTATTGGTTCACATTTACACACTCAACAACTGCTAACTGAACACCTGCTAAATGCCAGATATGTTATCAAAATAAAACATAAAACATGGCCATTAAGATACTCATACCCTAGTAAAAGGGACAGACACAACAGAAGCTAACAATTTCATTACCATGTGATCAGTGCTAGACCACAGATGGTTACAAGCTTCAACTCTGCCTGGAGATAAGAGGTGGAGAGATCACTCTTAGGTGGGAATTGAACAATGAGAACAGTTGGACACAGGGCGGGGAACAACGCACACTGGGGCCTGTTGGGGGTTGGGGATCTGGTGGGGGAATAGAATTAGGAGAAACAACTAATGTAAATGACAAGTTGATGGGTGCAGCAAACCAACATGACACATGTATACCTATGTAACAAACCTGCATGTTGTGCACATGTACCCTAGAACTTAAAGTATAATTAAAAAAAAAAAAAAAGAGGTAGAGAGATAACCAGCAAAGGTGATGCCTGGGCTGGGCTAAAAAGCTGAGTAAGTTGGTAGATGGCAAGGCAAAGGCACATCCCAGGCCAAGGGCTCAGTGTTGTGAAATACAAGATGAGTATGAAGAAATACAAAAAGTAAGAAACAGCTTATATTAATTTAAATATATCCATTTTAATACTCCTTCCTCTCCCCACACTCAATCCACATATACACGTTTCTACTATTTAAAAGAAACTAAAACCCTGTATTACTCCATTTTCACACTGCTGATAAAGACATACTCGAGACTGGGCAATTTACAAAGGAAAGAGGTTTAATTGGACTTACAGTTCCACGTGGCTGGGGAAGCCTCACAATCATGGTGGAAGGCAAGGAGGAGCAAGTCACATCTTAACGTGGATGGCGGCAGGCAAAGAGAGGAGCACTTGTGCAGGGAAACTCCCCTTTTATAATCATCAGATCTTGTAGACTTATTCACTATCACAAGAACAGCATCGGAAAGACCTGCCCCATGATTCAATTACTTCCCACTGGGTCCCTCCCACAACACGTGGGAATTCAAGATGAAATTTGGGTGGCAACACAGCCAAATCATATCAAACCCAAAATGACTTCTTTCCAGTCTTATGTTTATTTCTTCACTCATTTTTCAACAAAACATTTTATTTAAACTCTACTGTATATCAGGTACTGTGACAGGGATATAACATTCCACATGGAAAACACAAGCTCTGCCTTCCCCAAGCTCACACTTCTGTGGAGTTTTGATCTAATTCCTCAAAGAGCCTTCCCCTGCAACATCCTTCTTCTCAAATACCACACACAGGACAGAGAGATATCATATCTAAGCCATTAGACAGCTGACTATGAGAGCTAGGCACTCTAAGATTAGAGATCATTGGATTCAAACTTCTCAATTGAGAGGTGAAATAATTAAAGCCCAAACAGGCAGAGTTGAGAGATATCACCTCCCTCCCTTTGTTCATTAATACAGTTATTAATATCTTAATCTTTAAAAATTAGGCCGAGCACAGTGGCTCACGCCTGTAACCCCAGCACTTCCGGAGGCCGAGGCGGGAGTATCACGAGGTGAGGATATTCAGACCATCCTGGCCAACATGGTGAAACCCCATCTCTACTAAAAATACAAAAATTTGCTGGGTGTGGTGGTGCGTGTCTGTAATCCCAGCTACTCAGGAGGCTGAGGCAGGAGAATCGCTTTAACCAGGGAGTCGGAGGTTGCAGTGAGCCGAGATCGCGCCACGGCACTGCAGCCTGGCAACACAACGAGAGTCCTTCTCCAGGAAAAAAAAAAAAAAATTAAACATTGACTATAACTATTGTTTGAGAACTCTAGATTAAAATTATGAGTTTTCCAAATGTCATCCAAAAAGACTTCACGTACACGTGTATACACACATACACATACACACACAAACACACATACACAAAAAAATCACACAGTCCTTTAAAGCTTCACCCCACCCAGTATTTAATTTCATTAAGTAAGTTTATACACAGAAAACACTTAGAATAGTTACCTGGCACATAGATGCCATTTAAGTGCTTGCTATCAGTATTACTGTTTTAACTTAATCTTCATAGCATTACTATTACTATTAATCGCTAAAACATTAAAATGGACAGAGTAGATGGCACTTTGACAGGTACAATTTTATAAATGAATAAATAAAAGCTAAGATAATATAGCCAAAATTATAAACATAATAATAACACCTTTGAGACTAGAAATCTAGTATCCTCATTCCCCGACTTCTAGGAAAAAAGTCTGGCTACATTAAAATAGCTGAAGAGCTACATTAAAAACATTTACTTTGGGCCAAGCACCGTGGCTCATGCCTGTAATCCCAGCACTTTGGGAGGCAGAGGAGGGTAGATCACTTGAGATCAGGAGTTTGAGACCGGCCTGACCAGCATGGTGAA
Source organism: Homo sapiens (assembly GCF_000001405.40). Taxonomy (NCBI): domain Eukaryota; kingdom Metazoa; phylum Chordata; class Mammalia; order Primates; family Hominidae; genus Homo; species Homo sapiens. The sequence continues at coordinate 48,245,935 of NC_000004.12, forward strand.
ACCCATCTCTATTAAAAATACAAAATTATCCTGGCATGGTGGCACACACCTGTAATCCCAGCTACTCGGGAGGCTGTGGCACAAGAATCACTTGAACATGGGAGGTAGAGAGTGCAGTGAGCCGAGATCACGCCACTGCACTCCAGCCTGCGTAACAAGAGTGATACTCCATCTCAAAACAAGAAAAATTATTTTTACGGATTTATCATTTTTATCTTGTCTACCTACAGAGAGAAATTGAGACATGTTTCAATAAAAAAAAATGCAGGAACAAAATTTAACCAAGGAAGAATGAGATTTTTGCACGGCAAACTACAAAACATTGTAGAAATAAATTTAAAAAGACTTAAATAAATGGAAAGACATCCCACATTCGTGGATGAAAGACATGATATTGTTAAAATGGCAATGCTTCCCAAATGGATCTACAGATTCAATGAATTCTCTATTAAAATCCCAACAACCTTTTCTGCAGAACTGGACAAGGTGATTCTAAAACCCATATAGTAAAATTAATAGACAAAACTATCTTGAAAAAAAAAAAAGAACAAAATTGGAGGACTCACACTCCCAATTTTAAAATTTACTCTAATGGCATAGCAATCAAAACTGTGTAGTACTCCATAAGGATAGATATATAGATCAACAATACAGAATTAAGGGTCCAGAAATAAAATCACACAACTGTGGTCAATTATTTTTGACCAAGATGTCAAGACCATCCAATGCGGAAAGAAAAATATTTTCAACAATGGTATAGGGATAACTGGATACAAATAAATTTGGACCTCTACCTCACACCATATACAAAAATTAACTCAAAATGGATCAAAGATTTAATTAAAGAACTAAAATTGTAGAACTCTTAGAAGAAAACATAGGTACAAATTTTCATGACCTTAGATTAAGCAATGGTTTCTTAAATATGACATCAAAAGCATAAGCAAGAAAAGAAAAATAGGTAAGTAGGACTTCATCAACTTAAAAATTTTTGCGTGACATTATTGAAGAAGGTTACAAGAAGTTCCCACAGAATGAAAAACATATTTGCAAATGATATATCTGATAATGGTCTAGTATCCAGAATATATAAAGAACACTTACCGTTAAACAAGAAAAAGACAACCCAGTGTTAAAATGGGTGAAGGATTTGAATAGACATTTCTCCAAAAACATATATGAATGGTCAGCAAACATATAAAAAAATTTCAACACCATTAGTCACTATGGAAATGCAAATTGAAACGACGAGATACCACTTCATACACACTAGGAGGAATATAATCCAAAAAATAGAAACTGAACAAGTATTAGCAAGAATGTGGAGAAATCAGAACCCTCACACATTGCTGCTGGAAATGTAAAATGGTACAGGCACTGTGAAAAATAGTTTGGCAGTTCCTCAAAAGTTAAACATAGAATTTTCGTATGACTCAGCATTTCCACTCCTAGGTATATACCCAACAGAATTAAAAACACATTCACACAAAAACTTGTATGTGAATGCTCATGGCAGTACTACTCACAACAGCCAAAAAGTGAAAACAACCCAATGTCTGCCAACTGATGAATGAATAAACAAAATTTATATATTCATACAATGAAATATGATATTATTCTACCCTAAAAAGGAATGAAATACTGATACATGGTACAACTTGAATGAACCTTGAAAACATTATGTTGGATAAAAGAAGCCAGATAGAAACGGCAACAAGTTGTACTGATTACTTTTACATTAAATGTCTAGAGTAGGTAAATCCACACAGGCTGAAAGTGGGTTACTGATATGGAGGTGTGGGGTTTCTTTCTGAGATAATGGTAATCTTCTGGAATTAGATAGTGGCGATGACGCATAGCATCATAAATATAGTAAAAATCACTAGACTACTCTGTAAAACGATTTAAATGGCAAATTTTATGTTAATTGAATTTATTCTCAATAAAAGTAATTTAAGAAACAATACATGTACAACATGTAAATATACAGACAAGAATTAAAACTAAAAGGAGGAGTCAGAAACCAAAAGGCAGAAAGTGGAAAACAGAGTGGAACTCAGACTTATGCAGGGGTTGGTTCTCAGTCAGCACATAGGGTAAAAACTGAACACAGTCAATTAGCCTTGAGTCTTCCACAGGAGACACAGGTCACACTGCAGACTGATACACTCTCTCTGGATATGTCCAACACAGTATCAGCAGAAATGTCCAGAAGCACTGGAAGTTCTATCAGTTAGCTTTTGATTAGAACAAAAACAAAACCCACTCCATAATTAGTGGTGTACAAATAATAAAAACATATTGTTTCTCATGATTCTGCAGGTCAGTTGGGCTTTCCTGGCCTGGATATCTAGGGTGGCCTCATTCACGCTTCTGGCAATTATAAGCTATCAGCCAGGGCACACGTGGCTTCTTGAACAGGACAACTTGGGCTTGCTCCTACAGTCCTCAGGGTCCTAAGTGCAGTAAGAGAGAGCACGCACCCAGTACACAGCACATTGCATGTCTCTGAATGCTTTACATTTATTTGCTCTTGTTTCACTGGCAAAAGCAAGTCACAAGCCCAGCGTCAGTACGGGAGGTGACTACTCAAGGTGAGCAGACACTGGGAGGGGAATGATGCAGGCCTTTTTGCAAACAATCCAGCCCACAGAATAATCAATTTTAGGTTTTCTGGTTTGGGACTAAAGTATCTGGCATGGGCCTAGGGGTCAGTTTGTATAACAAGGTATGTATCTTTAACCACAAATCACATTGAGCACTGTGAGATGCTCATGGATATCCTCTGCAGACTCAGGCAGACAAAGAGAGCACCAGGTTCACACGCCTCCAGTACACACCCCTTCTGGGGTGTATACTCATCAGGTGGAAAGATGAATAGGTTCATCTGCACTCTTTACATTGTTGTTTCTCTCTCTTTGTCTCCTCTTTCTTTTTTTTTTTTTTTGGCTGGCCCACAGAGTTGAATTCCCCTAATTCATATATGCTTCAATTCTACTACACACTGAAAACCAGAAATCTGAAACATTTTGTGTAATCGTGTGTCAAGTTTGGAGCTTCTCAAAATATCAGAGATTAAAGAATTTTTTGAATGCTTCATAGAATAATAATGTTTATGATAAATTACACACCAGCTTATCAAAAGAAAAATTTTCCCTGTCACTAAACTCCAAAGAGAAACCAGTTTATGGGATCATAAAAGATAATGAAAGATATTACAAAATGTCTTCAACAGCAGTTTGGGCAGAAATCACAAAAGTGCTCCTCAACAGGCTACTTCTTATATTAACATTTCATAATGGCTTAGTAAATAAAGCCTTAGTAAAGGCATTCCTACCTGGGCTGAGCTAAATAGGTTGCTATCTGGTTAATTCAAGAAATAGGAATAAAGTACAGAAATAGGTAAATCAGGAATATGATCCTTGGTCTGTATCTGTTAAATATTATCTCAAGACCACTTTTGGCAAAACTTGAGTGAAATTCAGTTTAAGATACACTCTCCAGTATGTGACAGAAATGTAAATCTTATGTTCATGGTAATATTGTGTAATATAATTTAAACAGCACGTTTGTAAAATTTTTTAAATGCTAGTATGTGCCTTCCTGATAGGCCAAGTATTTTATGGTGTACTTGGCTGAATGGCCCAAGGTAACAGGAAACAGTCCCAAAGACCTATGGCTTCACAAAGGAAGTAATTACCTTTGGAGATTCCAACTTCATCTGATTTAAGCCCTGCTTCTTGACTTCATGATCTTTCTGCTAACCCTGAGCTGAAATGTCTCAGATTACTATAACTAAGAATTACTAAGACCCTGGCAGGTGTCCTTTCAGTATTATTTCTGCCAAATCAGAAGGCTGTACATGGCAGAGTGGGAAAACTGTAGTTTTCAGTTCACAGCACAAATTATACAAGTAGACACTAATATTTTAAACTAGTGAAATAGAAAAGCACATTCAAAGCACAATGTGAGTCTTATCAGTTACGCATAGACTAGAAGACTTCAGGGTGACTGGCTGATGGATTTCAGTAGATCCCAGCCAAGGCATGCATCCTGGAATTCCAGCTGAGCCATCTATAGGCTGATAACTCCAAAATCTACATCTTTAGCTTTGACATTCTCCAGAACCTCAGATTGCTGTATCCAACTGCAACCCTAACATCTTTATTTAAATATCTAGCAGGTATCTCAAACACAACACCACTTAACACAGAGCTCTAGATAGTCCCCTAAATTTTGCTCTTCATCCAGTATCCAAGTAAATGGCCTCATAATCTCCCCAGCTGCTCAGCCAAGTATCTAGGCATTAGCTCTGATTCATTCTTTTCTCTCATACTCAAATCTAATTCATCAGCATGTTCTTTGGACTGTACCCCTAAATATTTCCTGAACCTATTCAAGATTCTCATTCTTCACTACTCTCCCATGAGTGCAATAGATTGATTGGAATAATGGCCCCAATTTTTCATATCTCCTTGTATCTTTTCACACCTGTCTGAATTCCTGTTCTTTGGCAATGCCCTCCCACACTGACTATGGATATACCTATGTAACTTACTTTGACCAATGGGACAGTAGCAAACTTGACACAAGCTGAGTCCTTAAAACGTGTGCGTTTGTTTCTACTTCCTCTCTTGCTTCTTTGCGATCACCGTGAGAATCCAACTGTCCAGCCTGAGGGTAAGCCCAAACTAGCCTACTAGAGGGATGTAATGTACATATGGAGGAGAGCAGAGTTGATCCAAACATCTCAGCTGAGACCATCCCTATACTAGTTGACAGCCAGCTGGCCCCTCAAACATATCAGAGAACCCAGGCAATATTGCAGAGCTGCCTACCTAACCCACAGTGGACCACAGACACATGGGCAAGCCCAGTTAAGATCAACCAAGCCCAGCCAAGATCAGCAGAATTACCCAGACATCCTATACTCATGAGCAAAAATAAATCCTAATTGTTGTATGCTGCTGAATTTATGGGACTGTTTGTTACACAGGATTACTGTGGCAATAACTAATAGAGCCATCATTATCCCGCATCAGGACTACTGGAATATCCTCCTAATGGGTCTCAGTACTTCCTTCTTATCTCCTTATAATCATTTTTCCATGCATCAGTAAATACATTCATTAAAAAACATAAATCAGTCTATGTCATCAGCCCTGCTAAAATCCTCCAACGCCTACCCAATGCACTTAAACTAAAACCCATACTCCTTAACCTAGTATATGACCTACTTCTCTAACCGCATCTAGTACCACTCCCCAATGGCCCACTATGATTCAACCACACCAGCCTTCTTCCTATTCTTCAAACACTGCAAACTCATGGCTGGGGTCTTGGCACATAATGTTCTCTCTACCTGGAAGAGTGCTCCATTTTCTTTCTCCCTCCTCCCCACCCATTTCTCTCTTGCAGTTTTCTTCTTATAACTCAAATTTTAGTTTAAATTCACTTCCACAAAAAAAGACCTTCCTTTGACTACCCAGTCTAAAGTAGACAGCCAGTTATTCTCACTATGTTATCCTGTTTTAATTCTTTCCATGGTACTTATCTCTGTGTGACACTTTTCTTGATTATGTGTTGTTTTTCTTGTGCACTCTCCCCACTGGTTGTAAGTTTCACAGGAAAGGAACCTGTTCTGTGCATTCACCACTGGGTCCTCAGCTCCTAAAGCAGTTCCTTCACATATTATTCATTAAATACTCAGATTGAATTGGACATGATTGTATTTACTTAGGATTGAGGGAGGACTCTAAGGAGTATGCAAGTGGAAGAATGTAAGAGAAATAACAGCCTTTATTATAAAAAGAAGAGGGGTGGGATGATATTGTAAATGACAAGATCAAAACTTTATTGGGGTGACTGCAAAAGGGGAGGAGGAGTAATTAAAATGGTTTCAGAAAGCTCATAATAAGACTATGGGTTTTACAGAGAAGAAATAGTAGAAGCAAATATTGGATGAATGCTACCTGACATAGAATAAACAAATCAGATCCTAAGATCTGGTTTTTACAAAGACGAAGAAGCAAGGCAAGCTAAAATGGAAGAGAGAAAAGACCAACTGATTCTGAGAGGAAAATACTAAAGCAGAAAAAACATTTCACTAGATAACAGAACGCAGTTCACAGCCTGGACTCTGAAAACAGCCTAAAATGGAAGCTTTGCTCTGCTCCTTATTAGTTGTATAAACACCGACAATTACCTCTCTGAGCTTGCTTCCTGATTTATAAAATAGGGTAATAATTATGACTTCACAGAGTTGTAAGAATTAAATAAGCAAATATACATAAAGTGCTTAGTATGGCACATGGATTATAGTAATTACTCAGCATTAGTGATGATGATGATAGTGGTAGTGGTGGTGGTGCTGCTGATCCTTAAGTCAATCCTGCTATTGTTGATTAAATTGGCAAAGGCCATAGTATCTCACTGAGTCTGTTGAGTCTGCTTAATTTTTTTTTTAATTTTCAAGCATTTCAAGTTGTCCCTTCTTACCAAGAAAGAAATGAGCACAGAACCAGAACCTAGAGCCAGAAGAGCTGGGTTCTGTCCCTGGTTCTGCAACTAACTAGCTGGGTGATCTTGGGTGAGTCACCAACTTCCCAGACCTGAAAGTTTCCTTGTCATCAGCTCTATCCCTGCCCAAGGCAGCAGGTCTAAGAAACATTCTGTGAAGAGGCAGAGGTACTGATGTAAGATAGAGACATAAAGGCAGAGATATAGGCAGACAATCACTCCATGTCATTCCATTCCAGAGCACAAAAAGCAATATTAAATACCTTAACTGAAGGCTTCCCAAATCATGTTCCTCAGAACACTAGGAGCTGTGGGATGATAACATGTGCTTATATTAGACCATAATCTCATAAATGTAGGAACACTGGGTGACTTTATTCTACTCTAGGACCAGTGGCCAGCAGAGTACTCAAAACATACTACCATAGCACACATTTACTGCATGCTTGTTGAATGAATGAACAAATGAATGAATGGACAAGTATATTTGGGAAAAGCTGGGTTAAACAACATCAAATTGGTTCCTTGTATGCATTTCTCAGGGGCTTTAATAGGTGAATCATATAGAATGCAGCGCTTCCCAACTTCATTTGATCATAGAACTTACTCTATTTCCCCTGAACCTCGTTAACATCTCCCAGAGTTGTAGTCTATAAAACACAGATTGGGAAACATCTGAGGCTTACATAATGTAAGTCATTTTTACTATCATGAAATACGTAAGTTATCTTACTTTTTATTCATCAGGCAGTAAAACGGCTAAGTAACTTGATTCATACCTAGTATGTAGCTGTCGTCTCCTGGCATCCTAGCAGCAGCTGTCCTGTCTCATTCCTCTGCCCTTCTCCCTGCTTCCACATAACTACTCTGTCCTGAAAATCCTTCCACCTCTTCTTCTATTATCTCTTCTCTCTAAAGCCCGTAGTCTTATTATGAGCTTTCTTTAACTGTTTTAATTACTCCTTCTCACCTTTTACAATCACTCCAATAAAGTTTTCATCCTGTCATTTACAAGATCATCCTGCCCCTCTTCTTTTTGTTCTTTCTCTTGCATTCTTCCACCTGCATACTCCTTAGGGTCATTCCTCAATCCTAAATAAATGTAATCATGTCCAATTCTTTTTTTTTTTTTTTTTGAGACAGAGTCTCGCTCTGTTGCCCAGGCTGGAGTGCAGTGACACAATCTCAGCTTACTGCAACCTCCTCCACCTCCCAGGTTCAAACAATTCTCCTGCCTCAGCATCCCGAGTAGCTGGGACCACAGGCATGCACCACCATGCCCAGCTAACTTTTGTAGTTTTAGTAGAGACAGGATTTCACCATGTTGACCAGGCTGATCTTGAACTCCCGACCTCAGGTGATCCACCTGCCTAGGCCCCCCCAAAGCGCTGGTATTATAGGCGTGAGCCACCGAGCCTGGCCTAATCATGTCCAATTTAATCTGAGTTCCCTTTTCCTTTCCTACCACTTGTTTTCCAGGACTCAAGCAAGCAAATGTACCAGGTCTTTTCATATCCCCATGTATCTGCTCGAGTTGTTCTCTCTGGAAGGCTCCTCCCTCTTTATCCACCTATTGAAATCCTATTCATTTTTCAAGGTCCTGATCATACGTAATCTCTTTTATGAAGTCTCCCTTATTTTCCACTCCTGCCATAATTAACGACTCCCATTAACCCCAAGACAACTGCACAACTAACGCAAACATAAAAAGTTGGTTGTATCTATGAATGCAGAGATAGCAGAGCTGGGAGAGATGACCATGAACCAGGTGAGTCAATCAGGGAGAATGACAAAGAGGTTGGTGGCAAAAGGAGAGACCAGGAGGGTACCTGCATGAATGGCTTGAACCCTAAAGGACAAAGGGGTTTTGCAGGAAGGCAGAAAAGTGATGCCCTAGAAGTGGCAAAGGGAAGCTAGGAGTAGGCTACAGCAGAGAGAGCTACAGGGAAGGCAATGCTGTTACTCTGTGAGGAGGCTCTGGTGTGGGAGAGTTGATTCACAGTGGAACAATGCTCTCAAAGGGCCACTGGAAAGATTTGGGAAGGCAGCCAGCAGAAGAATGGAAGTTCAAAATCATAGGAGGCTTGAGAGTACATAGAAAGACAGTTGATTAGAAAGGCTGGTGGCCAAAAAAACTGGGGATAAGAGGCAAGGCCTCCGCCTACACTGGCTGAGATCCCAGATGGTGTCAGAGACCAAATGAGGTTAGCATTCAATAGTCTTTGATCAGCATCCAAAGAGTAGGTTGACGAGTAATTTTTCCGATGTCTATGAAGAACAGATTTCTCTAATGTTCCACTCATGGCAAAATCCTTTTCCCACCCAGATCCATTTGTGGGCTATGCCATAGGGCAGGATGGAGGGGCGGGGGCTGTTGGTGAGGAGGTGTTGGGTGTGGCACCTCCTTTCACTAGGGCAGGGCTTACTGACCTAAAAGGGACACAGCAAGCTGAACATGGTGCAGAGTCTACAGGGATGAGAGGCCTGCAAGGCACCAAGTAGGCACGAAGGCCAAAAAAGTAGTGGATGACCAAGGGCAGACAGACAATAGCATAGGGAATCCAAGACAAAAATACTCATCTTCTGAAAACCCGGTATAAGCAGGGTTCTTTCAAATGCACATAATTAGATTTAAGCAAACAACAACAAAAGGAACACATTGGCTCACATAATCGAGAAGTCCTGGCACAGCTGACTCCTGCACTTCAAACAATGCTGAGTGTGCTCTCACCACCGTGCAGTGCTGCTTCTCACTGCACGGTCCCATTCTCTTGTATTGCGGCTTCCTCCATGGAGCAGGGAAAAATGACCACCAGTAGCTCCAGGTTACATCGCTCCAGGTTAAATCCCAGAGGAAGAGCTCCCCCTTTCCTAAATGCCAGCAGAAGAGTCCCATTGAGCCAGACTGGATCACATGCTAACCCCTGAGCCAATCCCTTGGTCAAGTGGAGGGACTGCTCGGATTGGCCAAGGCTGAATCACATGATCATCCCTGGGTAGTGTCAACTCCACCCAAACCACATGAATTGGACAGAGTAGCTGCCCAAAGGAAGAAAGTCTGGGCAGACAAATAATCAGTCCACTACAGCACAGTCACTTGTCAGGAAGGCCCCAGATAACCAAAAGGGCACTTGAGAGAGCTTTGAAGTCAGACAGAACTGGTTTTAAAGGTCAGCTTTGACATTTACTAGCTGTATGACCTCAGGTAAGTAATGTAACTTCTCAGTAACTCAGGTTCCTCATTGTAAAATAGTACCTACCTCCTATAGATATTGTGGGAGGATTAAATGAAATAATTTACATAAATTGCTAAGCACAATGCTTGACACAAAGTAAGTGATCAATCAATGGCAGCTATTATTATCAAAATAACAATAATGACAATTAGTATTATCAGAACAAAGGTACCATATGAAGGGTGATCTGTGACTCCATGAAAGAGAGGGCAAGGTCAGCATTTGGATAAATCAGCCCTGGGTCATGTATCATTAAGGACAACTGAGGACACAATGCAGAGGCCCAAATACAGAGTCAAAGCTAAGATAACAATTCAAATCAATAAACATGCTGAGCACCTATTGTGCACTAAGCACTGGAAATACAATTATGAATAACACACATATGACTCCAAGGTAAACTACCATGAAGAATGACTATGGCTCTGTGACAGTATTTCTGGGGGAGGAGAGGTTGACTGAGGCTGCTTCTACACTTTCAGCCACAGGCAGGGCACTGGAGTAGTGCTGAGCATACAACAGAACAATGCCATGGGACCAACTACCAGAATGCGAGGAAGAGACAGAAGGGCTACAATCCACCGCCCACCCTGCTAAAAATAATGCCTCTGTGGCCGGGCACGGTGGCTCACATCTGTTATCCCAGCACTTTGGGAGGCTGAGGCAGTTGGATCGCTTGAGCCTAGGAGTTCGAGACCAGTTTGGGCAACATGACAAAACCCTGTCTCTACAAAAAATTTAAAAAAAAAAAAAATTAGCCAGGAGTGATGGTGCCTGCCTGTAGTCCCAGCCACTAGAGAGGCTGAGGAGGGAGGATCGCTTGACCCTGGAAGGTCGAGAGGCTGCAGTGAGCTGATATTGTGCCACTGCACTCCAGCCTGGGCAACAGAGCGAGACCTTGTCTCAAAAAAAAAAAAAAAAAAAAAAAAGTCTTTTTGCATAAATTAGGAAAAAGTGTCTCTTCTTTTAAAAACTTTACTTCTATCTTCCTAAAACCTGTTGCAGTAAATAAGCAAATCCACTGGGTCTACAATATAAATGACATCTCAGAATTTTGTAGTGTATAACCTGCACATTATATATAGCAGTTCTGGGCATAGGCAGGGAAAATAAGATGGATGCTGAGAGGAGTCAGGAGTCAGGGATGGGGATAGAGTGTCTAGGAGTCCCCGGTCCTTAGGAGACAAAGAATACCTTTTGCTATAGAGCTGCGCTGTTCAATATGACAGCCACTTGCCACCAATAGCTAATGAGCACTTGAAATGAAGCCAGTGCGAATGGCGAACCACATTTTTTATTTTAATAAATATGAATTTAAAATGTAAAACTTAAGCAGTAAATAATTTTTTTTCCATTAATCACAACTTTGTTGTTTGGTAGAACTACATTTCACTCTATCTGCTGCATTACAAAAGATGTCCTGTACTGTATTTCTCCTGAGTTATTTCTAGTATCTCAATAATTTTATATGATTACATGAAATTATAATATTTTTATATATGGCTTACATGAAATATATTATTAAAATTAATTTCACCTGTTGCACTTTCCTTTTTTAAGGTGACTACTAGAAAATTTTAAATTACATATGTGGCTTACAGAATATTTCTGTTCAACAGTGCTGCTTTGAAGACATCTTAAGGTCTATATAGTTAAGGGGCTTGGGGTGATATCCAGAGAAACTAACTGCTTGGTTTTGTTTGAAGTAGACCTTCACATTTCTTTCTAGGTTGTCCAGCTCTGTTTACAAGGAGGGAAAATATGACAAAGAGAGGAGAGGAGCATACCTCAGTGAGTAGAGCTCAGCAGACTTCTGGACTCCAGCTCCACCACTTACCACTTACCAAGTGTTACAGAACCTCCCTGAACTTCAATCTCTTCATCTGTAAAATGCTGAAAGTAATCTTACCCACCTCAAAGGGCTGCCTGGAGGATTAAACCTGATACTCTAGGTAAAGAGCTTAGCATGGAGCCTGGCACATCATATATGCCCAATAGATATTTGGGATGTTTATTACTTGGGAATAAAGAAGGTACAAATGAATGATTTCCTTTGTGTTATTTAGGTCAGTTTGCCACAGTACAAGAGGGTGCACCCTGTCCACATGCCCATTTACCTTTCTAGACTGAAAATTTGGATGGAAGTATTTTCCTCAATCTTCTATACCATTGATAAATATATTTGCTTTCTTTAAATCCATTAGGTCTTTAAGACACATTAATGAGCAGTGAAAAAATTATCTTAGATGCTGAAGCAACATGAAAATGGGTAAAACTGGCATTTAATGAATTATTTGTGCCAACAGCTAACACTAGAAATTTTTGTTCCAAGTCATATAGTGAATGTTTTCAGTTAAGACTTTATAATATCTGAATCTCTTTCTTGAAACAAGCATTGGAATGTACATCTACATGTACAGATCGATTCATTTTATCTGAATGCATTGTTTTTTTGGTTTTTTTTTTTTTTGAGAAGGAATCTCACTCTGTCACCCAAGCTGGAGTGCAGTGGCACAATCTCGGCTCACTGCAACCTCTGCCTCCCAGGTTCAAGCAATTCTCCTGCCTCAGCCTCCCGAGTAGCTGGCATTACAGGCATGCGCCACCACACCTGGCTAATTTTTGTATTTTTAGTAGAGACAAGGTTTCACCATGTTGGCCAGGCTGGTCTCAAACTCCTCAACCTCAAGTGATCCGCCCACCTTGGCCTCTCAAAGTGCTGGGATAACAAGAGAGCCACTAAGCCCAGCCCTAAATGCATTCTTTATTTCTCTGCCATTTTGCATAGACTTGAGATCAACTGTTTAGCTTTTTCATGTCCCAAAGGGTTCATGTAGACTGTATACTCCCTCTTGTATGTAATTTATTTTAAAAATAATAACTAGAGTAGTTCAACCATATCTGTATTCTGATACACATTCTGAGAAATGTCCAGCTATGCCTAACCTTTGTTCATCGTGTAGCCCTCTCCTGAGTCCTGATTTTCAAAAATATTTTTCCCAACTTATTGCTGACTGAATTTACTTACCAGACTTTGTGTGGCGTCTTTTCAAAATCACTTGGAAAATCTGTTTATCCCTGTCTTCCCTGATTATTTATTTAATTCTCTTTAAGAACTCTAGCGAATTTGTCTGACATGGTTACCCTCTTTCAAAGGGAAAGACTCTCCTCCGAAATGTTATATTTGCTTAAAACAGTATAAATCCACTTTCCCTACTTCCCTACACATACACTCATGTAGAATTTATTTTAGATTTCATTCATTCCACAAAGTCCAAGGAAAATTCCACAGACACTACATTAAATTTACCGTGAGTCTAAGCAAGCCATTATCTTCTATGAGGCTCTCTTTTCTCATCTATAAAATGGGCATAATATACTTGCCCTTTGCCAAATAGAACAAGCCATCTCCTTGTTCATGACTGTGTATAAAACACTCTCAGAGAAGCTCAAAGTCCTTTACAAGTATTAGGCCATGAATCTTTCTCAAGTGAACTGTTAATTATGTGTCATTATAGTTTGTTGAATAGATGCAAAACCTGAAGCACAGGAAAATAATTCCAGTTAATAGTTAACTTAGAAATCCATGCAAGGTAATGAAACAATATGTATAAAAACCCCTGTGACTCATGTTTGCCTACGTAACAAACCTTCACATGTACCCCCAAACCTAAAATAAAAGAAAAAAGAAATCCACCCAAGGCTTTAAACATTAGACCATGATATCTAGAAAGATGACAAAGGGGCTGGGCGCAGTGGCTCATGCCTGTAATCCCAGCACTTTGGGAGGCTGAAGCTGGCAGATCACTTGAGGTCAGGAGTTCGAGACCAGCCTGGCCAACGTGGCAAAAGCTCACCTCTACTAAAAATACAAAAAATAGCCGGGCGTGGTGGCACATGCCTATAGTCCCAGTTATTCAGGAGGCTGAGGCATGAGAATCTCCTAAACCCAGGAGGTGAAGATTGCAGTGAGTCGAGATCATGCCACTGTACTCCAGCCAGGGTGACAAAGTGAGACTTTGTCTCAAAAAAAAAAAAAAAAGAAAGATGTCAAAAGAAAAATCTGAACAGGAGCTCACTCTGCTGTAGTTCTTTATCAAGAAACTACATTAATGCAAAATTCTCTAACATTGCTGGTTGCCTTGCACACCTTACTGGGCCATGATTACTCAAGCAGTAGAGAAATGGCACAATGGATAGGAAGGCTGGAGTTTCCTGAGGACATAAGATGCCTTCCCGGGTCACACAAAGTTTCATAAACTCTAGACCAGGTACTGAGGTCAAATGTCATTGCACAGTTACATAACAACTCTTCCATGTTTTGTTACTGATCCTTGGAAAGTTTTCCTATAGACATCCAATAAGATGAAATGAGGCTCTACACATTACCAACAAGAACACAGTCTCTGCAAATGACCTGTCAGGTTCTTCTAGTTTTATCTGACCTATAACTGGGTACATAACATGGCCTCAAGCATTCTGGCTCTTCTTGTCCTCACATAACAGAGACACTGTAATTCTAAAAGGTCAAAAAAGAGAAAAAATGGAAACTTCACATTGCTAGTGAGTTATTTTATGACCTTCTAAAACTGATGAATAAAAGCTAGAAATCAGTCAGGTGTGGTGGCTCACACCTGTAATCCTAGAACTTTGGGAGGCCGAGGTGGGAGAATCACTTGAGGCCAGGAGTTCAAGACCAACCTGGCCAACATAGCAAGGCCTCATCGCTGCTTAATTTTCGTTTCAATGAGCTGGATGCAGTCATATGCATCTGCAATCCTAGCTACTCAGGAGGCTGAAGCCAGAGGCTGAAGCTCAAACCTTCTATTTAAGCCCAGGAGTTCGAGGCTGCAGTAATCTATGGTGATGGCACCACTGTGCTCCAGCCTAAGCAACAGAGCAAGACTCTGTCTCTAAAACAAAAAAAAAGAAAAAAAAAATCTAAGTGTCCAACAACTGGGGAGTGGCTCAAAATACCACCGTATGCTAACATGACAGAATTACCCAAAGAAAATTATGCATGGACTAATTACAACGTCATAAAGTAACTACCTGTGTATAAATAAAGATTGTAGAATTTGGAGTTACATAAACAGTTGTAACATAATGCTCCTTAATTATTTTCTAGAACATTGCTAAAGATTTATTAAAAGTCAGCTGGTAATAGAGATGACTGGAAGGGGATTCACAAAGATTCTCTCTGGAATGGTTTTAGGGTTATTTTTAATTTCTTCTTTGTAAGCTTCAGTATTGTTTACATCTTCTAACAAGGAATATATAAAACTCTACAAAATGACAATTTTTTTTTACTGATGGCAAGGAGAGTCCAAGGAGCACACCAGGTGTCTGAGAACCTCGGTGGCACCCAAAGATCAAACTTTTGCCTGGGGGAAGCAAGATGGTGTGTCAACAGCTCTGAGCCTAAAAAATGTCTTCTGGCTAGGACTCCAGAACTTATGAACAAGAATTATTTCATGCAATGCTTCTATAACTGGTTTAAGTATGTGACAAAGACACTGACAATCCTTAAAAAAATTCAAAAGCATGTATACCTAAATTTACATGTCTGACAGCATTCAAACCCAGTTAAATTGTATTTCTGTTTCCCTGCATGGTTGAAGGATCAAGCATTTTTATCACCCAAGCAGGAAAATGAAGAAATCAACTGCCTTCTACAAATCAAAAATAACCCTAATAGTAAAAACTAACTTTGTTGCATGCTTAAATCATATTGGCAGAAAAATGAAACTTTAAATCACTCTTGTAAGAAAAAAAGCCAGTTTCATTTTTGGGGCAGTCATATGGAAATCCCACAAGTCGTGGTTGAAACATAATATTGAGGAGTATGTGAGGACATTAAGAGTTTCTAAGGAAATAGTAACAAAAGATATCATTGGAATTCCATGAAGGATAAGAGAAGAAAAATCAAAGGTTTTTCCTACTAAATCACATTATAATGTCACCAAAATTAAAAATAAAAGGAGTAGGATACTTGACAGGGAGTTTCACCTTGTAAGTATCTCATATAGTACATGACAAGTTAAAGTCTGTCGCTTTGATACTCTATTGTAAGCATTTCAAGGTTAAAAGCTTTAACCTTGAAAAACAAATGACATATAGTTACAAAAGGCAAAAGTATATATTGTAGAAATCCAAACAAAAGTGTTCCTCCTTTAGAAACATAAAACTGATGAGATAACATAATGAATACTTACTTCCCTCCCTCCTCCAAAAGCCATTCTTTGTAGCCATAAAAACTAAGATAATCATAACACTATGCTAAGAAAAAATATACAGATGGAAAATAATGATAATAATGTATGTTGTCCTTTCAAGAATGTTTTCAGTGAAGAATATTTCTAAATAATACAAGAAACAATACACTTGAGAAAACTTAAATTGAATGCTCTATATTTCAATCCATATATAGACAAGTGATGTGAAAGTCTAATCAAGAATTTAGAGAATTTAGATTGTTGAGTACAACTTGGGTAATTGTGACCAAATGTCTCTTTTTTTTTTTTTGAGACGGAGTCTTGCTCTGTTGCCCAGGCTGGAGTGCAGTGGTGCGATCTCAGCTAACTGCAACCTCTGCTACCTGAGTTCAAGAGATTCTCCTGCCTCAGCCTCCCGAGTAGCTGGAATTACAGGCACGTGCCACCAGGCCCACCTAATTTTTGTATTTTTAGTAAAGATGGGGTTTCACCATATTGGCCAGGCTGGTCTTGAACTCCTGACTTCAAGTGATCCACCTGCCTCAGCCTTCCAAAGTGCTAGGATTACAGCCATGAGCCACCACTCTTGGCCCAAATATCATTTTTTCTTAACTATAAAGTGTCCAAAATTGTCTGGAAAATTCATTCAGTATATTAAGTACTTGCTTGGTACTATGCTTTCCCTAGGAAAGAACTTCTGTGAAGACCCAGTACATTACAGAAAAACTATACTGCCTGGAAAAGGGAGGTTCCAATGACTTCAAAGACTTCGTTTAGAAAAGGGAAGGATGCTTGTGGAAGCACAGTGGGAGGAATGAGCTCTGCAGTATCCCTACTAGCCAAGCTTTTGTTCACAATGGTGCCTAGTGGTACCTGCTGAAAAAGCCTTTTTAACCATCTGTCATCCTCCAAAGATAAAGTAATTGTTGCACCCACTCCATTGTCACAATCGCCAGCACTCCTGTTTTCTGTATTGCCAATGCATAGCTGCCATCATGGGAAGATCGAGCTTTGCTTTTTCTGCACAGATAAGATGGCTTAGGAACAATTATCCTCCTACTTTTGTGGAAACTGACTCTTGTCATCATGTGTGTAACCATAAAGAATGTTGATGTTACAAAGCAACTGGGAGAGCATGCTGGAAGTTCACAGCCCATTAAGGGAGCCTGAGGAATGACTCAACTGATGAAATGACGTTGGGAAAGTCGTGATCATCCACAAACGGCAGGGTACATCAGCCCAGCCAGAAACAGGAACTTGGTTCACATTCCAAGGAGGGCACAAGTGGAAAGGGAAGTAAGGGTGCTGCTGCTGGTAAGGCAGTTGTGTGATAAACTGGCCTCCAGAAGGAAATAATGATAACTTCCATTGAGGCCACATGGCCATCAATGACACCAATCCCATCTTTCAGATTAAAATAATATTGGACTTAATAGAAGCTGCACTTCACTGAAAGGTAAAACATTCAGAGGTCAAGATGGCAGAAAGAGTCATCCTACACAAAGTGAATTCAAGAAACAGGAACAATAGGCCAGGCGGTGGCTCACACCTGTAATCTCAGCACTTTGGGAGGCCAAGGCAGGCAGATCACCTGAGGCCAGGAGTTCGAGGCCAGCCTGGCCAACATGGTGAAACCCTGTCTCTACTAAAAATACAAAAATTAGCTGGGTGTGGTGGCGTGCACCTGTAATCCCAGCTACTCGGGAGGCTGACGCAGGAGAATCACTTGAACCCAGGAGCTGAGATCATGCCACTGCACTCCAGTCTGGGTGACAGAGCGAGACTGTCTCCACCCCCGCCAAAAAAAAGAAAAGAAAGAAAGAAAGAAACAGGAACAAGGGCTCTATGCCAGTAATCTACGTACCACCCAACCTAAGATATAGGTTTTGCCCCCTATGACAACTATGATCAATTGGTAGTGTACACTTAGAGTTGTATATGAAGGCATCTGAGGTCCAAACTCGGCTCAGCGGCCCAGCCTGATCCGAAAATGTTTCCTGTGGGTAGAGGAAGGGGAAAACAGCAACACACTGCTATGACTGAATGGTGCCAGTCTCTGGATAGAGATTGGTAAAGAAATTATACTCTAGCCACTATTAGCAGACTGGACAAAAACCTCTACTTTCTCTCCCTTCTGAAAGCCTAAGACAATGACAATAAAGAAATTTTTTTATTTCATGTATAAATCAGCAAGGATGGAGAGAATGAGTGAAGAGACAATAGCAAAAACATTTTGGTGGAATAAGCAGAAGCCAAGAAATAATCTGATTTACACCATGGAATCTCCAAAAGGTTAAATAATTAAAGGCAATTGAACCCTCTATAAAAAGAGGGGTGGGCTAAAAAATTAGTGACTTTTTAAAGTCTTTTTAAAAAGCTGGATCCCACAGATCCCTCTGGCCACTCCAACCAGTTAGGTGACTGCCCCTTCTCTACCCCAGCAAAAAACCTGGAGTTTCCTCCCTACTCCTTCACCCTTCAGGGGGTCCGTACACAAACAGCATGGAGGGGTTATATGCACATCTACATACTGGATGCTGAGACTTCCAGTCTTCTTTTCCACTTACTGACAACCAGGCTCTCTGTCAATCTCTGGGGAAAAGAATGGAAAAGGCTTCTCTGAGGACTCTCACCAGCCCAAGAGGTAACGACCACAGAGGTTCCCCAAATAAAAAGCCCAGCCAGATTCCCCCTACCATGAATTCCCCAGTCGACAAGCTCATCCACATCTTCAGCATTTTTTTTTTTTTTGAGACAGAGTCTCCCTGTGTTGCCAGGCTGGAGTGCAGTGGCATCATATCGGCTCACTACAACCTCAGCCTCTCAGGTTCAAGCAATTCTCCTGCCTCAGCCTGCTGAGTAGCTGGGATTACAGGCACACGCCACCACGCCTGGCTAATTTTTTTTATTTTTAGTAGAGACGAGGGTTTCACCATGTTGGCCAGGCTGGTCTTGAACTCCTGACCTCAAGTGTTCCGCCCACTTTGGCCTCCCAAAGTGCTAGGATTACAGGCGTGAGCCACCCTGCCTGAACCCCAGACCTTCTGCTTTTTAATCCCCCTCTGAAGTGTGAGTAGATAACCAAGGGCATTAGTTACACAAGGAAAACTTCTAACATGAAAGAGAAGAAACCTAAACAAATGAAAAGACAAAAGCCGCTTGGGAAATTCAATCTGTGCAGGAAGGAAAAAAAGTTGCTCCAAAAAATCATTAAGCTTCTTAGGGAGAAAGGAAAAGACACTGACACTATAAAACAAAAACCAGAAAGAAATAGACACACAAACCACACACATACAAATATATATGTATATATTCAGGCAACCAAAAAAATAGAGATTTTGATTTTAAATATTCATGATTACAGTCATGAAAAACTTATTTTTGGCCCAGTCAAAAATAGCCAATATCTGAACAATATGAGCTTCTCACAGACACAGAAAATAGAGGGGGAAAAATTACCAATGAGATAGATATATATATATATGTGTGTGTATATGTATATATATACACACACATATATATACACACACACATATATACGTATATATATACATATATACACACACATATATACGTGTGTGTATATATGTGTGTATATATATATATATATATTTTTTTTTTTTTTTGAGACAAAGTCTCAATCTGTTTCCCAGGTTGGAGTACAGTGACTCAATCTCAGCACACTGCAACCTCCGCTTCCTGGGTTCAAGCAATTCTCCTGCCTCAGCCTCCTGACTAGCTGGGATTACAGGGGTGAGCCACCACGCCCAGCTAATTTTTGTATTTTTAGCAGAGATGGGGTTTCACCATGTTGTCCAGACTGGTCTCGAACTCCTGACCTCAGGTGATCGGCCTGCCTTGGCCTCCCAAAGTGCTGGGATTATAGGCATGAGCCACTGCGCCCGGCCACCAATGACATAATTTAAGAAAATTTCCCAAACTGAAGAATGAAAGTTTCCAGATTCAAAGAGCCCAACACAATGCATGAAAACAGACCCAAACCTAGGCACAGTGTCGTGAAATTTTAGGACTGTGGAGGCCAAGAGAAAATTCTATAAACTTCAGGGAGGACCCAGCAAATTGTAACCTGTACACAGATTACAAGAAAAAGCTGAGGAATCAGTAGAGTTCTAAATTTCTCAACAGCAATACCACAATGTGGAAGTCAATAGAACAATGCCTTCAAAATTGCCATCTTAGAAATCTACACTCAGTCAAACTATCAATTGTCAGTTGAAAACACATTTTCAGGCATCTACAGTCTCAGAAAAGTAGACCTCTAGGCATCCTATTCCAGGAAGCTCCTTTAGGATGGGCTCTACCAAAAGAAGGGAGTCAACCAAGACTGAGGAAGACATGTGCTACAAGTACCAGGAGATCCAACACAAGAGACAAATGATGAGAATCTCCAGAATGATGACAAAGGGAACCCTTGGGGTGACAAGTGTGCCAATGTACCAAAGGCACCCAGTCTGGATTATAGCAAGCCAGTAGGCTCAGGAACAGCTTCTTGAGGAAAACGAAATTGACAAAATACCTGGTCAATTGAGGGAGAATTTGGAAAACTGGCCAAGAGCTGTGGGTTTAATCAATGAAGAGCACAAAATAAATAAAATGAACAAACAAATCCATTATTAACTCCAAGGAAAATAAAAAGTTATGTTTGGTCACGCCTGTAATCCCAGCACTTTGGGAGCCCAAGGCAAGTAGATCACCTGAGGTCACGAGTTTGAGACCAGCCTGATTAACATGGAGAAACCCCATCTCTACTAGAAATACAAAAATTAGCTAGGCGTGGTGGCACATGCCTGTAATCCCAACTACTCAGGAAGCCGAGGCAGGAGAATCGCTTGAACCCGGGAGGCAGAGGTTGTGGTGAGCCAAGATCGTGCCATTGCATTCCAGCCTGGGCAACAAGAGCAAAACTCTGTCTCAAAAAAAAAAAAAACGAAAAAAAAGTTATGCTTGGCTTAGCTGTGAATTTTGATCTAACCATTATTCAATATTCTGTTTTAACGACTGCAAGAATGGGAAAATAGGGAAGCTGTACTTGCGTTGGGGGTTGGAGGGAAAAAGAGAGCCAACTCATCATCTTCCACAGTGGGAAGTCAACAGATAATGCTTAAAATTGAAAAATCAAGAAGTATCAACTATAAGCCACAAATGGCAAAGAATTACAAGTGGTTGTTTCTGGAAAGGGAGAAATGTAACTTGGATAAAAGTTTAAAACTATAAACCATAACAAAACAAACTTTGGCTTCTGTGCCCACACATTTTTACATTTGTTTGCTTTTTCTTTGTTTCCCTAATAACAATCTGTTTTGAAAAAGCCCATCCTTGTTTCTCTAAACAAAAGAGTATGTAATTCTCTACATCTATACTACAGTAGCTGCGGTCATCTGAGCTCTGAGCAGTCAAACATGGTGGGGAAATTAATTGTTACAATCCAATCCCAGAAGAATTGGTTGAGCTGGGGTAGTGACAATAAGGCAAGCCCAAGCACAGGCGTGTTTGGAGGTGGAGGCAACTACTAGGCCCCTTCCTTCTGGGTTGTTTCTTATTTTTCCACAAACCTTTTATAATAGCATAACCACATCGTACAGGATAATTTTACAATTGCCAGTGACCATGAGCCAATTTCACTTTTTTCCAACAGACTTGAATGCCCAATTTATGATCGTAATTAGTCCAACCAAGGCAGCTGGCCCCCAAGACTGTTGATCTGGGTTTGACTTCAGTAACTCCACTTTGCCTGCTGTAGACTGGACAAGAAGGGAGCATAATAAAGGCTCTGAAGCAGCAGACATCCAAGGAGCATCCACGGGGAACCAGCACCATGCTGAAGATCAACACTCATGCTGACTCTGCAGACCAAGTACCCCTGCCCTGAACAACATGGTGATTTGTCTAGGGGTAAGAATCTGGGAGGGGTGGGGTGGAAGCTAAGGAGCTGGAACAGCTGGGGCAGGGAGGAGAGGCACCAACCTGGTCAACCTGGAGGAACCTGTAGGCAGAGGTGTGGCTGGAGGCCCAAGGCCCTGTCTCCCAGCACTCTGGATACCCGGAGAAAGGCAGAGAGGCCAGTAATTCTTCCCCAAGCGTAAAAGTAGGCCAGACACTGCTCACAACCCTTCCAACCTCCCTATCAAGGGTCAACTTAAGGAAGCAAAGGTTACCATTATCTCAGCTTTATTTTCCACGGTTTGGTAAAACATAGCTGCTGCCCTTGAGTAACTAGCTGCTGAGAAAACATGATTATCTTGATAAAGAATAAAGTAGGTTGAAAATGCTAGAGCATACATTAATATTCTATATCCTTTCCTAGTTGGGAAGATGTGAAAATTCTAGTTGGACCTATGTGGGGCAAAGGTATTGCCAACTAGAGTAAAGCACTGACTGCATGAGTTTACACTTGGCCTATACAGTTCCACAGACCAGAATGTACACACCCTTGTGAGAAGAGTCAAGATCATTAACATAAACACACCACAGTAAGCATCTGCGTTGGCAAGAGTGTAATATATGGATCAGATTAACTGGAGTATGGGGAAAGTGTAAGTCTTCCGTAAACATTGAAAATGTAACTAAACTAAAAAATACTTTCAAATACATAATGTGAAAGTTACCCATACTTCTATTTTCCCCTTAGAAATAAATCTTAATATCCCTTACTCCAGGTGATTATTGCAGAGTAAGCAGCTACCAGTGTCACGACCTAAACTGTTAAATCCCAAACTTTATTTGGGAGATCCGCTGGTTTGTTTCTTCCCAGCTCTTTAGCAGAGAATAATCTAGAAGTGAGTAAATTCTCAGAATTTCCCAAGAGGAAAATGAGCATTCACTGGAAAAATACAAGGAATACGCGCAAAACTTATAACTATTTTGGATAATCTTCAAACCCACTTAGCCACCAGCCATCCTGTTGTTCCAAGTTAACATTAAGATCAATCTTTCGAATCAAATATTCCAGTTTCCAAAGAATAGCAATGGATGAGATTGTTTCCAAACCTGGTACACACCACCATGTTACACGTCCACGGGAAAAATAAAATAAAATAAAATCCACAAGAAATTTAGGATTAAAGAAAATTAGGAAAGTGTACACTCCCAGGTCAAGGCCCTAGTTTTTCCAAGAAGTACATACATTGGCCGGGCACCTGTTTTCAATATTCAAACACAACTTCCCGGGGCGAGGTGGGCGGGGTATTGGGGGGGTGGGGAAGAGAACGTGAACTTCACTGGGTGAGTCACGTGCAACTGCGGAACATCTTGGCCGATACTGCCAAATTTTTTTTTTAATACTTTAAGTTCTAGGATACATGTGCACAACGTGCAGGTTTGTTACATATGTATACATGTGCCATGTTGGTGTGCTGCACCCATTAACTTGTCATTTACATTAGGTATATCTATCTCGACACTGCCAAATTTCAATC
Source organism: Homo sapiens (assembly GCF_000001405.40). Lineage (NCBI taxonomy): Eukaryota > Metazoa > Chordata > Mammalia > Primates > Hominidae > Homo > Homo sapiens. The sequence goes on from NC_000004.12 coordinate 48,269,341, forward strand.
AAGATCGCGCCGCCGCCCAACCCGAAAGGAGGCATCAGCCCTGCTCGCCGCTGGGACGTGACCCCAACGCTGAACTTGCCGCAGGGCGGCCTCAGGCCTGGAACTTCAAGAAAAAGGGGCGGGTGTTCCTTAGGAGAGGTCAGTGCGGGAGTTGGAGAAGTGGAGAATCTACTGCCGGCAGGAAGGCGAGGCTGCGCCACTGCGCGCACCTGTCCCTCCTTCCCGGACCGAAGAGGGGACCCAGAGACGGCGCACCCGCGCTCACTGCGGCACGGAGGGGAGAAAATCCTTCCCCGTTCCTCGAGGGGCGTGTGGAAGCCGCCTCTTGCCGCGCTCATCCCCCTCCCCACCCGTCCTCGCCCGGAGTATCGCACTCCCGGGGCCGCCCCAGCCCGCCCGCGGCGCCCTTACCTGGCTGAAGCGCGGCTGCTGGGCGGACCTGGGGAGACTGCGAGGTGCAGTCTGCGCCGCGGAGTCCGGAGCCTAGCGCCCCAGAGTCCAGAGCAAAGCGCCCCGCCCCGCCCTCTGATCTCCCCGTCCCGCCCCCAATCACCCCGCCCCGCCCCGATTGCTGGCCCCGTGGACGCCCTACCCCGCCTCTGATCCTGCAGGCCCGCCCAGTCCTCGATCGCCCCGCCCCGGTCGCTTGGGCCCTGGGTGGCAGGTTTGCGCAGCCCTGCGGCGATTTCAAGGCAAGTGACCGGAATGGGTCGGAAGCGCGTCCCGGTGAGTTTCAGGGAGCGTCCCTTAGGTTTCCGGGGGCGGCGTTGAACCTCCCTAGCCCCAGTCTTCCCATCCCAGGAGACCCGCCCCTAGTGGCTCGAACGCCCCTAGCCAGGAGAGCCCCGAGTAGTGCCACTTGTGGAAGACTACGTGCCTGTCGGAATTAGGAACCGCACCTCCCCTTCCGCTAAGCGGTGGGAGGCCAGGCGGGTGACGCGGAGCAGTGGAGCCATGCAGCCTGTTTTACCAAAAGAGTAAGTGGTTTTCCTGTGAAACCCGAGGGAGCAGTGCATATCTGATACACTTAGAGGGTCACGTGCACTATTAATGTGTTAACATTAAACTCACTGAAGAGTAGAAAACACATGTAAGACTTAACTGTGTGCCAGGCACTGTTCTAGGTACTTCACATGTACTAAAAGTTCTCTGAAGCGTATATTATCAGAATCCCCCTTTTCACATACGGTGCAAGTGAGGCAGAGAGAAGCTAAATAACTTGCCTAATGTCACCCAACTAGTAAATTGAGAAGCTGGGTTGAGAAGCTGGGCTTCAAATCCAGGTCTTCCTCCTCTGGAGTCTCCACTGTTATTCACGGCTATCCTGAATCAGCAAAATCTGTGTGCATCCTATACCAGGAACTGTTCCCATGCCTGGGGAAGATGAGGCAAGGACTCTGCCATTAGGAAACTTTTATTCTACTGTAGGAGAAAGACAATAAGTGATTGTCGACTAAAATTTAAAAATCAAGCTGTTAAAGAATGAAAGTTAGTTTTATTCAGAAGTCTTACTGAGGACTAGAGATGGAGGCCTACAGCCCTGGAGGAGTCTTTTAGAGAGATTCAAGCAGATCCCTCCAACACAGAACTTCCCTTCTCAATTTAGAAACAGTTGGTGAAGATTCAGTATGTGTAAAAGCACATCACAGTTTGGGCTTAAGAGTACATCTGTTTATAGATTACAGAAGCATAATCACTAACCTCATCAGACTTTATCTTAGGTGCAGTAAAAGGCAAGGGCTCAGGCAAGAGACGTGGGGGATCCTGTGTTCTATCTCGTTTTGTCTTCAAAGCATCTTTCCGCCAGCTGCAGGTGGTCACAGAGTCAGGGGCTGTGTGAAATTATGCTGACAAGCAGAAATGAGCAAGCATGGCTTCTTAACGTTTGTTACTTGTCTCACATGATCAACAGGCAAGCAAAAAATTAAACCACTTCGTAAGTGAGGTGTCTTGACTAAAATAAAGCAGGGTGATGGAATTGAGAGTGAAAGGGAGAGGGAGGCTACTTTAGATATGATGTTACTGGAGGCTTCTCTGGGGTAACAGTGGAGCTGAGACCTGAATGATAGGACAGACGGCCAACCCAAGGCTGAAGCTAAGGGAATGGCAAGTGCTTTGATACTTATCACACCTCATGCTTGCTTGGGACTTAAAAGTAGTGCCTTCCTATATCATTTCTCCTTTGATCACTGTAATAACCCTGAGAAGTCTAACAAGATTCCATTTAATACAGTGGTCCCCAACCTTTTTGGCACCAGGGACTGGTTTTATGGAAGATAATTTTTCCATGGACAGGTGTCAGGAAGAGATGGTTTGAGGATGAAACTGTTCCACCTCAGATCATCAGGCATTAGATTCTCGTAACGCGTACACCACCTAGATCCCTCGAATGCACAGTTCACACTAGGGTTTGCACTCCTGAGAGAATCTAAGGCCAAGGCTGATCTGACAGGAGGCGGAGCTCAGCCGTAATGCAGGCAATGGGGAGTGGCTGTAAATACAGATGAAGCTTTGCTCCCTTGCCCACCGCTCAACCGCTTACCTCCTGCTATGCGGCCAGGTTCCTAACAGACCTCAGACCGGTACTGGTCCACAGCCTGCGGGTTGGGGAACCCTGATTTAACAGGGAAAACAATAACAGCAACAACAACTGAGGGTCAGAGAGGTTTCAATGACTTTCCAAAAGTCAGACAACTATCTAGGAAAAGGGGAGATGGGAAGAGGGCACAGATTTGGACCAAGGCCTTCTGATTACAAATCCTCTCTCCAGTGAGGACTTTGAGTATAATGACTAGTACTTTGAATGAATCTAGTAAAATTTCTTTTTTATGATCTACTCTCTCCTCCCTACCCGAGTCTCTCCTGCCTCTTGTCCCATTCAGGTACTTGTTTTGGCTAGTTAACGTAATTTCCCCTAGCACAGATGTACTTTGAGGGGACAGGACCATAAACCATCTGAAACTCTATGCAAAAAAACTGTGTTGGGGGGCAGGAAAGAGAGTTATAGATATATAATTATAGTAATACAGTTAATTTTCTCCCAAGAAAAATGCTTATGTACGTATATTTTTAAGTGAGAGGACTTAGAACTTTTATCATATTGACTGATCCCAAAAAGGTAAGAGCTACTGCCTTAAGGAATTAACTGATATTATGATGGTTAGAAGAACCAGTTTCCAATTCGCCTTGCCTGTTCTTGGTAGGTGATGGTAGCTCATATTCTTGACAATGGTAATGAGGATCTCAATGTTTATGAAGTTTGAAAAGGCAGAAAACCCAGACCCTTACATAATTTCTTCATAAAGTTTAAATTAAAAGAGAGAAAAGTGTCTGTATTGTCCCTACTAACTCTCAGAAAAGCCAAAGAGAACAGATCTGTAAATAAAACACCTAGATCCAACATAATTCTTAATAGTTGGGGTAATTTTCATAAAGTTATAGTTTTCTAAATAAGACATTTGTTACACTATCAATCATACAGTTTAAGTAGGCAATTGCCACAGGTATACCATCCATAGATCACATAATAGAGAACAATGGCAATTTTTTTCAGCAAGGTGTTGAGAAAGAGACAGAGAGACAGACAAAAAAAAGAGGCCATTAGGGAACTTCAACTACATTAAGGAAAAGGTGTAAAAACTGAACTCAGAATGTGGTGGGATTAATAAAAAAGATTTAGTCTTTCTTTAATTTTTATTTTTTAGGTGAAAACAGAATACTACATTTGGGCCTGTATAATTCAAACTTTTACATTCGTCCCTAGTCAAAAGAAGGAATCTAGTAGTTGACTTAAAAAGATTTCTCCCCCTGCCTCCAAAAAGAAGACTCAAACAATATTAGTAAAACCATCTTTATTTTAAGAAAATCAAGATACAGAGAAAAAGGTATTAATATAAACTTCTTGGGAGACAAGACTCTCCCTTCTTACAAGATATCGCTATGGCTTCCATAAAGTTTATTTGTTTAGATGATCAGTATCAGGTTGACATAATTTCAGTTCCTTGAGAGACGAAAATGCCTCTTTTTAACTTACATGTAGATTCCACATGGTACAGAAGAAGACATGCAGAATCAACCTGGAAGGTTTGCAAAAATATATGTGTGTATATATTTGTATTTATAGCTTCTTGCCTTTTTTTTTTTTTTCTGAGACAGAGTCTTGTTCTGTTGCCCAGGCTGGAGTGCAGTGGCACAATCTCGGCTAACTGAAACCTCTGCCTCCTGGGTTCAAGCAATTCTCCTGCCTCAGCCTCCTGAGTAGCTGGGATTACAGGTGCCTGCCACCACGCCTGGCTAATTTTTGTATTTTTAGTAGAGATGGGGTTTTACCATGTTGACCAGGCTGGTCTTGAACTCCTGACCTTGTGATCCGCCCGCCTCAGCCTCCCAAAGTGCTGAGATTACAGGCATGAGCCAGCATGCCCGGCCAGCTTCTTGCATTCTTTTGTGCAAGTCACTGGTTTTATTTTGTAACCATCTTCCTACTGAAAAGGAAACTGGCCCATCATAGATAATTAATACATTTGTTGATGAATAAATGATGATGACAATGACGATAATGCAGACCTTATCAGTCTTCCATGGAGAGTCTGTTCCTACATGAAGATGACTTCATTGTGATCCTATGATATGTCTGCTTCTCCTTCCATCATGTGCTGAAAGTAGTTGCTTCTTTAGAACTATTGCATAGAAGGAAGGAGTTTCAAATATTGGACACAGAATCAATAATCATATTTCTGGGAAGAGATGCTAAATAAATAATTCAAAAGAAATAAAAAGCATCATATGCAAAGTATATTTATAAGATCATTATAATAATAAAATAAATGTCCAATAATAAGGAAATGTTTAAGTAAAATATATTAACAGTATGGAATGTCAAGCTGTCATTTAAAATTACCTATGTTGGTCAGGCATGGTGGCTCACACCTATAATCCCAGCACTTTGGGAGGCTGAGGCGGGTGGATCTTTTGAGCTCTGGAGTTCAAGACCAGCCTGGACAACATGGCGAAACTCCATCTCTACTAAAAATACAAATATTAGCCAGGCTTGGTGGTGCTCACCTGCAGTCCCAGCTATTCGGGAGGCTGAGGTAGGAGGATTGCTTGAGCCCAGGAGGGCAGGGTTGCAGTGAGCTGAGATCGTGCCACTGCACTCCAACCTGGGCAACAGAGCAAGAACCTGTCTCTAAATAAGTTAATTAATTAATTAAATAATAAAATAAGATTACCTATGTTAATGAAAAAGAGATAGGAAATAAAACTTATGAACAAGATTATATTTTTAAAAGTAGAACACAATGCTTTGAGTACCTGTAATTGCAACTAAATACAAATTATGTGGAGGAAAACTGAAAAGTAAGAATTATGATTAACAGTTATTGAGGGGATGTGCCAGCATCCTTTCTAAGCATATTAGATTAATTCATTTAATTCTCACAGCTGTGTGAGGTGGACTATTGTTATCTTCATTTTACAGATGAAGAAACAAAGGCAGAGAAGGTCTAAGTAATAGCCCAAAATCATAGTTATTGAGTGGCAAAGCCCAGATGTGAACATAAAACAGTATAACTCCAGGGTTTACATTTTTAACCTTTCAAAGCTGCCAAAGGGAATGATCTTTGAATCATGAATGATGTTTATACATATATTTCTTGTATAATGTTTTTATGTTGGTTTGATAGTAATTGAAAATTTTTTCGATGTTAGAGCCAGAAAAGAAGATGTAGAAGTAAAACCAGATTGTGCTTAGCAAAAGAGACAGAGAGTTTCAAAGGGGTCCATTATCTCAACAGTTTGATAGTTTATAAAAGCTGAGTTGTTCTGTCACAATAAAATGATATATTGAGTATTATTCCTATAAATAAAAAGAGTTCTCTGGCCTGAGGGCTTGAACAGGCTGTTTCCTCTGCCTGGAGTGCTCTATCTCCAGATCTTTTTGAAGTTACCTCCTTTGCGAGGGTGGCAGCCATGAAAATGCACCCATCACTACGATAGGAGACTGAGAAAACATTGGTGAACAAACCAGACAAAACTCCCTGTTGTAGGGGAGCTTACATTCTGGTGGAAGGTCAATCATTCAGAATTTGATTTAGCTGCAAGTAACAGCACCCCCTTATGGTAGGCTGAATAAGGCCCTCCCAGTGATGTCCATGTCTTAATTCCCTAGAACCTGTGAGTATAACTTATGCTGCAAAACGGTCTTTGTAGATGGGATGAAGTGAAGGATCTTGAAATGAGATTATTCTGCACTATCTAGGTGAGCCCAATGTAGTTACAAGGGTCCTTATATGAGGGAGAAGGCAGGGTATAATGAGATAAGTAGAGGTCAGAGTAAGAGAGAGATTAGAAGATGCTACACTGCTGGCTTTGAAGATGAAGGAAGAGACCACGAGCCAAAGAAAGCAGAAAGCTTCTAAAAGCTGGTGAAGGCAAGAAAACAGATTCTCTCCTAGAGCCTCCAAAAGAAACCAGACACCTAGATTTCACCCCAGTGAAACTGATTTTGGACTCTGACCCCCAGAACAGTAAGAGAATACATTTGTATTGTTGTAAGGCAATAAATTTGTGGCAATGTATTACAGCAGCAATAGGAAACTAACAAGAGCCTTCAATAGAGAGCATCAGGGTCAGGCTGGCATGATGTTCCATAGTGTCAGGGGCCCAGCTCCTTCTGTCTTTTTGTGTAGGTGGAAGAACCTGGAGGGAAGTACGAACAATTCCAGGGACTCATGATGTGAGTGTGCAGCCATGCATTCACTCATGTGGGTATTTCTCAAACCTGAATCAAGTAGGAAGCCCTTTTAAACAAACATTTTCATTTTAATTCACTTAAATATATAAATATAAAGCTACTTATTTATTCTTTATGTGTCTAGCATTTTATACATACTTAAAGCCAAAATAAGTTTTCAAAATAAATTCAAGCAAGATTACGAAACCAGTTATTGAGACCACACACACCCCTACCCCATGTTTTCACCAAAGGCCACACAGAGAATAGTAACAAGACATTCCTATTCCTCCCAGTCAGGGAGGTACCAGTGGAGGCCTAACTTCTTGTATCCATTCATTGGGATGGAACTCCCAACCGCATCCAGCAGTAATCAAGAGCACCCCACCCCCAAGTGTCAATGGAAGAATAGTGGGAAACCTGGATTTTTACCCCTACCTGGCTGTAGATAGAGGAGATGACCTGCATGCCCTCCTTCCCCTGCCAAGACAGTGTCAGAAGAAGCCAGCTAAAACAAAAAGCGTAAATAAAATCCAGAATCTAAAAACAGAATACGCCAAATTTTCTGGTTTTAATTGAAAATAACTCACTATACCAAGAAACAGGGAGATCTCAAACTGAATGAAAAAGATAATCAGTAGATGCCAACACCAAGATGACAGGGATATTAGAATTATCTGGCAAAGATTTTAAATCATCATCATAAAACTGCTTCAATGAACAATTAGAAACATGCTTGAAACAAATGAAGTAAATAGTCTCTGCAAAGAAATTGAAAGTTTGAGTGAAGAAATAGAAAGTAAAAAAAGACCAAATGGAAATTTTGTAAGTGAAAGTACAATAACTACAATTAAAAACTCTGTTCAGGCCGGGCACGGTGGCTCATGCCTATAATCCCAGCACTTTGGGAGGCTGCGATGGATGGATCACGAGGTCAGGAGATCGAGACCATCCTGACCAACATGGTGAAACCCCATCTCTACTAAAAACACAAAAATTAGCCAGGTGTGGTGGCTCGTGCCTGTAGTCCCAGCTATTCAGGAGGCTGAGGCAGGAGAATCGCTTGAACCCGGGAGGTGGAGGCTGCAGTGAGCTGAGATCGCAACACTGCACTCCAGCCTGGGTGACAGAGCGAGACTCCATCTCAAAACAAAACAAAACAAAACAAAACAAAAAAACCTCTGTTCAGCAGAATAGATGGTACAGAGGAAAGAATCAGTGAACTGGAAAATTGAGCAATAGCAGCTACCTAATCTGAACAACAGCGATTTAAAAAAAAATAGTCCTATGGGACTATAACAACAGATCTACCATTTGTGTCTTCAGAGTCTCAGAGGAAGAGGACAGGGCTGGAAAAAGTACTCAAAGAAATAATGGCTGAAAACTCTTCATATTTGGCAAAAGACATAAACCTATACACTAGGAAGTTGAGTTACCCTCACACCGGATAAACACAAAGAAATCCACACTGAGACACATCATAGTCAAACTTCTTAACACTAAAGATAAAGAAAAAATCTTGAAAGCAGCAAGAGAGACATAACACCTTACCAATAGGGAAAAAAACAATTTGAACGACAGCATATTTCTCATCAGGAAATACAAGAAGGAAGTGGCAGGGAATTTTTTGAATGCTGAAATAAAATAACTGTCAGCCAGCCTAGAATCCTATATCTAGTGAAAATATCCCTCAACAATTAAGGGAAATTCAGCTGGGCACAGTGGCTCATGCCTGTAATCCCAGCACCTTGGGAGGCCAAGTTGGGTGGATCACTTGAGGTCGGGAGTTTGAGACCAGCCTGACCAACAAGGTGAAACCCCATCTCTAGTAAAATATACAAAAATTAGCCGGGCGTGGTGATGGGCACCTGTAATCCAAGCTAATCGGGAGGCTGAGGCAGGAGAATTTCTTCAACCCAGGAGGTGGAGGTTGCAGTGAGCTGAGATCACACCATTACAATCCAGCCTGGGCAACAAAAGCAAAAATTCTGTCTCTAAATAAATAAAGAGAAACTCGAGACTTTCTCAGATAAAAGAAAATGAAGACAACTTATCATTAGCTGATCTACCCAAAAAGAATGGTGAAAGGAGGTTCTCTAAACAGGAAGAAATCAATAAAAGATGGAATCTTGAAAGGAAAGAAGGAAAAACACAGTAAACAATAATACAGATAAATAGAGTAAATATTCATTTTCCTCTGCCTTTTGTAAATTATAATGGATAATTGAAGCAAAAATTTAACACCAAGGCCAGGCACAATGGCTCACACCTGTAATCCCAGAATTTTGGGAGGCCAAGGTGGGAAGATCACTTGAGCCCAGCAGTTCAAGACCAGCCTGGAGAACATAGTGAGACCCCATTTCTACAAAATAATAATAATAATAATAATTTAAAAAAATAAATTTTAACACTGAGAGGTTCTAAAAGTATGCAAAGAAAATATTTAGGATATTTATAAATGGAGGAGGGTAAATTTTAGCTCTTTTTTTTTTTTTTTTTTTTTTTTTTTTGAGACGGAGTCTCGCTCTGTCACCCAGAGGCTGGAGTGCGGTGGCGGGATCTCGGCTCACTGCAAGCTCCGCCTCCCGGGTTCACACCATTCTCCTGCCTCAGTCTCCCAAGTAGCTGGGAATACAGGCGCCCGCCACTACGCCCGGCTAATTTTTTGTATTTTTAGTAGAGACGGGGTTTCACCGTTTTAGCCGGGATGGTCTCGATCTCCTGACCTCGTGATCCGCCCGCCTCGGCCTCCCAAAGTGCTGGGATTACAGGCGTGAGCCACCGCGCCCGGCCTTAGCTCTTTTATAGGGAGCTAAAATTTCCATATTTCCCTCAGATGGAAAAATGATAACACCAGTAGAAGTTTTAATAGTGTGGCCGGGCACAGTGGATCATGCCTGTAATCCCAGCATTTTGGGAGGCCGAGGTGGGTGGATCACCTGAGGTCAGGAGTTTGAGACCAGCCTGGCCAACATGGCAAAGCTCTGTCTCTACAAAAATACAAAAAAATAGCCAGGTGTAGTGGCACACGCCTGTAATCCCAGCTACTCAGGAGGCTGAGGCAGAAAAATCACTTGAACCTGGGAGACAGAGGTTGCAATGAGCCAAGATCATGCCACTGCACTCTAGCCTTGGAGACAGAGTGAGACTCCATCTCAAAAAAAAAAAAAAAGAAAGTTTTAATAGTGTAAAACAAATCATTTAAAAAGCTACACAAAGAGATATACTCAGAAGCACTATAGATAAACCAAAGTGGAATTTGAAAAGCATCCCCATCTCAACAACTGATAGAACAAGTAAACAGAAAACTAGCAAGGGTACTCAACAATACCACCAATCAACAGGATCTGACTGACATTTACGGAACACTCCACCTAACAGCAGGATACACATTCTTTTCAAGTATCCACAGAATATTATATACCAAGCTAGACCTATACTAGGTCATAAACCACAACAAATTTAAAATCACTGAAATCATATACATTGTGTCCTCTGATCACAGTGAAATCAAACCAGAAATCAAAAATGGAAGGATAGGTGGCTGGCAAGATGGTTGAATAGGAACAGCTCCGGTCTGCAGTTCCCAGTGAGATCAACACAGAAGGTGGGTGATTTCTGCATTTCCAACTGAGGTACCCAACTTATCTCACTGGGGCTGGTTAGACAGTGTGTGCAGCCCACAGAGGGTGAGCTGAAGCAAGGTGGAATGGTGCATCATCTAGAAGCACAAGGAGTTGGGGAACTCCCTCCCCTAGCCAAGGGAAGCCGTAAGGGACTGTGCCATGGGGTATGGTGCACTCTGGCCCAGATACTATGTTTTTCCCACAGTCTTCACAACCCACAGACGAGGAGATTCCCTAGGTTGCCTACAACACCAGGGCCCAGGGTTTCAAGCACAAATCTGGGTGGCCATTTAGGCAGACACCAAGCTAGTTGCAGGAGTGTTTTTTCATACCCTGGTGGCATCTGGAATGCCAGCGAGACAGAACTGTTCACTCCCCTGGAAAGGGGGCTGAAGCCAGGGAGCCAAGTGGTCTAGCTCTGTGGATCCCACCCCCACAGAACCCAGCAAGCTAAGATCCACTGGCTTGAAATTCTCGCTGCCAGCACAGCAGTCTGAAGTCGACCTGGGATGCTCGACCTTGGTGGGGGAAGGGGCGTCTGCCATTACTGAGGCTTGAGTAGGTGGTTTTCCCCTCACAGTGTAAACAAAGCCACCGGGAAGTCTAAACTGGGCAGAGCCCACTATAGCTCAGCAAAGCCGCTGTAGCCAGGCTGACTCTCTAGATTCCTCCTCTCTGGGCAGGGCATCTCTGAAAGAAAGGCAGCAGCCCCAGTCAGGGGCTTATAGATAAAACACCCATCTCCCTGGGACAGAGCACCTGGAGGAAGGTGTGGCTGTGGGCACAGCTTCAGCAGACTTAAACATTCCTGCCTGCTGGCTCTGAAGAGAGCAGTGGATCTCCCACCACAGCGCTTGAGCTCTGCTAAGGGACAGACTGCCTCCTCAGGTAGGTTCCTGACCCCCAAGCCTCCTGACTGGGAGACACCTCCCAGCAGGGGTCGACAGACACCTCATACAGGAAAGCTCTGGCTGGCATCTGGTGGGTGTCCCTCTGGGACAGAGCTTCCAGAGGAAGAAACAGGCAGCAATCTTTGCTGTTCTGCAGCCTCTGCTGGTGATACCCAGGCAAACACGATCTGGAGTGGACCTCCAGCAAACTGCAGCAGACCTGCAGCAGAGAGGCCTGACTGTTAGAAGGAAAACTAACAAACGGAAAGGAATAGCATCAACATTAACAAAAAGGGTGTCCACACAGAAACCCCATCTGAAGGTCACCAACATCAAAGACCAAAGGTAGATAAATCCACAAAGATGAGGAAAAATCAACACAAAAAGGCTGAAAATTCCAAAAACCAGAATGCCTTTTCTTCTCCAAAGGATCACAACTCCCTGCCAGCAAAGGAACAAAACTGGATGGAGAGTGAGTTTTACAAATTGACAGAACGAGGCTTCAGAAGGTGGGTAATAAGAAACTCCTCTGAGCTAAACAAGCATGTTCTAACCCAATGCAAGGAAGCTAAGAACCTTGAAAAAAGGTTAGAGGAATTGCTAACTAGAATAACCAGTTTAGAGAAGAACATAAATAACCTGATGGAGCTGAAAAACACAGCATGAGAACTTTGTGAAGCATACACAAGTATCCATAGCTGAATTGATCAAGCAGAAGAAAGGATATCAGAGATTGAGTATCAACTTAATGAAATAAAGCATGAAGTCAAGATTAGAGAAAAAAAAAATGAAATGGAATGAACAAAGCCTCCAAGAAATATAGGACTATGTGAAAAGAGCAAACCTCCGTTTGATTGGTGTACCTGAAAGTGACGGGGAGAATGGAACCAAGTTGGAAAACACTCTTCAGGATATTAACCAGGAGAACTTCCCCAACCTAGCAAGACAGGCCAACATTCAAATTCAGGAAACACAGATAATACCACAAAGATACTCCTCGAGAAGAGCAACCCTAAGACACATAATCATCAGATTCACCAAGGTTGAAATGAAGGAAAAAAATGTTAAGGGCAGCCAGAGAGAAAGGTCGGGTTACCCACAAAGGAAGCCCATCAGACTAACAGTGGATCTCTCAGCACAAAACTTACAAGCCAGAAGAGAGTGGGGACCAATATTCAACATTCCTAAATAAAAGAATTTTCAACCCAGAATTTCATATCCAGCCAAAACAAACTAAGCTTCATAAGCAAAGGAGAAAATTACAGACAAGCAAATGCTGAGAGATTTTGTCACCACCAGGCCTGCCTTACAAGAGCTACTGAAGGAAGCACTAAACATGGAAAGGAAAAACTGGTACCAGCCACTGCAAAAACATATCAAATTGTAAAGACTATCAACACTGTGAAGAAACTGCATCAACTAACAGGCAAAATAACCAGCTAGCATCATAATGACAGGATCAAATTCACACATAACAATATAAACCTTAAATGTAAATGGGCTAAATGCCACAATTAAAAGACACTGACTGGCAAATTGGATAGAGTCAAGACCCTTCGGTGTACTGTATTCAGGAGACCCATCTCACATGCACAGACACACATAGGCTCAAAATAAAGGGATGGAAGAATATTTACCAAGCAGATGGAAAGAAAAAAAAAAAAGTAGGGGTTGCAATCCTAGTCTCTGATAAAACAGACTTTAAACCAACAAAGATCAAAAAATAAAGAAGGGCATTACATAATGGTAAAGGGATCAATGCAACAGGAAGAGATATATATGCACCCAATACAGGAGCACTCAGATTCAATAGGCAAGTTCTTAGAGACCTACAAAGAGACCTAGACTCCCACACAATAATAGTGGGAGACTTTAACACCCCACTGTCAATATTAGCTCAACTAGACAGAAAATTAACAAGGATATTCAGGACTTGAACTCAGCTCTGGAATAAGCAGACCTAACAGACATCTACAGAACTTTCCACCCCAAATCAACAGAGTAAACACTCTTCTCAGCACCACATCACACATAGTCTAAAACTGACCACATAATTGGAAGTAAAACACTCCTCAGCAAATGCAAAAGAAAGGAAATCGTAACAAACAGTCTCTCAGCCCATAGTGCAATCAAATTAGAACTCAGGATTAAGAAACTCAAAACCACACAACTACATGGAAACTGAACAACCTGCTCCTGAATGACTACTGGGTAAATAACGAAATTAAGGCAGAAATAAATAAGTTCTTTGAAACCAATGAGAACAAAGACACAATGTACCAGAATCTCTGGGACACAGCTACAGCAGTGTTTAGAGGGAAATTTATAGCACTAAATGCCCACAGGAGAAAGAGGGAAAGATCTAAAATCGACACCCTAACATCACAATGAAAAGAACTAGAGAAGCAACAGCAAACAAATTCAAAAGCTAGCAGAAGACAAGAAATAGCTAAGATCAGAGCAGAACTGAAGGAGATAGAGGCAGATAAAACCCTTCAAAAAAATCAATGAATCCAGGAGCTGGTTTTTTTAAAAGATTAACAAAATAGATAGACCGCTAGCCATTCTAATAAAGAAGAAAAGAGAGAAGAATCAAATAGACACAATAAAAAATGATAAAGGGGATATCACCACTGATCCCACAGAAATACAAACCACCATCAGAGAATACTATAAACACCTCTATGCAAATAAACTAGAAAATCTAGACTAAATGGATAAATTCCTGGACACATACACCCTCCCAAGACTAAATCAGGAAGAAATCTAATCCCTGAATAGACCAATAACAAGTTCTGAAATTGAGGCAGTAATTAATAGCCTACCAACCAAAAAAAGCCCAGGACCAGACAGATTCACAGCCGAATTTTACCAAAGGTACAAAGAGGAGATGGTACCTTTCCTTCTGAAACTATTTCAAACAATAAAAAAAGAGGGACTCCTCCGTAACTCATTTTATGAGGCCAGCATCATCCTGACACCAAAACCTGACAGAAACACAACAAAAAAAGAAAATTTCAGGCCAATATCCCTGATGAACATTGATGCGGAAATCCTCAATAAAATACTGGCAAACCGAATCTAGCAGCACATCAAAAAGCTTATCCACCATGATCAAGTCGGCTTTATCCCTGGGATGCAGGACTGATTGAACATATGCAAATCACCAAACTTCATCCATCACATAAACAGAACCAATGACAAAAACCACATGATTATCTCAATAGATGCAGAAAAGGCCATTGATAAAATTCAACACCGCTTCATGCTAAAAACTCTCAATAAACTAGGTATTGACGGAATGTATCTCAAAATAATAAGAACTATTTATGACAAACCCACAACCAATATCATACTGAATGGGCAAAAGCTGGAAGCATTCCCTTTGAAAACCAGCACAGACAAGGATGCCCTCTTTCACCACTCCTATTCAATATAGTATTGAAAGTCCTGGCCAGGGCAATCAGGCAAGAGAAAGAAATAAATGGTATTCAAATAGGAAGAGAGGAAGTCAAATTATCTCTGTTTGCAGATGACATGATTGTATATTTAGAAAACCCCATCATCTCAGACCAAAATCTCCTTAAGCTGATAAGCAACTTCAGCAAAGTCTCAGGATACAAAATCAATGTGCAAAAATCACAAGCATTCCTATACACCAATAATAGACGGAGAGTCAAATCATGCGTGAACTCCCATTCACAATTGCTACAAAGAGAATAAAATACCTAGGAATACAACTTACAAGGGATGTGAAGGACCTGGTCAAGGAGAACTACAAACCACTGCTCAAGGAAATAAGAGAGGACACAAAGAAATGGAAAAACATTCCATGCTTATGGATAGGAAGAATCACTATAATGAAAATGGCTATACTGCCCAAAGTAATTTATAGATTCAATGCTATCCCCATCAAGCTACCATTGACTTTCTTCACAGAATTAGAAAAAACTACTTTAAATTTCATATGAAACCAAAGAAGAGTCCACATAGCCAAGACAATCCTAAGCAAAAAGAACAAAGCTGGAGGCATCATGCTACCTGACTTCAAACTATACTACAAGGCTACAGTAAGTAATGAAAACAGCATAATACTGGTACCAAAACAGATATATAGACCAATGGAACAGAACAGAGCCCTCAGAAATAACACCACACATATACAACCATCTGATCTTTGACAAACCTGATAAAAACAAGCAATGGGGAAAGGATTCCCTATTTAATAAATGTTGTTGGGAAAACTGGCTAGCCATATGCAGAAAACTGAAACTGGATCCCTTCCTTACACCTTATACACAAATTAACTCAAGATGGATTAAAGACTTACACATAAAACCTAAAACCATAAAAACCCTAGAAGAAAACCTAGGCAATACCATTTAGGACACAGGCATGGGCAAAGACTTCATGACTAAAACACCAAATGTAATGGCAACAAAAGCCAAAATAGACAAATGGGATCTAATTGAACTAAAGAGCTTCTACACAGCAAAAGAAACTATCATCAGAGTGAACAGGCAACCTACAGAATGGGAGAAAATTTTTGCAATCTATCCATCAGACAAAGGGCTAATATCCAGAATCAATAAAGAACTTAAACAAATTTATAAGAAGAAAACAACCTCATCAAAAAGTGGGTGAAGGATATGAACAGACACTTCTCAAAAGAAGACATTTATGCAGCCAACAAACAAATGAAAAAAAGCTCATCATCACTGGTCATTAGAGGAATGCAAATCAAAACCACAATGAGATACCATCTCTGAAGGGGTGGGTTGCCCCTCCACACCTGTGGGCGTTTCTCATTAGGTGGAACGAGAGACTTGGAAAAGAAAGAGACACAGAGACAAAGTATAGAGAAAGAAAAATGGGCCCAGGGGACCGGTGTTCAGCATACGGAGGATCCACGCCGCCGGCATCGGCCTCTGAGTTCTCTTAGTATTTATTGATCATTATTGGGCATTTCCCGGAGAGGGGGATGTGGCAGGATAATAAGATAATAGTGGAGAGAAGGTCAGAAGGTAAACACATGAACAAATGTCTCTGCATCATAAACAAGGTAAAGAAAAAAGTGCTGTGCTTTTGATGTGCATATACATAAACATCTCAATGCCTTAAGGAGCAGTATTGCTGCTAGCATGTCCCACCTCCAGCCCTAAGGTGGTTTTCCCCTATCTCAGTAGATGGAGTATACAGTCAGCTTTACACTGAGACATTCCATTGCCCAGGGACGAGCAGGAGACAGAAGCCTTCCTCTTATCTCAACTGCAAAGAGGTGTTCCTTCCTCTTTTACTAATCCTCCTCAGCACAGACCCTTTATGGGTGTTGGGCTGGGGGACGGGCAGGTCTTTCCCTTCCCACGAGGCCATATTTCAGACTATCACATGGGGAGAAACCTTGGACAATACCTGGCTTTCCTAGGTAGAGGTCCCTGCGGACTTCCGCAGTGTTTTGTGTCTCTGGGTACTTGAGATTAGGGAGTGGTGGTGACTTTTAACAAGCATGCTGCCTTCAAGCATTTGTTTAATAAAGCACACCCTGCACAGCCCTTAGTCCATTTAACCCTGAGTTGACACAGCACAGGTTTCAGGGAGCACAGGGTTGGGGGTAGGGTTACAGATTAACAGCATCTCAAGGCAGAGGAATTTTTCTTAGTACAGAACAAAATGGAGTCTCTTATGTCTACTTCTTTCTACATAGACACAGTAACAGTCTGATCGCTCTTTCTTTTCCCCACACATCTCATGCCAGTTAGAATGGCAACTGTTAAAAAGTCAGGAAACAACAGATGCCGGAGAGGATGTGGAGACATAGGAATGCTTTTATGCTGTTGGTGAGAGTGTAAATTAGTTCAGCCATTGTGGAAGACAGTGTGGCTATTCCTCAATGATCTAGAACCAGAAATACCATTTGACCCAGCAGTCCCGCTACTGGGCATATACCAAAAGGATTATAAATCATTCTACTATAAAGACACATGCACACTTATGTTTATTGCAGCACTATTCACAACAGCAAAGACTTGGAACCAACCCAAATGCCCATCAATGATAGACTGGATAAAGAAAATGTGGCACATACACACCGTGGAATACTATGCAGCCATATAGAAGGATGAGTTCATGTCCTTTGCAGGGACATGGATAAAGCTGGAGACCATCATTCTCAGCAAACTGACACACAAACAGGAAACCAAACACCACATGTTCTCACTCATAAGTGGGAGTTGAACAATGAGAACCCATGGACACAGGGAGGGGAACATCACACATCGGGGCCTGTTGGGAGATGGGAGACAAGGGGAGGGACAGTATTAGGAGAAATACCTAATGTAGATGACAGGTTGATGGGTGTAGCAAACCACCATGGCATATGTATACCTATGTAACAAACCTGCACGTTCTGCACATGTATCCCAGAACTTAAGGCATAATTTTAAAAAATGGAAGGATAACAAGAATATCTCCAAACAAATACTTGGAAACTAAACAACACACTTGTAAATAATCCATGGATTAAAGAGGAAATCTTAAGGGAAAAAAATACTTGGAATTGAATAAAAATGAAAATATAACATATCAAATTTTGTAGGATACCAGCTAAATAGTGTTGAGGGATAAATTTATAGCAGGAAAAGCATCCATTAGAAAAGAGGAAAAAGTTTCAATAATCTAAGCTCCCATTGTAAGAACCTAGAAAGGGAAAAGTAATATAAATCCAAAGCAAACAGAAGAAAGGACATAATAAAGATAAAAGAATAAATAAAATAAAAAATTAATAAAAATAATATAGATAAAAGATAAATCAATGCAATTAAAAATAGAAAAGCAATGGAGAAAATCAGTGAAAGAACTGGTTATTTTAGGAAGTCTCTAAAATTGACAAACATCTAGCAAGATACTACAGGATAAAAAGAGAGAAGACCCGAACTACCAAAATCAGGAATGAAACAGAAGCTATCACTAGAGACTCTTCAGAAATCAAATGGGTGATAAGAGACTGCTATAAACACCTCTACACACATAAATTTGACAATGCAGATAAAATCAACCAATCCTTTTAAAAGTACAAATTACCACATCTAAACCAATATGAAATAAGTGAGTTGAAAAGCCCTATAACTATTGTGATATTATGATACATATATTGGTTTTTATCCAGTGTTCCCGGCTAACTCCCATTGCCCTTGTTACAGTCTTTTGTTACAATGTTGGGGCACTTTAGGCCTCAGAAAGCAAAATCTCCCTCTCTAACCTTCTGCCTTCCTTTCCCCTGTTCCTTTTTCTCCCCAAGGCAGGAATCTTCCTCTGCCTTTCAGTCTTGGAGTTGACCATAAAGAAATCCTCTGACCTACCCTATCAGATTGTAGACTATCAGACCTACATTTTAGGAGAGGTCCTGTCCCATACCCAGAAGGAAGAAATGCTACACAGAGAGGCCAAGAATCTAAATAGACGGGCCTTGCTGTGTTCCTCCGCTCAATTAGTGTTAATTCATATCCTCTTTTGTCCAAACACATTTCTACAGGATTGTCCATGCTTCAATCATTTCTATCCAATGAAATCTCTACAGAAGGCCCAAGGGGACTGATGAGGTATGGAGAACTTCCGGACAGCAGAACATGTGGAGGGTTCTGGAGGGTGGTGTGTCTGGAGAGGGCGTGAAGGCTCCA
This sequence comes from Homo sapiens, assembly GCF_000001405.40. Classification (NCBI taxonomy): domain Eukaryota; kingdom Metazoa; phylum Chordata; class Mammalia; order Primates; family Hominidae; genus Homo; species Homo sapiens. The sequence continues at coordinate 48,288,266 of NC_000004.12, forward strand.
CACACCTTCCCGTATGCCTTTTCTATAAATCCCTTATCTATATCCTTTGTAATAACCTTCATGATATACCAGCAGATGTGTTTCCAAGTTCTGTGAAGTGCTCTAGCAAATTAATCAAACTTAAAGAGAGGGTCATGGGAACCTCAGTTTATAACCTTGTTGGTCAGCACAAGTAAAGCAACCTAGGGCTTGCAATTGGCATCTGAAGTGGGACCTCATCCTTTAACTTGTGGGACTGAGCCCTCAACCTGTGGAATTCTAATGCCATCTCCAGGTAGATGGCATCAGAATTGAATTGGAGGGCACCCAGCTGGTATCCACGGCAGAACTGATTGCTCACTTGCTGGGGAGAAATCTACTGGTCACAGAAGTCTTCTATGCTGATTGTTTTGTGGTGTGAGAACAGAGGAAAAATAGTTTGAGCGCTTTCCACTCAACTATTAAGGAATTGAATACATAATTTTAAAACTCCCCCAAAAGAAATCTCCAGACCCAGATGGTTCACTGGAGAATTCTAAAAAATGTTTAAAAAAGAATTAACTCAAATTTTTAATAATCTCTACCAGAAAACAGAATAGGAAAGGATACTTCCCAGTTCATTATATAAGGCAGTATTACCCCGATACCAAAACCAGAAAAAGTACTGAAAAATAAAACTGCAGACCAATATCCCTCATGAAAATAGATGCAAAATTCCTTACCAGAATATTTGCAAATAATATTCTGCTATAGATAAAAATAATTGTATACTATGTGATATAGTTTGGATATTTGTCCCCACAGTTCAACACAATTATTGTGTTGACCGGTGGGAGGTGGGACTGATGGGAAGTGTTTGAATGGGGGGCTCGGAGAAGTGCCGATCCCTCATGGCTTCGTGCTGTCTTTGTGATAGTGAGTTCTTATGAGATCTGGTCATTTAAAAGTGTGTGGCACCTCCAATTCCCTTGTCCTTGCTCCTGCTTTCTCCACATAAAATGCCTGCTCCCACTTTGCCTTGAGCCATGAGACTAATACATTGCTGGTGGGAATATAAAATGGTATTGCTACTCAGGAAAACAGTTGGACAATTTCTTTAAACATTAAACATACAACTACCTTACAACCTAGCAATTGAACCCATAGGCATTTCTCCCAGAGAAATGAAAACTTATGCTCACACACATAAAAGCTGTACACAAATGTTTATAGAAGGCTTCTTCCTAATAGCCAAAGTCTGGGAAAACCTATGTGCCCTTCTAAAGGTGAATGGTTAAACAAAATGTGTGCTGTGTATCATACTAAGGAATATCAACCCAGCAATAAAAAGTAACAAACTATTGATCCACACAACAACTTAGATAAATCTTCAGAGGATTATGCTTTTATGCATGTAACTTCACAGTATAAAGGAAATACAAACAATGTCTCCCTTCTCTAGTTTATTCCACTTACCCCAGTCCTCCTAGGCTTCTGTGAATTTCAGAAAGCAAAAACAAAAAAAAAAAAACTTTTTGTTCAAGGCGATTTAAAAAAACAACTTCACAAGATAGGGAGAATTGTGGTGTGCTTGTCACATGTTACCAGTGGTAACAATTTTAATGACAAAAAAATCCACTAATTCCAAATGTATAAACATTTAAAAAAGCCAATAAAGAAAGGTTACATACTATATGATTCCATCTACATAACATTCTTGAAATGACAAAACTGTAGAAGTGGAGAACAGATTCGTGGTTGCTAGGTTTTCCTGAAGGGGTGGGGCAAGATGGAAGTGGCTATGGCTATAAAAGGGTAACATGAGTGACCTTTATGGAGATGGAAATGTCCTTTTTTGACTGTATCAATATTGACCTCCTGGCTGTGATGTTGTACTATAGTTTTGCAAAGGAAAACTGGGAAATGTGAACTCTCTGATTATTTCTTACAACCCAGATGTGAATCTATAATTATCTCAAAATTAAAAGTTTAATTAGATTTTTTAATTAATAGCTAATAATGACAATAGCCAACATTTATTGAGTGTTTAATGCTAAGTGTGATCCTATGCAGTTGATCCATTTAATCCTCATAACCACCCTGTGGCATAGGTACAATCATTAGTCCCATTCTACTGATGGTCAGAGTTATTAGGTAACTTGCTCAAGATTACATAGTTAATGTAATTAGTAGACCTGTGATTCAAATTCAGGCTGTCTGGCTCCAGAGTCTGATCTTGACCGCCACGCTAGTATTTAGGCAACTGTACATACCCAGCCTCTTCAGTTTTCCTTGAAATTCACGTCCATATTCCTGCTTGGCAACTGTTAGCTGGGAATCAGTAGCTGCTGCCCCCTTTAGGCAGGGCATTGTAATACATTTGTTACGGTCCCCACTACTCTATTCTAGAGTTTATTTTATTACTCCCTGTTCACTTTACTCATTGATATTTATTTTACCTGTCAGATCCTGTAGGTATTTAAGTTTTCAGACTCTGGCATGCAACATTCATTACCTTGGGCTTGCAAAATAAAAAAGCCACGGAGAGAAAAATCACATTAAATTAAATATTTAAAATAAAAAGAATATTAAAACTATATTGACTTAAACCTAACACAGAAGAACAACCATTAGAATTAACATTAACTCGCCGGGCGTGGTGGCTCACGCCTGTAATCCCAGCACTTTGGGAGGCCGAGGCGGGCGGATCACGAGATCAGGAGATCGAGACTATCCTGGCTAACATGGTGAAGCCCCATCTCTACTAAAAATACAAAAAATTAGCCAGGCATGGAGGCGGGCGCCTGTAGTCCCAGCTACTCGGGAGGCTGAGGCAGGAGAACCTGGGAGGCGGAGCTTGCAGTGAGCTGAGATTGCACCACTGCACTCCAGCCTGGGTGACAGAGCGAGACTCTGTCTCAAAAAAAAAAAAAAAAAAAATGCTGTGTTCCTAACCCACTGAGAAGGATTAAGCTGGGTGGTTTTAGATGGACAGATAATATGGTCCAACTTTGAATTGAGAAGGGGTGAAGTGAAGGCAAAAGTATTTGAAGCCCCAACTCACGTCCTTTCCTCCTGTCTCTGAATTCATCTAAATCAGAATCTCCAGTCACTTTACACTGATGAACCAACCCCAGGCCTCCAGGTAACATTTCCAAGGGAAGCTGTGATGGGCTGAATTATGTCCTCCCAAAATTCATAGGTTAAAGCTGTAACCCCCAAAGTGACTGTATTTGTAAATGGGAACTGTCAGGAGGTAATTAAGGTTAAATGACATCCTAAGTGTGGGGTCCTAATCCAATAGGACTGGCGTCCTTATAAGAAGATAAAGAGATTACAGGAGTGAGCCACCCTGCCCAGCAGAGGCAGGCAGATCATGAGGTCAGGAGATCAAGACCATCCTGGCCAACATGGTGAAATTCTGTTGCCAAGACCAGCTTGGCTGGGGAGACCCTAACCCAGCGGCGCTAGAGGAATTAAAGACACACATGCCCTCTCCCTCTCCCTCTCCCTCTTGCTCTCCCCACGGTCTCCCTCTTGCTCTCCCCACAGTCTCCCTCTCCCTCTCTTTCCACAGTCTCCCTCTGATGCCGAGCCGAAACTGGACTGTACTGCTGCCATCTCGGCTCACTGCAACCTCCCTGCCTGATTCTCCTGCCTCAGCCTGCCCAGTGCCTGTGATTGCAGGCGCGCGCCGCCACGCCTGACTGGTTTTCGTATATTTTTTTTGGTGGAAACGGGGTTTCGCTGTGTTGGCCGGGCTGGTCTCCAGCTCCTAACCACGAGTGATCTGCCAGCCTCGGCCTCCCAAGGTGCCGGGATTGCAGATGGAGTCTCGTTCACTCAGTGCTCAATGTTGCCCAGGCTGGAGTGCAGTGGCTTGATCTCGGCTAGCTACAACCTCCACCTCCCAGCCGCCTGCCTTGGCCTCCCAAAGTGCCGAGATTGTAGCCTCTGCCCGGCCGCCACCCGGTCTGGGAAGTGAGCGTCTCTGCCTGGCCGCCCATCGTCTGGGATGTGAGGAGCCCCTCTGCCCGGCTGCCCAGCCTGGGAAGTGAGGAGTGCCTCTTCCTGGCCATCATGTCTAGGAAGTGAGGATCATCTCTGCCTGGCCGCCAATCGTCTGAGATGTGGGGAGTGCCTCTGCCCCGCCGCCCCATCTGGGATGTGAGGAGCGCCTCTGCCCGGCCGAGACCCCATCTGGGAGGTGAGGAGCGTCTCTGCCCGGCCGCCCCGTCTGAAGTGAGGAGCCCCTCTGCCCGACAGCCGCCCCATCTGAGAAGTGAGGAGCCCCTCCGCCCGGCAGCCGCCCCGTCTGAGAAGTGAGGAGCCCCTCTGCCCAGCAGCTGCCCCGTCTGGGAAGTGAGGAACGTCTCCATCCGGCAGCCGCCCTGTCTGGGAGGGAGGCGGGGGGCAGCCCCCGCCCGGCCAGCCGACCCGACCGGGAGGGAGGTGGGGGGGCAGCCCCCGCCCCGCCAGCCGCCCCGTCCGGGAGGGAGGTAGGGGGGCAGCCCCCGCCCGGCCAGCCGCTCCGTCCAGGAGGGAGGTGGGGGGCGCCTCTGCCCTGCCGCCCCTTCTGGGAAGTGAGGAGCCCCTCTGCCCGGCTGCCACCCCGTCTGGTAGGTGTACCCAACAGCTCATTGAGAACGGGCCATGATGACGATGACGGTCTTGTCGAATAGTAAAGGGGGAAATGTGGGGAAAAGATAGAGAAATCAGATTGTTGCTATGTCTGTGTAGTAAGAAGTAGACATGGGAGACGCCATTTTGTTCTGTACTAAGAAAAATTCTTCTGCCTTGGGATCCTGTTGATCTTTGACCTTACCCCCAACCCTGTGCTCTCTGAAACATGTGCTGTGTCCACTCAGGGTTAAATGGATTAAGGGCGGTGCAAGATGTGCTTTGTTAAACAGATGCTTGAAGGCAGCATGCTCGTTAAGAGTCATCACCACTCCCTAATCTCAAGTACCCAGGGACACAAACACTGCGGAAGGCCGCAGGGTCCTCTGCCTAGGAAAACCAGAGACCTTTGTTCACTTGTTTATCTGCTGACCTTCCCTCCACTATTGTCCTATGACCCTGCCAAATCCCCCTCTGCGAGAAACACCCAAATATGATCAATAAAAAAAAAAAAAAGGAAAAAAAGACACACATGCAGAAATATAGAGGTGTGAAGTGGGAAATGAGGGGTCTCACAGCCTTCAGAGCTGAAAGCCCCGAACAGAGATTTACCCACATATTTATTAACAGCAAGCCAGTCATTAGCATTGTTTCTATAGATATTCGATTAACTAAAAGTATCCCTTATGGGAAACGAAGGGGTGGGCCGAAATAAAGGGGTGGGTCTGGCTAGTTATTTGCAGCAGGAATATGCCCTTAAGGCAGAGATCGCTCATGCTACTGTTTGTGGTTTAAGAATGCCTTTAAGCGGTTTTCTGCCCTGGGCAGGCCAGGTGTTCCTTGCTCTCATTCCGGTAAACCCACAACCTTCCAGCCTGGGCGTTATGGCCATCATGAACATGTCACAGTGCTGCAGAGATTTTGCTTATGGCCAGTTTTGGGGCCAGTTTATGGCCAGATTTTTGGGGGCCTGTTCCCAACACTCTGTCTCTACTAAAAATACAAAAATTAGCTGGGCTTGGTGATTTGTGCCTGTAATCCCAGCTACTCAGGAGGCTGAGGCAGGAGAATCGCTTGAACCAGGGAGTTGAAGGTTACAGTGAGCCAAGATCGTGCCACTGCACTCCAGCCTGGTGACAGAGTGAGACTCCATCTCAAAAAAAAAAAAAAAAAAAAAGAAACACCAGGAGTGTGTACACATATACACGCACAAAACCAGGTAAAAAAGCCAGGTGACACAGCAAGAAGGTGGCAGTCTGCAAGCCAAGGAGACAGGCTTCAGGAGAAATCAAACACCTTGATCTTGGACTTCTAGGCTACAGAACTGTGAAAAAATGTGTTTCTGTGGCCTTAGCCACCCAGTCCATGGTATTTTGTTATGTTTGATATAGCCCTAACAGACTAATGCAACAATCCTCGACAGATAGGGGACAACCTGATGTTTATATATAAGGTTTACACCTCCAGTCCTTCAAGTGGAAATTCTGAAAGGCACTTAGTATGCTGCTCAGGAGGTTTCAGCAGAATCAAAGCTCTGTGGCACAGTGCATTCACTCCATAATCCATAACACACCCTCATAATGGCATGACCTCCTTCCCTGGCTTACTCCCCCTCCTATCTCATGCCTGCTTTCTGGGATCTCCCTTACTACTGGACACATAGAAGTCCTTAACTCAAGCTCTGCTTCTGGGGGAATCCAACCTAAAACAGAACCTGCCCCTAGACTGAAAATAGGGTCTGGAGTTTGGAGGGACTTGTAGGAATGGCAGCTTTTAAGGCCCCCACTCAAATGTGGTTCCAAATGAGCTCTGAGAGGCACCAAGCAAAGGTCTACTTCATTTACCACAGTCTTGCCCACCAGAGTCCCAGCGACCAGCAGCCACATCAGGGAGAAGAATCAATGGAAATGAAGTCTGTCCATGGACTAAGTATGGGCCCCTATGTTCCTGGAACTGTGTAAGCCTGTGATTCTTGTAGGATTCCATGCAGGGGAGTAAAAGGGCTTGAATAATAACTGAGATTTGATTTCCTGCAAGATATGCAAAAGAGGGCTCAAAGTGGGTGACATACGGCTTAGAATAATAAGGAATATAACCTGTCTTACACTCTGGTGTTATGAACTCAGTGATAGCTACAACTGATTACATAAGAAACTGAGAAACTGAGATCAAGGCATGTTCCATGCCATCTCCAGAGGTCCCCGCCCAGAAGTGCTCAACCAAATTAATTCCAAATTAAGGAGATTTTGTATTACATGTGTTTATAAAATGGAAGAAATTTTTGCCTCTTCCCTTCCCTTTTCCTCTAAGACTAATTTAAATACAAGTAATTTAAAAGTTAGGAACTTCCTTTTGCTGTGTTTGTTTTTCTAATAGTGCATGTGTTTTCATCTCATTGGTAACACAACATCATGACCAAAACCAAGCTAGGCTCCCTTAGTTCAACTTATTTCTTGGCTTCTGAACAATAGTGGTAACAAAGCCCACAGGAAAATTTGGCCTTCCAGACACATTGTTGTGATGATTAGGAAATATGCTAGAACTGATGGCTGCCCTCTGAATCATTTTTAAGAGGTAAAAATTAGTATCTTTTTCCTTTAAAAGGAATTTCTTTCTCTCTTTGCAAACTTTGAGTTTCTCTGTTTTGAAGTTTTCAGATATGGACTATAAACTGTCTTCTGTGGGGTTTCTTCTTAATTGCCTGCAAAATTTCATGAAATTAGCACCTACTGTATACCTTCTTGTGTCTAGCTAGGAGACTCTCATCACATTGTTGAGTGAGTGAATAAATGAATACATTTCACTTTGTGGAATATGAGCTAATGAACTCAATTATACTTTCAAAATAGCCTTTTATCCTATGTGGCTGAGGCTGTCTGCTCTTTGTAATTTCCTGCTTTGTTAACTTTAACAGAAAAAGAAACATCTTAAGACTTGTACCCTATCTATTGAACATCCTTCCATCATAATGCAACTCAATCAACTCTTCTGAGGCTGATAGAAACATTCGAATGGACAACTCAGGATATTACCAGCTCCTATCATGGATCCTAAGTGTAGGTATTTTGATTAAGTGTCAAATGGCAAAGTAGCATGAGAATTTGACTGCTTCAGGTATAGGTAAAGTTAGAGGGGAACAGTGAGGGACAGAGAAGTTAGCTTCCCTCCTTCCTTGAATGACCTAGAGCTAGCTAGCTCCTGAGATCATAGAGAAAATAAACCCCCCGCTGTGTTTAGAATGAAATAGAAAAGTTCAGAATTCACAATAAAAACCAGCGAGTCATATCATAATATAGGTATGTACATATATCAATGGTTTTGTTCAAAGAATATTAAGTGAACAGTCACAATGATGTCAATGGTTTTGTTCAAAGAATATTAAGTGAACAGTCACAATGATGTCAATGGTTTTGTTCAAAGAATATTAAGTGAACAGTCACAATGATGTCAATGGTTTTGTTCAAAGAATATTAAGTGAACAGTCACAATGATGTATAGAACAAATTTCAATTGCTATATTTACAAATCCACAGACCTACTATATTAATACATTTTTTAAATTTACTCACTTCTTTCACTTAAATCCACTTAGTAAGGAAACCGAAAGTGCAAAGATGTGTTATTTCCTCCCTCTACCTCGTCCACTTTCAATCTCGACCTCCGACTCAGCCCCAGGCACTCAGCACCTAGCTCCTTCACGCATCCCCCTGCTGTTGGCCATCAGATAAATCCTCCTCACTCAGCTTGGGCTAGAGCTTTCTCTAGTGCTCCCAGGTGTAACTCCCAGCATGCTGTGGGAGTGGAATGTTGTGATGGACAGGAGCTCTGCCAAGTGGTCTGTCCAGAGCAGCAGCTATCCAATATAAATATAAGATGAGCCACACATGCAGGCCACATGTGTAATCGAAAGTGTTCTAATAACTACATTGAAAGAGGTAAAAAGAAATAGGCAAAATTAATGTTAATAAGGTATCTTATTTAAACCAATTTATCCAAAATATTATCACTTCAACATGTGATTGGTACAAAAAAATTATTAAGATGTTTTGCCTTCTTTGTACTAAGCTTTCACATTTTTGTGTATATTTTATACCTACAGCACACCTCACTTTGGATTCATCACTGTCAAGTGATTAATAGCCATGTGTGACTAGTGGCCCCAGATCTAGAGCATACCATGGTAGTACATTCACAGAAGGGTGAGCAGGGAAAACAACATTGTGTTAAATACTCCCAGGCATCACACTTTGGAAAACACTGCCGTTGGCGTTTCCATAGCCTGAGTTCATGATATAAAGGGATCCCTAGTCATTTTATATTAAATGAGATTCCTTAATTGACCCTAAAATTGCCCACAACCTCTTCAGAGAGATTGATTACCCTGTCCTAGGAAAGATCTTTCATACTGCAACAGATGCATCTAGATTCATCGTGGTCTGAATTGCCGTTCCTTTGGGCCATTGCTGAAACTAAGAAAAACTCTGAACTGGCAGCATTTGGTTAGATAATGGTTTCTGTTTTCCCTTCTATCTCCTGGCAAGTTTTGCAATTTTACAATCCAAAGCTTTCAAAGCTGTTGGTTGTCAATTAGCTGCTCCTATGGTATTTATACTGTACTCTAATTCTCATTTCAGGCCATGTGCATAGTCAACATGGAGTGTGAAAAAGACTATTTAAAGCATATATCCATTTTTTAAAGTTATCCTCACTACATGTAAAAATAGCATACACCCTGTCATCTTGAGTGAGAATTGTTTAGACTAGTCACACAGCTCTGCTATCTGAATCCACTAGGCCACAGAATTGCTCAACTCTGTTTGCCATTGACAATATAGGTCTGCTTAATTATGCATGTTCTGTTTTGTGTTTCAGTTTTTCTGAAAATAAAGGATATGAAAAATAACTGGTTATTTTTTTGCCATCTGTAGGCCAATGAGTTATGAAATCATAAAATAGAATTTCATAAAATAGAATTATAGATGATGAAAGGATTAGTGGCTCTTCAGGCAAAATCTGTCATATTTTAGATGAGGATAGTTCTTTTAAAAATATCTACAAGTCTTGATCTGGATTTTAATCCAGAGATTTTTGAAAAATAAAGATATTTTGAATTATTTATATTCTTAAGAAATAAGTAAAATAATTTTAACATCTCCCTAACTTAATATATTTGCTTAACAATCTTTTTTTTTTTTTTTTTTTTGAGATGGGGTCTCACTCTGTCGCCCAGGCAGGAGTGTAGTGGTGCAATCTCAGCTCACTGCAGCCTTGACCTCCCAGGTCCAAGCAATCCTCCCACTTTAGCCTCCTAAGTAGCTAGGACTACAGATGCCTACCATCATGACTGGCTAATTTGTATTTTTTATAGCGGCAGGGTTTCGCCATGTTGCCCAGACTGGTCTCGAACTACTGAGCTCAAGTGATCCACCTGCCTCGGCCTCCCAAAGTGCTGGGATAACAGGCGTAATCCACCACACCTGGCCCTTAACAATCATTTATTGAATCTCCCAGGTGCAAAGAAGACTGATAGATACAGAGACCATAAAAACAAACAATTCGATCCCTGTTTATATTTATTCTAATACATTATGATGGCAGATTACATGATTTGTAATGCTTTCAATAAACATCTAATAATATAGCTAACATGTTATTTATAATACATAAAGATACTTTTGTGGTTAACCACAGTGATGACATTAGTTAAATAACAAATTTAAATTTCAGCCAGAAATAAAGGCATTATAATAACATAGCAGAAGAGATTTAATGACAAATAGAAGGAAGACTTCCTTATGAAAACACTAGAAGGGCTTACCACAGGAGAATGGGATCTTTATCTATAAATTTAGGTTATTTCTTCATTATTCAAGGTCTGTTCAAGGAAATGTACCTGCAAGCAATAAAAGACCTTTCTCTATTTGTTTTAGTAGATTAATTTTTCGTCTACTTATGAAAGTAACCACAAGCATTTTGGAAAACACAGAGATAAAATCTCACTCCAACCCCACCATCTAAACATAGCCAAGATTAGCAATTTAGTATTCTTCATCCCTGTCTTATTTTGTTTATAGACAGTTTTATTTTATATTTTATATAGCTTTAATCATGGTATAAATACATTTTTCCTATTCTTCACTTCCTGTGACATAATTGTTGTTTCACATAAAACGTAATATTTGGAAGATATGAGATGCAATGATTTTGTGAGGTGTTAGTCCAATTATTTTATTCCCCACCCCACCATTATTCATGGCAATCTCTCCCATTTGGGCTGCAGGACAAGAGGCCACCATCTAGGTGGGGTCAGGCAGTGGTCAGTTCTGGGGGTGAGAATAAAGATGCTGAAGTCTAGCTTTTTAAGTTTATAAGGAATATCCAGATGTAAGGCTATAAACAAAAATGTGAAAGCAAGTGCATCCACATCCCCATCACCAAAAACCAAATGAAGGAACAAACCTGTAGAGGATAGGGAAGAAAAACTGAAGGGGAATCCATGGGGTTTAAGAACTGGTCACCTCCTTCAACTCTCACATTTCAGTTCATGTTTGTGTGGGGCTAGGAAACAAGTATTGGCAATGGAGCTCCTCCAGGGAGATTTAGGGGCCTCTGGTAGAGTATAATGTGCCTTCATGATCCTGACTGAAATTCTGGCAGTTCCAGCAAGTCATGGAGAAGTTGAGGAGAAGACTAGAAGGGGATAGTAGAACTCTGCCAGATCCAAGATTCCCACAGACCTCAAGAACAATGTTTACTTGAATATTGCCAGGCAATGAACTCCAGCGAACAAGTGTGGGATGGCTTGGAGCAAGCTGGGATTCTAGGCAAACAGGTCAGCAGCGGATGGTTCCTCCTTCGCTGAACATTCTAAAAAGACATGCGTGAACCAGGAAACAGCTAGGGACACTGTGCTAGCCATCCTCTAGGAGAGGGACCCCATTCCCTCTATTGCACTCTCTCTTTAAGCAAAGTGATTATGAAAGTGGCAAATGGACTGCTTGGACAGTCTGAACTTAATTGCCAGCTATTTTGGGGAGTGCTGAGAAAGCTGGCTGCCCAAAATCTGGAGACTTTGTGGGAAGATGAGTTTAGATGCAGGGCCTCCTGCTGCAGAGAGAGGGGATCCCTAGTTCTAGCCATTCTCATTTCTGGGTCTCCAAAGTCATTTATCAAGCATATTTGTCTGCACAAATATCCGAGGTTTAATACTCTGTATATTTGTTTGTAATTCAGGCATCACAAAATTCTGAACTTGCTATGTAGCATATGAAATTGCTAATGGAAGATTGTTTATTTTTTAAAAAAGACTAGAAGTCTTTAAATTTCTGGCACAGACAGGCACTCAAATATTTGTTGAATGAGTGAATGTAAGGATAATAGAATATAATAAATTCCATTTGGGATCAGATTACTAGGCTATCTAACATTTATGATGAATCCAGTTCATGAAAAAGTGTTACTTAGTGAAATAATTATATATACTTAACCTCAATTTTATTTTTGATTTAATTTTAATTTCTTTTTTTTTTTTTGAGACAGTCTCGCTTTGCTGCCCAGGCTGGAGTGCAGTGGCATGATCTTGGCTCACTGCAACCTCTGCTTCCTGGGTTCAAGCAATTCTCGTGCCTCAGCCTCCTGAGTAGCTAGGACTACAGGCACACACCACCACCCCTGGCTAATTTTTTGTATTTTAGTAGAGACGGGGGTTTCACCATCTTTCCCAGGCTGGTCTTGAACTCCTGAGCTCAGGCAGTCCACCTGCCTCAGCCTCCCAAAATGCTAGGATTACAGGCATAAGCCACCACACCTGGACCTCAGCTTTAAAAGTCAATCACTGTTCAATTATCCGTGAATTTATCTAAACATTTTTTATTTTATATTATAATTTCAGACTATAGAAATGTTAGGGATAACAATTCTCAAAAGTTTATATTTTAATGAAAAAATATACTTCTGTTCAAAAACTGCCTTCTTCATGTATTACTGATTCCTCCAATGATCTGGGAGTGTGTGGGGAAAAAAGTATTTTCTTGAATGTATTTTGCAATAATTTGTGGAGAAGTTTTTAAATTTATTTTTCATCTTCATGTAATGCTAGAAATGTCTCACATTAATGGTTACCTAGTGCATGGTAGAGACTTCTTCTGGACAATACTCTAGTAAATGGATGCTAATGGATCAGCGGTCCATTGAAAAACATTAATAAGCTTGATATGCATTGTCTACAACAGGAGTCCCCAATCCCCCAGCCAGACTGGTACCAGTCTATGGCCCGTTAGGAACCTGGCCACACAGCAGGAGGTGAGCAGTGGGTAAGCATTGCTGCCTGAGCCCCACCTCCTGTCAGATCATTGGTGGCATTAGATTCTCATAGGGGTGTGAACCCTATTGTGAACCATGCATGTGAGGGATCTAGGTTGCCCGTATGAGACTGTAATGCCTGATGATCTGTCACTGACCCCCATCACCCCCAGATGGACCATCTAGTTGCAAGAAAACAAGCTCAGGGTTCCCATTGATTCTACATTATGGTGAGTTGTATAATTATTTAATTATATATTACAAAGTAATGATAGTAGAAATAAAGTACACAATAAATGTAATGTGCTAGAATCATCCTGAAACTATCCCCTTTCATCCTCCCAAATCCGTGGAAAAGTTGTCTTCCATGAAACCAGTCCCTGGTGCCAAAAAGACTAGGGAATGCTGGTCTACAAAGTACAGTCAATAAATCTAAAATCTTACCTGTAATAGTAAAAATGAGAGGATATCCCTATGCAGAAGAATGAAACTAGACCCCTGTATTGGTCAGAGTTCTCTAGAGGGACAGAATTAATGGAATAGATATATATATACAAAAGGGGAGTTTATTAAGTATTAACTCACATGATCACAAGGTCCCACAATAGGCTGTCTGCAGGCTGAGGAGCAAGGAGAGCCAGTCCGAGTTCCAAAACTAAAGAACTCGGAGTCCAATGTTCGAGGGCAGGAGGCATCCAGCATGAAAGATGTAGGCTGGAGGCTAGGCCAGTCTCTGTTTTCACATTTTTTTCTGCCTGCTTATATTCTAGCTGCACTGGCAATTGGTTAGATTGTGCCCACCCAGATTAAGGGTGGGTCTGCCTTTCCCAGCCCACTGACTCAAATGTTAATCTCCTTTAACAACATCCTCACAGACACACCCAGGATCAATACTTTGTATCTTTCAATCCAATCAAGTTGACATTCAGTATTAATCATCACAACCCCTATCTGTCGTCATATACAAAAATCAAAGTGGATTAAAGACTTACATCTAAGACCTCAAACTATGAAACTACTACAAGAAAACATTGGAGGAACTCTCCAGGACATTGGACTGGGCACAGATTTCTTGGGTAATACCCCACAAGCACAGGCAACCAAAGCAAAAATGGACAAATAGCATCACATTAAGTTAAAAAGCTTCTGAACAGCAAAGGAAAAAGGAAACAATCAACAAAGTGAAGGGACAATTCATAGAATGGGAGAAAATATTTGCAAACTACCCATCTGACAAAGGATTAATAACTAGAATATATAAGCAGCTCAAATAATTCTATAGGAAAAAAATCTAATGATCTGATTTTAAAATGGGCAAAATATCTGAATAGACATTTCTCCAAAGAAAATATACAAATGGCAAATAGGTATATGAAAAGATGCTCAACAAATGCAAATCAAAACTGTAATGAGGTATCATCACATCCCAGTTAAAATGGCTTTTATCCAAAAGATAGGCAACAACAAATGCTGGCAAGGATGTAGTGAAAAGGGAACCCTCGTACACTGTTGGTGGGAAGGTAAATTAGTACAACCACTATAAAGAACAGTTTGATGGTTCCTGTAAAAACTAAAAATAAGAGCTACCACATGATACAGCAATCCCACTGCTGGGTATCTATCCAAAAGAAAGGAAATCAGTATATTGAAGAGATATCTGCACTCCCATGTTTATTGCAGCACTGTTCACAATAGCTGAGATTAGGATACAACTTAAGTGTCCATCAACAGATGAATGGATAAAGAAAATGTGTAGCTGGGCACGGTGGCTCACGCCTGTAATCCCAGCACTTTGGGAGGCGGAGGTGGGCGGATCACGAGGTCAGGAGATCGAGACCATCCTGGCTAACACGGTGAAACCTCGTCTCTACTAAAAGTACAAAAAATTAGCTGGGCGTGGTGGCAGGGGCCTGTAGTCCCAGCTACTCGGGAGGCTGAGGCAGGAGAATGGCGTGAACCCGGGAGTCGGAGCTTGCAGTGAGCCGAGATCGTGCCACTGCACTCTAGCCTGGGCGACAGAGCGAGACTCCATCTCAAAAAACAAAAAAAGGAAATGTGGTACTTAAAAACAACAGAGTACTATGTAGCCATAAAAAAGAATGAGATCCTGTAATTTGCAACAACATGGATGGAACTGGAGGTCATGTTAAGTGAAATAAGGCAGGCACTGAAAGACAAACTTCACATGTTCTAATTTATTTGTGGGAGCTAACAATTAAAACAATTGAACTCATGGAGATAATGATGCTTACCAGAGGCTGGGAAGGGTAGTGGGGTTGGGGTGGGGGATTGCGCGGTAGAGTGGGGATGGTTAGTAGGTACAAAAAAATAGTTAGAAAAAATGAATAAGATCTAGTATTTAATAGCACAACAGGGTGACTATAGTTAATAATAATAATTTAATTGTACATGTTAAGATAACTAAAAGAGTATAATTGCATTGTTTGTAACAAAAAGGATAAATACTTGAGGTGATGGATACTTCATTTACCCTGACGTAATTATTACACATTGTATGCCCGTATCAAAGATCCCATATGCCTTATAAATATATATACCTACTATGTACCCACAGAATTTTTTAAATGAATACAAATTAGAGTTAAAAGGCTCTTAGGTGCATACATTATAAAAGCTTTATCAAGGGAAATTTTGTAGTAAATAGCAAAAACCTTAAAAGTTTGTGTACCATTTGATCAAACAATTCCATTTCTGGAACTGTATTTTATGGAAATATTTAGGGACATGTGTAAAAAGTTATTAAGAATGATTTCATCAATGTTAAAATGTTTAACATAAAAAATCGGAAATGATTGGGAATATTTATGTACGTTATGCCCCAACTCTGTGATTAAATATTATGCATGTTTTAAAGAAATATTTAGCAATATAGCAAAATGTTATAACGAAAAATAAATTTATAAAATCGATGGACTGTATGATCTCATCTTTGGTTAAAATGAATTGCTGCATGCATAGAAAAAAGACAAGTCATGTTCTAAAATACTAATAGTTGTTACTTCTGGATATCTTTATAAATTTTTATATTTATGGTTTTTGTTTTTTTACATTTTCTACAATAGTATATATATTTACTGTGATAAGATTTTCAAAGCTTTTTTAAAAAAACTCTTTTTTGTAACAATTATACTAAATTTAAAGTCATACTCTTATATAAGAAATAAAAATATAATCGTTTAAGAATAAAAACAGTCCTTAATCCATGTTAGAGATTATCATGAAAAATGAAGAAAGCTTCACATATAAACATGAAAAAGAAAGCATTAAAGGAAGTGATCACTTGATACAAGTTTCTGTCTGCCTCACCTAGCCGGAAGTTAGCCCTCTATCCATGGAGCATCAGTAAAGTAAGGGTATAATTTTTAGTATTAGTAATAATTAATAGGTTTTTGCAAACCTATTATGCAAACTGCTTTAAAGCCAAAATAATTCTTTGAATATAAATTTGGCTTTAATTCTATAAATTTAAAGAATTAATTTGGAAGCAAGATGGGTATTGTATCAACTTTGTATATATCCTATTATTCAAGTATTCAGCAAGGTGGCGTTGGGTACGAGCTATTTCATTTTGGATAAGAAAAGTGGCCAGCCATCTAATCCTTCCAGGAAAGAAATTTTTTAACATATGGCAAAGTGTGAGGCATCAGGTGTTATAAATCCCAGCTGTCATTCACACAACTAGCAGGCTGTTATGAGAAATATTCTGGGTATTCCTATTGAGTCGTGTGATTCAAGACTTAGTGTCTTTTTTGTTAATTTCTTCTTATTACTAAAGAGTAGCATATTCCATTATTAATACTTCCCTTTTCCATTAAACACACATTTCTTCTAAGAATAAAGTAAATTATGATCATTGTTAAGCAACAAAAGCCCATCTACCTCATTCAACCCTTGCCCTCCCCAAATAAAACAAAACAAAAACAGATACTAAAACTGTGAGTTGTTCTGAAGTTTCTCCAGTTAGCTCAGGGAAAACATTTGCCTAAACTGCAGCCTCTTGTAGTCAGTCTTAAGATTTCCATCTATGTTCAAACTCTAAGAATTTGTCTCAATTTCTTCTGCTACCATAGGCATTGGTAGTGATATAGAACTAGGGAATAAGTAGCATAGCCAAATAGGTCTCGTCCAGGTAATCTCTAATGCTGCTTGTCTCATCTTCAAGACACACAAAAATTAAACTATATGGTTAGTAATTTTAGTTATATTAAATTTAAAACTTCTACTTACCAAAAGCACTATAAACAAAGAGATCAAGTAACAGGTAGGAGAAAATGTTCACAAGGTACAGAACAAAACATTAAAATTCACCATAAATAATGCTTACAGATGAATGAGAAAATGACAAATGACCCAATAAAAATGGGCAAAGGACATAAACAGGTATATAAGAGAGAAAATCCAGAAGTAAAAACATATCAACAGAAGCTCTGTCTACTACAAATTAAGAAATGCAAATTTAAGCAATAAGAAGAAAAAAGTTCACATTCTTCTAGTTGTTAACAAAGTAGAAAGTCTGATAACGCCAAGCACAGAAGGATGTGAGCTGCTGATAGACATATAAATAGGTACAACCATTGGAAAACAATTCGATACTACCTAGTAAAGCTGAAAATGTCCTTACACCAAGACTCAGGTTTTTTAGTCCAGAGAAACTTGCCTACATATGCACAAGGAAGAATGTATAATATAAGAATATTTATTACCTCACCGTTTGAGGCAGAAATAAGGAAAATAAAAACAGTCTAATTCTTCATTGGTTGGGAAATAAACAGTATGTAAGTATTCATACAGTAGGTTTTCATATAGTAGTTAAAACAAGTAAATCATAAGTACATGTATACAGTGGATCAATTCCAAAAATATTAAGTAAAAATGAAAGTAAATCACAGTAGGATACAATCAATATGATACAATATATACAAACATTATTTTGGGCATATAAAATTATACACAAATTATATCAAATTGAATGTATCCTATTGTGATTTATTTTTTTGAATTTTTTTTTTTTCAGACAGTCTCACTTTGTTTCCCAGGCTCGAGTGCAGTGGCGCCATCTCAGCTCACTGCAACTTCTGCCTCCCACGTTCAAGCAATTCTCCTGCCTCAGCCTGCTGAGTAGCTGGGATTACAGGCACACACCACCACGCCTGGCTAATTTTGTATTTTTAGTAGAGACGGGGTTTCGCCATGTTGGCCAGGCTGGTCTCGAACTGTTGACCGCAAGTGATCTCCCCGCCTCAGCCTCCCAAAGTGCTGGGATTACAGGCGTGAGCCACCATGCCCAGCCTATGTAAAATGTATATATATACACACACAGTATGTATAGAGAGAGCATATATACAGTATCTATATATAGAGTGTGTGTGTGTGTGTGTGTGTGTGTGTGTGTGTGTGTATGTGTGTCCAAAACATAAACTCATGCATGGCAATGATACATTATTGACAGGAAATGGCTAACCCTGGGGAGATAAAGCAAAGAGATAGAAGTATGGTTTTAGTTATATCCATAATATTATGTATCTATATTATTTTATTTATTTAGAGAAAAACATTCTGAAGATGGCAAAATGTAAATATCATTTAAATTCAGATGGTAGGTAAATAGTTGTCTAATATTATTTACTGTATACTGGAAATATTTAATGATTAAATTAATTTTTTATTTAAGTTATTAATAAGAAAAACACTCAAATTGTTTTGAGAAATACAAAAGCAAGGCATATTGAAGCCATCTGAAAAGGCTCAAGTTCATTAATAGTTAATTTTGCCCCCATGACAAGTACTTGATGTAACAGCTCCAATTAAGCCCGAAAGAATGTCTGTTTTTAAACTTATCTTGGTGGGGAGCAGAACTGTTTTCTACTTATCTCCCATGACAGTGTGATGATTAAATTTTAAAAGGTTTTCCAAGCTTTCATTGACCTTACATTTACAAGTCAAAAGACAGATTTAGGCAAGTGAGCAAGTCATTCATACTTCAAATCAGTTTCTGTCATTTATTCAAATTTTTTATTATATTTGCTTCTTGTGTTTTTTGTTTGTTTGTTTGTTTGTTTTGAGACAGGCTGGAGCGCAATGGCGTGATCTCAGCCAGGTTCAAGCAATTCTCCTGCCTCAGCCTCCCAAGTAGCTGGGACCACAGGCGTGTGCCACCACGCCCAGCTAATTTTTATTTTTATTTTAGTAGAGACAGGTTTCACCATGTTGGCCAGACTGGCTTGAACTCCTGACCTCAAGTGATCAGCCCTCCTCAACCTCCCAAAGTGCTGGGATTACAGGGATGAGCCACCGTGCCTGGCCTTTTATTTCCTTCTTTGGGTTGCTGATTTATTTGTTTGATTTTCTCTGACATTGTATACACTCGATGAAAATGCAAACCAATATAATTTAAGAAATCCCAAACTAAAGAATGTCTTTGTACCATGGGTAACCATCGCAGTAGCAACTGGTTCAGTCAAGAATCATTAATGGGTGCTGAAACTGGTGGGCAAATGTTCAACGGGAAACAGGATATATAGCCCCGAAGTATCTCACCACAAATTACTTTTTAACTTTAAAGGGAAAAATAGCAACTTTAGAGTGGAGAAAACAGGCAGACATCACTTTAACCAAAGTAGCATCATGACTACTGAGACAAACCAATATTATGTGAACTGATGTGTGTATGACACAACACACTGAGATTACAGCATCACTTCTGTGCTAACCCTAACCCAAATGCATAACCCGAATCTAAGCATGAGGTGACATCAAACAAACCTAAACTAAGGAACATTCTACAAAGTAACTGGTCCATATGCTTCAAAAATGTCAAACTCATGAAAGACAAAGAAAGCCAGAGGAGTTATCCCAGATGAAAGAATACAAGAGTGACATGGCAGCTAAATGCAATAAGTGATCCTGGACTAGATTGGACTCTGTGTCACAAAATTATTTTTATTTTCCTAAGAATGACATCATTGGATAATTGGTGATTTTGAGTAATTCGTTCCATGTTGCTTTTATTGAGAAGCCTCAGAATGCAAATTTAATATAAAATACTTAAAGTATCGACACCATATAACAAGATTAAAACTGTGAAAACATTAGTCTCACTTTGCCCCTCTGTAAGAATGATCCAGTTCTAAAAGACGGTTCTTCAGACTTTGCTCTCAAAAATTACAAACAACTCTCATAGTAACATTGACAGAGAATTTCTAATATATATAGGTCCTGAATATGTTACAGATTTCATAAACTAAATTTGAGGACTGTTGGTGGGAGCTCAGTAGCTGATCTATTCTACTGAAAAGCTGAAAAAGGAGAAAGATGATTAATAAGGCTGTCATAACCAAACAATATGAGTTTTATAGCTTATACCAGCTTTCAGAATTGCACTTAGAAACACAGTGGCAATCAGTCCAATACCTTGACCTTGATGCAATGCATTCTATTTCCTGTATCATTAAATGTGGTGGAATTGTTATGAAGATGAGTGTTACACATCCCAGTTTTTTGGATAATGTTCTCCATAAATTTTATATATTGACTGCAATGCCTTATAGTTAAAAGGCAAGCTTGTTTCTCATTAACTATGTAACTTCAAGCTAATTACTTGGCTTCTTTGAGCCCTAGAGCCTGAATTTGTTATATGATAGGGTCAGAATCTCTTGTCTCTGAAATTCTTTTCAAGTCTAGTTGTGGATCATTCGAGATTTCAGTCAATAGTTAAGTTATCCGTAAAAATGATATATTTCTTCTAAAGCCAAAATAGAAAACTGCTCTTCTTTAAGAGCAATTCCTTATGTTAGCTTATTTTATGAAGTATTTTAGTTACATGAAAAATGTATAATTAAGAATAGAACAAACTTCCGCGTACCCACCATCCAGCTAAAATACAGAACATTACAGTTTGTTATCTACCATGTTGGCAAAAATCCTTGAGTCTGACAAAATGCCTTATTACCAACTCTGCAGGGAAATAGGCACTTTCACATATTGTTGGCAGGAATGCAAAAACAGTATGATGGGAATTTGGCAATATCTAGCAAAATTACATATGCATTTAATCCTGGACACCACAATCACCTTTCTAAATCTATCTCAGAGATATATAGGCAGAAATATGAAATGATGTATATACAAACTTATTCATTGTAGTACTATTTGTAATAGCAAAAGATTGCAAACAATCCAAATGTTCATCAATAAAGGACTGGTTGAAGAAATAATGATGAAGTACTATTCCACTATAAAAAATAGTTTATAAGATGCTGTGAATTGCGTATAGCATGCTACCTTTTGTTTAAGAAAGAGGGACTATAAGTGTATGTGTGTGAGTGTGTGTGGAATAAGCATTTTTTAAAAGTGATAATAGAAGGATAAACCAAAAGCCGATAAAAAAATGATTACTTATAACGGAAGGAAAAAACAGGAATCAGAGGATGACAAATACACATAAGAAAAGATGTTCAACCTCATACGTCATTAGGGAATTGCAAATTAAAATGAGATACCACTACACATATATTAGAATGGCTAAAATTCAAAACACTGACAGCACTAAATGCTTGTGAGGATGTGGACAACAGGAACTCTCATTCATTGCTGGTGGAAATGCAAAATGGTAAAACCACATAGGAAGACAGTTTGGCAGCTTCCTACAAAACCAAGCATACTCTTACTGTATGATCCAGCAATCATACTCCTTCGTATTTGTCCAAATGAGTTGAAAACTTACATCCACACAAAATGCTGTATGTTATTTTTTACAGCAGCTTTATTCATAATTGCCAAATCTTGGAAGCAGACAATGTCCTTCAGTAGGTGAATGGATGAACAACCTGTGGTACATCTTTACGGCAGAGTATTATGCAGAACTAAAAAGGAATGAGCTATCAAGCCACTTAAAGACATGGAGGAAACTTAAACGCATACTGCTAAGTGAAAAAAACAGTCTCAGTAGATAATTATAACTGTAATAATCCACCCTTATCCACAGTTTTGCTTTCTGCAGTTAACCAAGGCCTGAAAATATTACATGGAAAGTTTCAGAAATAACTAATTCATAAGGTTTAAATTGCACACTCTTCTGAGTAGCATGATGAAATTTTGTGCTATCCTGCTCCATCCTGCCCTGAACCTGAAACATTCCTTTGTCCAGTGCATCCATGCTCTATATATTACCAGATACATTAGTTACTTAATAGCTGTCTCTGTTATCAAATCAACATGTACAAGAAGAGTGAGTACAGTACAATTAGATATTTTGAGAGAGAAAGCATATTTACATAACTTTTATTACAGTATATTGTTATAATTGTTCTATTTTATTATTAGTTATTGTTGTTAATTTCTTACTGCACATAATTTATAAGTAAACCTTATAAGTATGTATGTGTAGGGTTCTATGCTATCCATAGTTTCAGGCACCTACTGTCGGTCTTGTAACATATCCCTTGAGGATAAAGGGGGACTATTATGTATGACATTCAATAAAAAGCAAAATTATGGATACAGGAAAAGGTCAGTGGTTGCCAGGGTTTTGGGGAAAGAAGGGAGGGATGAATATTGGAACATAAGGGATTTTTAGGGCAGTGAAATTACTCTGTATGTTATTGTAACGGTGGATATGTCATTAGACATTTTTCAAAACCCACAGAATGTGCAACACAAAACAACAAACCTTAATATAAACCATGGTCTTTAGTTAATAACTGTACCAATGTTGGCTATCAATTGTAATAAATATACCACAATAATGCAGGACATTAATAATAGGGAAAAAGAGGCAGGTTTTCTGTAAACCTAAAGCTGTTTTAAAAAATAAATCTGTTAACGAAAAAGAAAGGCAGGGGACACAGACTGGAAATAAACCTTCTCAGATGAAATCTGTCATATGGTTTTGACTTTCAAAACATGTAAATGTGACTATTAAATAACTTCAAAAACCAATTACTTTAAGAAGAAAATAAAAGAAAAAAGCAATCCCTAAAAATCTAAACCAAATTGAGACAAGTGAACTTAGCTCTACAGTAAGTTGGTGGCAAGACCAAATAGAGAAGAGCTCTGTCTAATGACTGCAAAAGGAATATTTTGGCTTTCATTCTTTTGTGAGATATATCCTAAAGACTAAAACATCACAAAGAAGTGTAACCTGTATTTAGTCATTTTATTGTTACTTACAATATTGGGGTTGCTATTTTGAAACTGTTATTTTAAAAATACCTATGATGCTGGGTGTGGTAGCTGCACCTGTAGCCCCAGCTACTCAGGAGGTTGAGGCAGATTGCTTGAGGCCATGAGTTTGAGGCTGCAGTGGGCAATATAGCAAGCACTCTACCCTGGGCAACATAGGAAGACCCTATCTCTAAAATAAAAAATAAACAAATAAATAGCTACATATAGCAAATATACATTATTTATATGGTAGGAAAAGACAAATACATGTTAATGTTATTAAAAACCAAGATTTTTAGCTTAAGAGAACAAAGGCAAAATATTACAAAGTAGGTTAAAGTTCTAATCTTTAATTTAAATAGAAAATATCAGTACGAACTCATTATTTACTTTTCTCCTTCTAGAAAATAGTTATTTCCCAGTTCTATCCACTGGAAAGTTCTGGAAGTAATAACAACTTAGTAGCAATGATCATCCCTAGTGCTCAGATTATAGTCTTCAAAGACCAAGGAAGCAAGCAAGGCCTTTGAAGAACTGGCTGATTTCATATAGAATAGGAAATATACATCCTGAGCCTGAGACCACTTGCTGTGCCTGAAAGACAGAAAGCTATCAGAGACTACTGGGGTCATATCAAAATAATGAAAGAGTCAAACTAAAAATGCTCCACTCGCCAAAAATGGCAACAATTTGAGCATCAAAAGAGAATAACAGAACACTTACTATATGATGCAACTGAGTAAAAGAATCCAGAGACATGATTCTACTTTTAGGAATTCCTAGAAAAACCTACTCTATAGTGACAGGAAGCAGATTAATGGTTGCCTAGGGCTAGGGATGGAGTGGGAGTAAGACTCACTGCAGAGGGGCTGAAAGGAATTTTTGGGGGTGATAGAAATATTCTATATTCTAGGCCAGGCAAAGTGGCTCACGCCTATAATCCCAGCACTTTGGAAGGCCGAGGCAGGTGGATCACTTGAGGTCAGGAGTTCAAGACCAGCCTGACCAGTATGGTGAAACCCCATCTCTACCAAAAATACAAAAATTAGCTGGGCATGGTGGCAGGCACCTGTAATACCGACTTCTCAGGAGGTTGAGGCAGGAGAATCGCTTGAACCCTAGAGGCAGAAGTTGCAGTGAGCGAGATTACACCACTGCACTCCCGCCTGGCAACAGAGCAAGACTCCGTCTCAAAAAAAAAAAAGAAATTTTCTCTATTCTGATTGTGGGGGTAGTTATACAGGCATATGCATTTTTCAAAATTCATTCAATTGCACAGTTTCTTTTTTTTTATTATTATACTTTAAGTTTTAGGGTACATGTGCACAACATGCAGGTTTGTTACATATGTATAAATGTGCCATGTTGGTGTGCTGCACCCATTAACTCTTCATTTCACATTAGGTATATCGCCTAATGCTATCCCTTCCCACTCCCCCCACCCCACAACAGGCCCCGGTGTGTGATGTTCCCCTTCCTGTGTCCATGTGTTCTCATTGTTCAATTCCCACCTATGAGTGAGAACATGCGGTGTTTGGTTTTTTGTCCTTGCGGTAGTTTGCTGAGAATGATGGTTTCCAGCTTCATCCATGTCCCTACAAAGGACATGAACTCATCATTTTTTATGGCTGCATAGTATTCCATGGTGTATATGTGCCACATTTTCTTAATCCAGTCTATCATTGTTGGACATTTGGGTTGGTTCCAAGTCTTTGCTATTGTGAATAGTGCCGCAATAAACATACATGTGCATGTGTCTTTATAGCAGCATGTTTTATAATCCTTTGTGTATATACCCAGTAATGGAATTGCTGGGTCAAATGGTGTTTCTAGTTCTAGATCCCTGAGGAATCGCCACACTGACTTCCACAATGGTTGAACTAATTTACAGTCCCATCAACCGCGTAAAAGTGTTCCTATTTCTCCACATCCTCTCCAGCACCTGTTTTTTCCTGACTTTTTAATGATAGCCATTCTAACTGGTGTGAGATGGTATCTCATTGTGGTTTTGATTTGCATTTCTCTGATGTCCAGTGATGAAGAGCATTTTTTCATGTGTCTTTTGGCTACATAAATGTCTTCTTTTGAGACGTGTCTGTTCATATCCTTCGCCCACTTTTTGATGGGGTTGTTTTTTTCTTGTAAATTTGTTTGAGTTCATTGTAGATTCTGGATAATAGCCCTTTGTCAGATGAGTAGATTGCAAAAATTTTCTCCCATTCTGTAGGTTGCCTGTTGACCCTGATGGTAGTTTCTTTTGCTGTGCAGAAGCTCTTTAGTTTCATTAGATCCCATTTGTCAATTTTGGCTTTTGTTGCCATTGCTTTTGGTGTTTTAGACATGAAGTCCTTGCCCAGGCGTATGTCCTGAATGGTCTTGCCTAGGTTTTCTTCTAGGGTTTTTATGGTTTTAGGTCTAACATTTAAGTCTTTAATCCATCTTGAATTAATTTTTGTATAAGGTATAAGGAAGGGATCCAGTTTCAGCTTTCTACATATGGCTAGCCAGTTTTTCCAGCACCATTTATTAAATAGGGAATCCTTGCCCGATTTCTTGTTTTTGTCAGGTTTGTCAAAGATCAGATAGTTGTAGACACGCAGCATTATTTCTGAGGGCTCTGTTCTGTTCCATTGGTCTATATCTCTGTTTTGGTACCAGTACCATGCTGTTTTGGTTACTGTAGCCTTGTAGTATAGTTTGAAGTCAGGTAGCATGATGCCTCCAGCTTTGTTCTTTTGGCTTAGGATTGACTTGGCAATGTGGGTTCTTTTTGGTTCCATATGAACTTTAAAGTAGTTTTTTCCAATTCTGTGAAGAAAGTCATTGGTGGCTTGATGGGGATGGCATTGAATCTATAAATTACCTTGGGCAGTATGGCCATTTTCATGATATTGATTCTTCCTACCCATGAGCATGGAATGTTCTTCCATTTCTTTGTATCCTCTTTTATTTCATTGAGCAGTGGTTTGTAGTTCTCCTTGAAGAGGTCCTTCATGTCCCTTGTAAGTTGGATTCCTAGGTATTTTATTCTCTTTGAAGCAATTGTGAATGGGAGTTCACTCATGATTTGGCTCTCTGTTTGTCTGTTATTGGTGTATAAGAATGCTTGTGATTTTTGCACATTGATTTTGTATCCTGAGACTTTGCTGAAGTTGCCTATCAGCTTAAGGAGAGTTTGGGCTGAGACGATGGGGTTTTCTAGATACACAATTCATGTCATCTGCAAACAGGGACAATTTGACTTCCTCTCTTCCTAATTGAATACCCTTTATTTCCTTCTCCTGCCTGATAGCCCTGGCCAGAACTTCCAACACTATGTTGAATAGGAGTGGTGAGAGAGGGCATCCCTGTCTTGTGCCAGTTTTCAAAGGGAATGCTTCCAGGTTTTGCCCATTCAGTATGATATTGGCTGTGGGTTTGTCATAGATAGCTCTTATTATTTTGAGATACATCCCATCAATACCTAATTTATTGAGAGTTTTTAGCATGAAGGTTGTTGAATTTTGTCAAAGGCCTTTTCTGCATCTATTGAGATAATCATGTGGTTTTTTTGTTGTTGGTTCTGTTTATATGCTGGATTACATTTATTGATTTGCATATGTTGAACCAGCCTTGCATTCCAAGGATGAAGCCCACTTGATCATGGTGGATAAGCTCTTTGATGTCAATTGCACAGTTTCTAAATGAGTGCATTTTATTGCATTTAAATTATAATTCCAATAATATTAATTTTTTAAAAAAGAGAAAAGGAATAAAGACTACAATGAATAGAAATCATAAGTGTAAAAATCTCAGAGTCCTTAATAAGTCTTTTTAAAAAATCGTCTTCATTCACCAATTGCCAGGATACCAACTGCTATAGTTTGGAATACTGTTCTCTCTAAATCTCATGTTGAAATTGGATACCCTATGTTGGAAGCGGGGCCCAATGAGAGGTGTTTGGATCACAGGGGCAGATCCCTCATGAATAGTTTAATGCCCTCTCCCAGGAGTGAGTTCTTACTCAGTAAGTTCTCATGAGAGCCTGTTGTTAAAAGGAGCCTGGCATCTCCTCTGTTTCTCTCTTGCTTCCTCTCTCACCATGGAGCTCTGTACACGCCAGGTTTCCTTCACCTTCTACCATGGATGGAAGCCTAAGGCCCTCACCCGATGCAGATGCCTGTACTGTACTTCTTGTACAGTCTGCAGAATCGTGAGCTAAGCAAACCTCGTTTCATTATAAATTTCTCAGCCTCAGATATTCCTTTATAGCAACACACAACACACTAAGACACCAAATCATTATGCTAAAAATCGATAAATGTAAGTTATCACTTACCCTGCTTTTCTTATGTGGGCTGGACTTCAAGGTACCTAGTGGTTGATGAGGGAAAGTTCTTTATAGAACAATTACAGTTAATAAATGCAGAAAGAATGATAAATTAGAAAATGACTATTTTTGAAATATTTTACAAAATGATGAATCTAAGTAAAAATCATCAGTGGTTTCTAAAACCATTAGGTGAAAGATAGATAAGGATCCTTAATACTATATCTATTGATGAATCAGGTCAACCACATTTGAACCACATTTAATTGATGGATAACCAGACATTACGTGCCTCTTGCTGTGATACAATAGGAAGTATAGAGCATCATATATAGAGTATCCTTGCCTAAATAAATAAATCTTAAAAACTGAATCAAAAACAAACCTCTAAATCTTACTGTCAGTTTGTAGGAAATACTATTCTGTACTCGCTAAAATGAGAAAGTGAGTCTGACCTTAGCAAGCTTAGTGAAGATGTAGAACCCTGGAAACTCTCACAATCTGCTGCCAGGAATGCAAATTGGCCCACGCAGTTTGAATTTGACAACACACACAAAATGGGGAAAATCACCTCCTTGCCACTAGATGGTGCTTATTGGCTTTTGAGTAGTTTGTTGTATTGTTTTCTGTTACATTGCTGCATTCCTCTTTTTACTTCTGATGGATCACTGGAGGAACGGACTGGGCACTAGGGACTAGAGCCTCACCAGAATGTTGTCACTGGGATCCCAAAAGCCGTATCTGCTGCGGAACTATGTTGCCCCTGGGGACACATCTCTGAGAGTTGCTGCTTGCCCTAGCCACTTACATTATTCAGTTCCTTAACAATATCTGTCTCTATACTGTGTCGAGGGTATTTTTCTGAAGAATATATTTTTCAATACAGTCTTATTATTTTTAATTATTTCACATAATATCTGTGCTCTCTATTTAACTTTTTTAAGATAACTTTGAAATTATAAAATATGGTACAAGAAAATCCTTCATACACTTCATCTAGGCCCCAGGTTCACCACTTATTACGATTTACCATTCTCTCTCTCTCTCTCTAAATCATATGTATATAATTTATATATGCCATATATATTATTTTATATACTTTTATATATTATATATATTTTATATATTATATAATTTATAGATATGTATATAATTTATAGATATATTGTATAATTTATATATTAATTTATGTATTTATTATATAATATATGATATATAGTTTATATATATTATACATATATATACATTTCTAAACCTTTTAATAGTGAGTTGCAGACATAATGCCCCACTGGCCTTATAAACACAGACACTATTCTATAAAACCACAGCATACCCATCAAAATCAGAAAATTAACATGGATATAGTGCTATCTAATGTACAGACCCCTTTCAAATTTTACCAGTTATCCCAATAGTATCCATTATAGCAAACATACAACAAAACAAAATAAGAAACAAAAAACCCACAATTGTTTAAAAACTTCTTTCCCTTTCCCCTTTTCCTTTTTGTTCCAGGACTCAACCCAGGATTATCCACAGCATTTAGTTGTCATGTACATATCTTCTTCAATCTAGACAGTTCCTCAGGCTTTCCTTGTCTTTTATTATCTTGACATTTTTAAAGGCCAGATATTTATACTACCTTCAATTTGGGTTTGTCTGATATTTTTTCATGATTAAAGTTATGATTTTGCAGGGCAGGACTATCACAAGTGATACTGTGTTAGTGCATCATATTAGGAGGTGCACAATGTCAGTTTGTCCTATTACTGGTAAATTAACCTTTATCATTTTGTTTGTCCACTGTTAGTCTTATAAATAAATATGTTTATTTATTATTATTATTAATGCTATTATTAAATAATTAAAAAGCATTTTATGGGGAGATACTTTGAGACTATGTTAAGTATCTTTTCTCTCATCAAACTTTCACTCATTATTTTGGCCTCCTATTTTAGTATGGTTGTTATCAAATGGTGATTCTCTAATTCCATTATTTCTTTTTTTTTTGAGACGGAGTTTTGCTCTTGTTGCCTAGGCTAGAGTGCAATGACTCGATCTAGGCTCACTGAAACCACCTTCCGTGTTCAAGCAATTCTCCTGTCTCAGCCTCCTGAGTAGCTGGGATTACAGGCATTCGCCACCACACCCGGCTAATTTTTGATATTTTTAGTAGAGACGGGGTTTCACTATGTTGACCAGGCTGGTCTCGAACTCCTGACCTCAGGTGATCTGCCCGCCTCGGCCTCCCAAAGTGCTGGGATTACAGGCGTGAGCCACTATGCCCAGCCTATTATTTCTCCTACATTAACTATTTGGCTTAACTTGTAAAGAAGAGCTTTCCATTTATTTATTCATTTCTTTGTATCAGTATAGGTTCATGGATTCTATTTTATTCAATGGCTTATAATATGTTACTAACGTTATTTATTTTGATGCTCAAATTGTTTTGTATTTGGCAAGTGGGATCCCCTTCAGTTTGAATCCTTTGTCCTTTAATGTGGTTCAAATCTACTTTGAGAGCTTTCTTATTTTCTGGTGCAAGATGTTTCACACTCAGCTTATACTTTTGTCTGCACAGTCCTGAAACTGGTGACTTCTCCATGAGCCTTGGTTCCTTTTAGTAAGGTATTTAAAAACCAAGATCTGCGGTGACTCACGCCTGTAATCCCAGCACTTTGGGAGGCCGAGGCGGGTGGATCATGAGGTCAGGAGATCGAGACCATCCTGGCTAACAAGGTGAAACCCCGTCTCTACTAAAAATACAAAAAATTAGCCGGGCGCGGTGGCGGGCGCCTGTGGTCCCAGCTACTTGGGAGGCTGAGGCAGGAGAAAGGCGTGAACCCGGGAAGCGGAGCTTGCAGTGAGCCGAGATTGCGCCACTGCAGTCCGCAGTCCGGCCTGGGCGACAGAGCGAGACTCCGTCTCAAAAAAAAAAAAAAAAAACAAAACAAAAAACCAAGATCTGGGTACTAAGTGTGCTTATCGCTACAAAGATGCCACTGTTCACAGACCCTCTTACCAAACACAGCCAGAGAATACATATATATCCATTCCTATATATATTTCAACCTCTATATCTGCATATTAACACCACTATGAGCTCACAGAAGTATCTATAATTCTAATCATATACCACAGAGTTTTGTTTTGTTTTTGAGATGGAGTCTCACTCTGTCGCCAGGCTGGAGTACACTGGTGTGATCTCGGCTCACTGCAACCTCCGCCTCCTGGGTTCAAGCAATTCTCCTGTCTCAGCTTCCCAAGTAGCTGGGACTACAAGCACTTGCCACCATGCCCAGCAATTTTTATATTTTTAGTAGTGACAGGGTTTCACCATGTTGGCCAGGATGGTCTCAACCACAGAGTTTATTGTAGCCTTTCCTCTTTCTGTATTTGTTCTCCTTACTCTGTAAGAAAGTTGTCTTTCATTGTCCTTAATCTATTAATTTTCCCTGTAGGTAATCAATATCCAGATGAAGTGAATTATCTCTTTGGCAGAAACCACCACACGATATCCACAGTTTACTTCCTCAGCCCCAGCCCCTCTAAAACTTCCAGGCACACGATATCAGTCTCCCTACCCCAAATGATCTCCAGTCATTCATGATTCCTGCCTTCCCTGCAGTATGCACATAGGATCAAGCACCAAGGCCTGACTATGCTACCTCCTAAATTTTTCCTGAATCTGCATTTTCCTCTATATTCTATGTGATTGCATGACTAGGAAAACCTTGCCAACTGCCTAGTTAATCATTGATGTCATTGAGATAACTAATATAATCTTTCTCCCTCTCCCTTTAATTTTTTTGACTTATTAAGAATTATTAAGTGTTGGCCGGGCGCAGTGGCTCATGCCTGTAATCCCAGGACTTTGGGAGGCCGAGGCAGGCAGATCACGAGGTCTGGAGATCGAGACCATCGTGGCTAACACGGTGAAACCTCGTCTCTACTCAAAATACAAAAGAAAATTAGCCGGGCGTGGTGGTGGGCGCCTGTAATCCCAGCTACTCGGGAGGCTGAGGCAGGAGAATGGCGTGAACCCGGCGGGCGGAGCTTGCAGTGAGCCGAGATCCCGCCACTGCACTCCAGCCTGGGCGACAGAGCGAGACTCCGACTCAAAAAAAAAAAAAAATTATTAAGGGCCTTATTAGTCATAGGTAAAGATCAGCATATTTCCCCAGCCATGCTTGTTATCGTCCTAGTAATTATTCAAGGGGTTCAAGAATTGAACATGAGAAGTTAAGCCTTGGTCCTGGCCCACAAAGTGGGGAGAATGATACCCAGGTGACAGAGCTGTTTTAATTAAAGGATAGAGGGAGTAGGAGAAGGTGAGAGGCCATTTCTATCACTTCAGCCTCACTGGTGGGCTCCTTATCCTCTAGCTTCCAATCCTAATCTCTAATGGGTAAGGTCTAAAGCTCAGCTCTTCTCTCCTATTCTGGCAGGGATTAAATTCAGTATTAATCAGCTACTAACTAATTGCTAAGCTTCTATGGGTAGCTCAGGTGGATGCTGCACTCTTTCTAGTAATTTACCCAGGAGTCCAGTTGAACCGTACTTGTCTTTTAACAATTTTGCTTTGTCAACCACCTTGCTTTACCACCTCAGGGTTGATATAACAGGTGGGTGTGGGGTAAGGTTGGAAAAAAAAGTAACCTTTTTTCTGATTATAAAAGAAATCATTACATTATAGAAATTTGAGAAAAATAAAATGAAGAAAACAAAAAATCACCTATAATATCACAACCTCCTGATGTAATTTTTTCCAGTTTTTGCTATGGTTTTATAAAATAAACTAGACATTATAATAAGTATTAACCTTTATACTGTTTTTCTTTTTCTTTCTTTTTTTTGAGAGACAAAGTCTCGCTCTTCCACCAATGCTGGAGTGCAGTGGCATGATCAGAGCTCACTTTAGCCTCTTTGAACTCCTGGCCTCAGCCTCCTGTGTAGCTGGGACTGTAGGTACAAGCCACCATGCCTAGCTAATTTTTTTAAATATTTTTTGTAGAGACAGAGTCTCAAACTCTGTCTGCTGGTCTCAAACTCCTGGCTCCAAGTGATCCTCCACCTCAGCCTTGTTTTTTTCTTAACATTATAATATAAACATTCTTCCATTTAAAAATTCTTTTAAAACATTAATAAAAATATAGATGTGTCTAATTTCATAAGGTACAAATTTTTTACATGGAGGTTGTTTTCAGTTTTTTATTATTATAAATATTTCCAAAATAAACATTTATGTACATAAATCATTTTTCCACATTGATAATTACTTTCTTAGGTTAAATTGCCAGATCTAGAATTATCTGGCCTAAATCTGTGAATACAGTTAAGCTACTGGAGAATATTGCCTTATTGTTTTTCGAAAAGCTTGCTGTAATTTGCACTTTCATGGGCTGTGTATGAGAGTGAGTGCCTTTTTCACGCCCCAAACATTGCACCTTAAAAAACAGAGTAAGAAGTAATATGATGAAAAGGGGAGGTAAATAAAAAAGGGAGATCAGGCCGTCACTTGAGAGAGAACGTTAGCTTCTGAGTTCTCTCCTTCTACATGAGAATGTGATGGGGCTATTTAGCCATTCTGATCTTCTTGGGGGCCTTTAGCCTTGTCTAGGGAAAACATGTCTTGTACACGTCTAGGGAAACAAAAGATCTGAAATCATAAGATGCCTCAGTGCTGCTGGAATTCAAACTTACCATTTGACAGGAAAGAGAAGGAAATTAGATTGCAGAGGATGGATACTTTGGAACATCCTTCCTCCCTCCTTTTTTCTCACCCTTCACATCTGATCAATCTACAAATCCTGCTACTCCGCTTCCTCTCTGTCACCACCTCTCCACGCCTATTAGGTTCTCTAGTTCAGGCTGTCATCATCCTTCAACCTGAATAAACACAATAGCCTCCTAACAGATCTCCCTCAAGTCCATCCTTCTCCCAGAGTAATCTGTCTAAAGCACAAATGTAGCCATCACCAGCCCCACAAGCTCCCTTTAAATACCCTCAAGGATGCTTCTGCCTACAGAATGGAGGTGAAGCTATTTTTCCTGAAAGCAAGGGTGTCCTGACTTATTCCGCACCTGTTATTACTGCTTCATCTTTTCCTTTCTCCTTCCTTGTACATTATGCTTAATTAATAGCAACTACTGGTAGTTACTGCCCAAACACCATTCTATTTCTTGCCTCTAAATTGTTCGTTCCCACTACCTAGCATAACTTTCCTCCCTCTCTGATAATGACTAGGGCAGTATTCTATTCAAAATATTCTTTTTCAAAAATATTAATTGCCCATCCCTGGGGTAATATCTTACTTCCCTGCTCAACAGAAATCAGGTTTGGACACATAATTTGTTTGGACCAATAGTATGTGGGCAGAAGTTATGTTTATCACTTCCAAGCAGAAACTTCACGAGCCAGAATGTGACTTGCTATGGGTTTTTGTTTGTTTTTCTTTTTCCCTGCTATGAGATCAATAATGTTCTAGAAGCTGCTTTGTCAGCTTGGGTCCTAACATGAAAATATTGGCAATCTGGAATATATATGAATGAGACATAAACCTTGATTGCTGTAAGCCCCTGAGATGTTGCAGTCATTTGTTACTGCAGCATAATGTATCCTATCCTGACTGATAATACTGGCCATCTCCTAATCATTCTTTCAGACTAGTATTACTTCTATGACGTTCTGTACATGTATGGCTGCCTAATACTTAATGATACAAATAAATGTTTTCTTTGGATGATATGGTTTGGATCTGTGTCCCCACCCAAGTCTCATGTTCAATTGTAATCCCTAGTGTTGGAGGTGGAGCCCGGGGGGAGATGACTGGATCATGGGGCAGAGTTCTTATGAATGGTTTCATAACATCCTTCTTGGTACTGTACAGTGAGTGCGTTCTCATGAGATCAGTTTGTTTAGAAGTGTGTAACACCTCCTGTCTCTCTCTCTCTCTTTCCCTCTCTCTCGGTCCTGCTCCTGCCATGTAAGACTCATGCTCCCACTTTGCCTTCTGCCATGCTTCTAAGCTCCTTGAGGCCTCCCCAGAAGCAGAAGCCACTATGTTTCTTGTATAGCCTGCGGAACCATGGCCAATTAAAGCTCTTTTCTTTATAAATTACCCAGTGTCAGGTATTTCTTTATAGCAGTTCCAGAACTGACTAATACATTAGAGAAGGCCCCATTGCATGATGTTTGGCAAAAAACAGATTCTGCCTCCCACTAAGGAAGCCAGAAAGAGCAGATACTTGCTCTCCTAGACTCCTCACAGCTAGGGAAATACCATGTGACCTAAGGTCAGCCATTTGGAAGTTCCCTGCTCAGGACTTAAGAGTTTTGATACAAAGAAGCAAGAACAGGATAGTATAGCATTAATTCTGTTGCTGGAGGCAATATCCAGCGTCCAGTGGAGTGACAGTAGTGAGAACAGAGTCAAGGGGTGAGAGCAAGTGTCCAAGATAAGCAGACTGTTCTGGTGGTATCTCTGGCTGAGTTCCAGACTGCCTAGTCCCTTCAGTTCCTGCTCATTTCCTGAACCTGCTCCTCCAGTTTTCCCAATGATTCTTTTCTTTTTCCTTTTTTTTTTTTTTTTTTGAGATGGAGTCTCACTCTGTCACCCAGGCTGGAGTACAGTGGTGCAATCTTGGCTCACTGCAACCTCCACCTCCCAGGTTCAAGCAATTCTTCCACCTCAGCCTCCCGAGTAGCTGAGATTACAGGCATGAACCACTACGCCTGGCTAATTTTTTGTACTTTTAATAGAGACGGGGTTTCACCATGTTGGCCAGGCTGGTCTCGAACTCCTGACCTCAAGTGATCCGCATGCCTCAGCTTCCCAAAGTGCTGGGATTACAGGCATGAGCCCCTGCGCCTGGCCTATCATGGGTCTTTGCTGAGAAACCTTACTTGAGGTCTATAGCTATATCAGTATATTGTATTTACATCTCTATATGAAACAGAGCATTTCAGCTCATTAATACTCCATAATTGTGAATGAAAATTAAATAGCAAGTTTCAAGCTGGTAGGGAACCTATGGCAATGCTTGAAGAGGAGGGGATCAAATAAAACGTGGACTTGTGAGGGAAATCCACTTTAAGATAATTCAGGTTGAATTCAGAGATTTTAATATTTGTAGTAATCTATCACATCCACACTCTTCAGGGAAGGTCTGAGAGTTGAATATTGCTTAGAAGGAAGGGAAAGTTGAGAGTAGAGAAATGCTGTTCCACCTCTGTTGCATGCACTTAAAAGAGAGAATTTATAAATGGCAGATTTTGATTACTTTGCTATTCTATTTTAGCTTCTATTTTTTGTCACTTTTATTACACTTTCTTCTCTTTTATTGTAGTATCTGATTATTTTATACATGATAACTATGGACAGCAGAATTTTTTACAAACTTATTTCCTGAAACTAAAATGGTAACCATTTTAGAGAATGCTTGGGGATATCTAGTTAATTTGAAGATGCACATGTAACCCAGAAATTGTACCTGTAAGTATATATCCTAGAGAAACTCTTGCATATATGCACAAGGAGACATATACAAGTATGTACTTACAACATTGTTGGTTGTGTCTTCTATTAATAGAAGAATGAACAAATTAATTGTGGTCTATTTATTGAAGAGTATACCATACAGTAGTGAAAAAGAATGAGCTAGGCCTACATGTATTAACATGGGTGAATCTTGAAAACATAATGCTGAGGGAAAAAGAAGATTGGATAAGAATACCAATAATAGTATAACAGCATTTGAAACAGTGTGGCATAGTCATGCAGATGTGCTGGTGTCAGACTTCCCTGGTTCAAACGTGCCCCCACTATTTACTATCAGTAAGACCCAGGCAAGTCTCTAACCTCGACTGGCCTCCAATTTTTTATCTGTAAAGTGGGGATAATATTTTCCACATCTTATAGTTACTGTGAAAATTACAATAAGTTAGTACTAAAGTACTAACAGGAGTACATAGCACCATCATTTTTATGTATATTGTATAAGAATGTGCACATGTTGGTAAAAGTACATACAAATAAATGATTGAGAATGATAAACACAAATTCAGGATAGTGGTTATCTCCTGGAAAAGGAATATTTCTTGATCTGTGGTGGCTACATGATGGGTTTGTTGTTATTCTTCTTATGCCTTTGTGTACGACTGAACTATTTTATGATAAAATTTATGGGCCGGGTGCAGTGGCTCACGCCTGTAATCCCAGCACTTTGGGAAGCCAAGGTAGGAAGATCACAAGGTCAGGAGTTTGAGACCAGCCTGGCCAACATAGTGAAACCCCCGTCTCTACTAAAAATACAAAAATTAGTTGGGCGTGGTGGCACACACCTGTAATTCCAGGGAGGCTGAGGTTTCAGTAAGCTGAGATCGTGCCACTGCACTCTAGCCTGGGCGACAAGAGCAAAACATTGCAAAAAAAAAAAGTGTATATATATATATTTTTTAAATATCTGTATATTTATATATATTTTTTATATATAGATATAGATGTAGATTTTTTTTTTGAGACAGAGCCTCACTCTGTCACCCAGGCTGGAGTGCAGTGGCAGTATCTCCACTCACTGCAACCTCCACCTCCTGGGTTCCTGGGTTCAAGTGATTCTCCTGCCTCAGCCTCCCGAGTAGCTGAGATTACAGGCATGCACCACTACACCCCGCTAATTTTTTGTATTTTTAGTAGAGATAGGGTTTCACCATGTTGGCCAGGCTGGTAACTCCTGACTTCAAGTGATCTACCTGCCTCGGCCTCCCATCGTGCTGGGATTACAGGCGTGAGCCACTGCACACCTGGTCTATTTTATGATAAAATTTAAATCGAATGAAATTTATTCTTAAAACTATAAATACAGTGTAACCAAATTTCTGAGAAATTGGAAACTAGAGGAAAAACTCCAAATTATACCATCTTATCCCACAATTTTAAAAATTAAGTAATTCTTCCAACAACTGAGTGACATTGGTGAATGAAAATGTTATTTTTGCAGCATTCTTCATAATAGCCAAAACATGGAATCAACCCAAATGGCCACCGACAGGAGAAGGGATAAACACAATGTGGTATATCCACACAGTGGAATACAATTCAGCAATAAAAGAGGAATGAGATGGTGATATATGCTACAACTTCAATGAAATTCAAAATCATGCTCAGTAAAAGGAGCCAGACACAAAAGACCACATATTGTATGATTCTATTTGCATGAAATTTCTAGAGAAGGCAAATCTGAGGAAGCAAAGAGTAGATTAGTGGTTGCCTAGGGCTTGGGAAGGAACAAGGAGTAACTGCAAATAAGCATGAAGAATTTGGTGGGAAGACAGAAATATTCTACAACTTAGTGACTGTGTTGATTACAGAACTTTGCATATTTACTCAAACTAATTGAATTATACACTTAAAAGGGTGAATATTATGGTATATAATATATGTCAATAAAGCTATTTTAAAAAGCAGTCTTGGCCAGGCACAGTGGCTCATGCCTATAATCCCAGCATTTTGGGAGGCCAAGGTGGGCGGATCGCTTGAGGCCAGGAGTTTGAGACCAGCCTGAGCAGCATGGTGAAACCCCATCTCTACAAAAAAATTCAAAAATTAGCCAGGTGTAGTGGCAGGCACCTGTGGTCCCACCTACTTGGGAGGCTGAGGTGGGAGATCGCCTGACCCCAGGAGGTTAAGGTTGCAGTAAGCCAAGTTCATACCACTAAACTCCAGCCAGGGCAACAGCGCAAGACCCTGTCTCAAAAAAAAAAAAAAAAAGAAAGAAAGAAAAAGAAAAACCCTCTTAAAAATAGAATAAACATTTATGCTTGGGTGGGAAGGGAACATTATTTCCATTTATAGGCATGAACACGGAAGGATATGATCCTGAGAAAGAACCCAGAATCCTACTCCCTATGTCAGCAGAAACTCCTTTCTGTCAGGGTATCTGTGAGAAGGCCACCTTGGAGTAAGACATTTACCAATGTGGAATTGCCACAGTTAAAAAAAAAAAAAAAAGTAGTGGTGGTACTGTTGGCTGAGGGAAAGCCTGAGATGGTGCTCCTAGTTCTTCATGACCTGTGCATGGTTTACAGGAGATTCAGAAGTTCCTGTATGCCCTGATTTGGGGAGGGTGAGCACCAAGCCTGAGAGAGTGAACTGAAAGAAGCCTGGAGATTGAGATTCTGGAACCACGTATCATATATATGTCGA
Organism: Homo sapiens; assembly: GCF_000001405.40. NCBI lineage: Eukaryota > Metazoa > Chordata > Mammalia > Primates > Hominidae > Homo > Homo sapiens. The sequence goes on from NC_000004.12 coordinate 48,326,840, forward strand.
TGACCCCCAAATTATATCTCCAACTTAAATCTTGTACCTAACTCTAGGCTTCCATCTCCAATGGCCAACTGGGTGTCTACTCTTGCACAGAAAGATCAAAGTAAACAAAGCTCCAAATGGTATTCTTCATTTCTTCAGCCCTAAATCTCTTCCACCCCACCACTCTCCCTGATGGCCACCCTCTCTCCTCTCCACCCCTCACCCATATCCACTGTCCCAGTCTCCTCAGCATGGAATCTACTTTCTCTATCACCACTGATATGGACAGGAGACAGGGAAATACTGGGCAGAGGAGGGCATTCATTTCCCTGGCAAAGGCCCCACCCTCAAACCTGGAGACCTGCAGTCCTAAGAGGGAACAGGCATTTTTGCTTTCATGCCTAGAAAGTTAGCTTTTGGCCTGCCACACCCCCCTATCCTGTACCCATGTAAACCCCAAACCCCAGACTCCAGAAGCAGATGAGGAGATGGGGAGATGAGGAGACAAGCAGACGAATGCCATGGCAGAGAAAGAGACAAGAGAAGGAACATCTGAATGCCAACAGGAGCTCATCTGGGGGTGGTCAGAGAGGAGTTCGGCCGCTGGATGGCCAAAACTCTAAGGGAAGGTCATCTTCCCACTCCATTTCCCTTCCAGTTACCCATCCATGCCACTGAGAGCCACCTCCACCACTCAATAAAACCCTGCATTCATCCTTCAAGCCCATATGTGACCCAATTCTTCTGGGATGTTGGGCAAGAGCTTAGGATACAGAAAGCTGTCACACTGGTCTCCTCCTTGAGAAAAGGCAGAGGGTACACTGAGCTCGTTAACACTTAAGCTGTCTGCAGATGGCAAGGCTAAGAAAGCGTTATAACACTGAGGCCGCAGGCACCCACCCCTAGACACTACCATGGAGCTGGAGCCCAAAGCACTTTCCCCATTCCTGCACCTGCCCATAAGCATGCTCCGCCTCTTGTCAGGGGTTTGAGCAGTGGTGGAGACCAAATGGGCGAGCCACACCCCTGTCGCACATTCTGCAAGGGGAATCAGGGAATTCTCCCGTTTCACCTTTGCCACCACCTATTCTTGGCCACCATCATCTCTCCCCTGGACGAAGCAACAACCTTTTAACTGGCCTGCTTCCACTTTTGCTTTCCTCCAATCTATCCTCCACACAAAAGCAAAGCTCATTGCAAATTGGGTCTTGTCACTCAAGTGCTTAAAACTCTTCAACAGCTTCTCATTGTACACACAATAAATCCAAACTCTTCACCTTGGTCTGTAAGGCCCTGAATAATCTGGTCCCCACCTAATTCCCAATTCCCTACAGCACCAAATGGCATTCTTCCCCTTACTTACTACATTTACTTATGCTTGTTCTTTTCTCAATCTTCACAATTCCCTAAGCTAACATCTCAAGAGTTTGGCATGCACTGTTTCTTCAATTGGTACCAATCCTTCACCTTCTCATCTTGCAGACTTCAGTTTAAATGCCACTCCCTCAAAGTCACCTTCCCCACTCATTCTATCTAAGGAAGCTTTCCTCTTTACTCTCCGCCTTCATTCTTCATTTGTTTTCTTCATAGCACTTCTCATTCTTAGCAGCTATTATGTATTGGTTTACATATTGTTTATACCACTTCCCTTACAAAAATTGAAATTCTATGAACCATGTGCTGTTCACTATTGTAGCTTCAGCATCCAGCATAATACCTGGAATGCTGCAGCTGCTTAACAAATGTTTGATGAATGAAAGCACTTAGAAAACCACACAGATATTTCCCCCTATTGTCCAATTTTCAGAAAGAAACAGATTTTGTTGGCCATATCAGGGCAGTTTTGATTATAAGTAACAGAACACCACCTAAGCCTAAATAAAAGAGAGTTTTTTTTTTTTTTTTTTTGAGAGGGAGTCTCGCTCTGTCACCTAGGCTGGAGTGCAGTGGCGCCATCTGGGCTCAATGCAGCCTCTGCCTCCCGGGTTCAAGCAATTCTCCTGCCTCAGCCTCCTGAGTAGCTGGGACTACAGGCACGTGCCACCATGCCCGGCTAATTTTTGTATTTTTAGTAGAGACGGCGTTTCACCATGTTGGCCAGGATGATCTCGATCTCCTGACCTCGTGATCTGCCTACCTCGGCTTCCAAAAGTGCTGGGATTACAGGTGTGAGTGCCCAGCCCAAGAGAGATTTTAATATGCAGACACATGGTTCTCCCAGGAAGCTGAAGGGCAAAAGCATAGGTATGTCTTGGAAAGAACTCAAAGCAGGAATTAGTGCAAGGTAGAGAACTCAAGGATTTTGCCCTACTTGCAAGCTATCAAGTTAGCCTGCCTCAAGTTTCATGGCAGAAGACACAAGATTCCTGCATTAGAGACAAAGGACAATGTATCACTCATAGCAATAGTACCCAGAGTATCAGCATTTGCTCTGGTTCCCACAAGGAGACATGAATAAAGCCAGGTGGGGCTTATACACCCAGTGGGTTGTGTTACCAGTGAGAAACTCCGAGCTTAGGGAACCCAAATCTTTATAATTGTCAGTAAGTACCTGACCTTTGCTCAGAAGGGAAACATTACCTTTATCTTTATATTGGATAGTAAATAAATCTGCTGTTTGCTGCACAGGGAGAAATTATCTCTGTTCCAAAACTGTTTGCTGTGTAAACATCCCTGAAATGATATTGCAGAACAAGAGTAGCCAGTGTCACATCACAAGATGTGCAGAAATGCAAGAGATCCATGGAGAAATGTCTTCCTGTTAACAAGCAGGTGTGGAAGAAGAGCTAAGCAGAAAAAACTATAGATATCCACCATAGATAACATCTCTGGAGCTGTGGTACCTTCTACATAGACTAAGGCAATAAGTTTAGCACTTGTTACAAATGAATTCAGGGAATATTTATTAATTTGTATTTTAGAAAACATTTACCATTAGATTGTTTTTCTTAAGAAAAATATTGATATCTCTAAAAGGTAATTTTGAAAACAATATTAATGTGTCACAATAATCTATATGAAGGAGAACAATTTAATTCCTGGCAATGATGAATTTGAAATAATTTTTTCATGGACTCTCATTTTTTATTTTCTGTTTCTGTTTCTTAAAGAAATATTGTAGCAAAGGGGAAAGTAGGGTATTGTTTGATGTTTTTCCTGCTTGAGGGAATCTGAAGTATTCTGATTCTGTATGAATAAAAAAAATTGGAACACTTACAGATACTTTTTAAAAATTCTAAGGCAGAACTAAGGGGATTGAATACCCTGGGAACTCTTGATAACCATTTCAGATATTTTTATTATATTTATACATGCTTTTGAAATTCTGGTTAGCCACAATTCTGTGGATGATGAAGTCATAGAGTCTTAGGAGATGAATCACTAATCTAGGCTTACTGCTACCAGTTTAAACTTACTCTATAATTTCTCTCTGACTGATTGTTGTAGAATGGTAGCTTGTAAGTAAACCAGTGATTTATTTGTTTATTGTATTCAAATGATGAATTTGAAATAATTTCATTAATGGCCTCTCATTTTTAATTTTCTGTTTCTGTTCCTTAAAGAGAAACTGTAGTAAAGGGGCAAGTAGGGTATTGTTTGATGTTTTTCCTGCTTAAGGGCAAACAACTTGCTCATATGTAATTTGTCTTAAGTTGTTGAAGCCATAAACTATTGGGCTTGAATTAGTTTAACTCACTTTATAGAAAATTTAGCATACCAATTAAGCACTTAAATAGTAAATTAAGAAAATGGTCCTCAAATCAATTACAATACCAGGATTTTAGATCTCAGTGAAGGATGAGTATTTAGAAGCTTCCTTCCCTCTAAATCAGTGTTAATACTTTTTTTGTCTGTCTCTGAAATTTAAGAAAGATAATCCCTGTTTTTTCCTTGTTTCTCCCATTTCTAACCCAAGAGAAAATGAAATGATTTCAGTCATATTTAGCAGTAGAGTTAATCTACTAGCAAATCTCGATCTCCTGACCTCGTGATCTGCCCGCCTCGGCCACCCAAAGTGCTGGGATTACAGGCATGAGCCACCGTGCCCAGCAATCTACTAGCAAATCTAAGTGGAACAAATTACACACTGTTTTTCATGTGAGAAAATATGTTCTTAAGCTAGAGGAATATTTCAATAACAAATATCCATTAGAATCTACATGCAAGACACTAGCTTATCTAATGAGAAAAGTCAGAGAAGTAAAACAGCAAAACAACTTCACATTCTTTAATGTTCATTCAGAATATTAAATGCCATTAATTGACCATCATTATTATAAAATTTACTATTTAGATAAGTGAGTTTTAGTACAGTGCTATTTAAAGTATGGAACTGTTACTGGTGTGTGATCAGTACAGAAATTGAGACTAAGCATTTAGAAACCTAGAGCAATTTGACGTAGCAATCTTCTGTCTGTTGAATCTAATAACAAAAAAAATTTTTTCAATTTTGCATATCTTTTTAAAATTTAATTTGTCAAGGAATTCATTTTTAGCATATTTTACAAAAACATCATTCTCCTATGGAGACTATTTGGAAATACAAATAAGAAAACTGGTTCTTACCACAGATAGTTTTAGAAACCTGTTTTAGTGTAAAGCCATCATTTAGTATAAAGTCATCTATTATTACTGTTACTCTGAAGTGGTTACTGAGCATTACAACAGTAGGTAGGATTATAAGTTGTTTACTAAATATGCTAGATTTATTAACTCATGTATATATTTATTGAGAAACCAAAATATTTGAAGTACTTGATGAAGTTGATGTGCTAACCATTGCCTGTCTGCCCATATTCCCTCTTGGAAATATTACAGGATTCTGCTCACTTCTGACTCCAGCCTCAGCATGCTGTACCATGGTGGGCTAATATTAGTTAGTCTAATAATATGTGAGTCTAATATTATGTCACCCAAGAATCTGGAATTGGGACACTGAGAGACTGAGTGATTAGGTCATAGTAGTCACATGAACTGAAATGTCACCAGTTGTTACAACACCAAACCCAACGCCACATGTAGACTGATGTTAGAGAACACAGAACATGAGTAAGCAGGGGTTCTGAGATAGAATAAGGGGGAAGGGGGCAAATGGCAAACATGCAAGAAACAGAGAGAGAGCCCATCAAAATATAAGTTAGGTCCTGTCACTCCTCGGCTCAAATCCTGCCTTGTCTTATGTCATACGGAGTAAAAGTCAGTCTTCACAACTGACTACAGGCTGTAAGGAATCTTTCCTCCATCTCTCTGACTTCATTTTCCACCACGCTCTTTGACACTCATTCCAGTTTAGTCATCCAACCTTGTTTTTCCCTGAAGCCAGGCACATTATTGCCTCAGGGCCTTTGTACTTGCTCTTCTGCTTGGTATGCTCATCCGCAGTTTCCTGCCTGGTTGGCTCCCTCACCCTCCTTCAGAGTTTTGTTCAAACATCATCTTCTAGGCGAGGCCTGCCCTGAGCACCCTATTTAAAATTGCAATCCCGGCCGGGCACAGTGGCTCACGCCTGTAATCCCAGCATTTTGGGAGGCCAAGGTGGGTGGATTACTTGAGGTCCGGAGTTCGAGACCAGCCTGGCCAATATGGTGAAACCCTGTCTCTACAAAAATAACAAAAATTAGCTGGGCCTGGTGGTGGGCACCTGTAATCTCAGCTGCTTGGGAGGCTGAGGCAGGAGAATCACTTGAATCAGGGAGGCGAGGTTGCAGTGAGCCGAGATTGCGCCACAGCACTCCAGCCTGGGTGACACAGAGAGACTCTCTCTCAAAAAAATAAAATAAAATTGTAATCTTGGCCAGGAGCAATGGCTCACACCTGTAATCCCAGCACTGTGGGAGGCCAAGGCGGGTGGATCACTTGAGTACAGAATTTGGAGACCAGCCTGTGCAACACAGCAAAACTCCATCTCTACAAAAAATAGAAAAATTAGCTGGGCGCGGTGGTATATGCCTGTGGTCCCAGCCACTCTGGGGGCTGAAGTGGGAGGACTGCTTCAGCCCAGGAGGCAGAGATTGCAGTGAGCTGAGATTGCACCACTGCACTCCAGCCTGGGTGACAGAGCAAGGCCTTGTTTCAAAATAAATAAATAATAAAATTGCAATTCTGCCCTCACCCACATTCCCTATCCTCCTTTCTCGATGTATTTCTTCTCCATAGCACTATTTCTATGCCCTTCACTCTATTCCCTCCTTCTCCATTTGTTTAACATTTTTATTGATTTTGGGTTTATCTTTCGATTGTATCTTTTTACAAACATAAGCATTTATGTATACATTTTCATATCCTTTCCTGCTTCTTGTGCTAAAGGTGTATACCATAAGCACCATTTTGAACCAGCTTTCCTGGAGCTTCATGGAGATCTTCATCTCTTTTCTTTTTATTGATGCACAGTCCTCCATTATGTGGATGTATCATAGTTTTTTAAACTAGCCCCATATTGATAATATTTGGGTTGTTCTCAGTCTTTTGCTATTGCAAGTAATACCATAAAAAATAGCTATGTGCATAGGTCATTATATGTTTTAGCCAGTTTACTTTTAGAATAGATTCTTAGAAGCAAGATAAGTGGATAGCTCCCTTTTTAAATTGAGATGATACAAGAGGATTTCTGTTCATTATATCCAACAAGTCATGATTAAGATTGCTACCTGTCCCTGTAGGTACATCTCAAGTGACACTTCTTCTGGGAAAACTCTTATTCCAGGCAGAAGGAATCTACTGCTAGTTCCCTAATATGCCCTCAGGTAAAAATAAAAAACAATCCTTATATTTTATATTCTTTCTTGTTCGCATCACTCACATGGCACTTTTTACATGCTGCTTTGTATATACAGTAATTTATGTACCTCTGATCTCCTTAAATGGACAATAAGCTGCTACCGATTAAGAAGCACATTCTTTTTGATGTTTATCATCTCTGGTCCCTAACAATGTGCCTTGAACTGGTAATGGATGACTGAATGAATAAATACAACAGGTATTTGTAATCCTGCACGTGACAGTGCCCCATATAAAAGTGTCCATGTGATTTATGTTTCACATAACATACCAGAAAAAAAATCTCAAGTGGACTAAAGAGTTGAACATAAAAAAGGTAAAAAATAAGAAACTATAAGAAAAAAAGTAGTAATATTTATTACCTGCTTAGAGGTCAGTTAAAGGATTGTTTGAGCCTTATGCCTTTATTTTTTTTCTTTTTCCCTGAACTAGTCACTGCTTGAGAAACTTACACCTTTAAATAAGACTGACACAATAAAATGAGCCTGGAGCCCTGCAGCACATCATTTTGGATCCTCTTAAATAGCTCCTCCCCATATTCTCTCATGGTAACAATCCTAGCTGGTGGTCCTTCAAGGGATGATTAAATGTTCTTGCCCAAATCTAAGGCTCCAGAGTCAAGCCCATTGATACAGCCATGTGGAAGATCTGGCAACTACATTATTGTGCTCAGGAAGAACCTCACCTTCTGTGTGGAGGTTGTGGCCTTTCGACTGAGTGTAGGAGAAGTTACTTGTTCTATGTTCATATGCCCTGCCTGGACTCTAACAGGCTACACCTACTCTTAAAGGGGACCTTGTGCAACATTATGATGTAGCTCTGAATGCATCAGAGGTGAAGAGATAGAAAGGCATGTCTTCTATCTTTGCTTTTGGAGAGGTTGCGGAAATTCATTGCCTCCCAGGTAGCCTGCAATTCCACCTCTGAAAGCAGTACACACTCTCCATCTGTCCTATAGTATATAAATACCCTCTCCCTACCAGGATGATTACAGTTAACACCGTGATCTGCCCTGCTGTCACTGCGCAGCAGAATTTTGGTGGGTCTGCTGTCTACAAATGATTCCATATCATGATTTGAGTCCAATATAAAAATACTCAGTAAGCAGAGCGGCATCTGACTCAAGGTGGACCAAATACAAGGCCACACCTCCTGATCAACTGACCTGGGCTGCAAAAATAGGCAGTAGAAAAAGCTCAAAGAACTTCGGAGGATTGTCCTGGTAGGGAAGAGGAAACCAGTCCTCCAATAATGCAGTCCTCCAATAAGACAACCATGCCAACAGACAAAGCAGTTCTGTTGTCCATTTCTTCACGTGTAGGTGCCCTATGTGAGGTAAACCATACCCACTGATACAACAGGTAGCCGCCTGTGCCATACCCAACTATTCATCTCTACTCTGCCCTGCCCAACACATTACCCTCATTTCTCTAGAATACAGTGAAGATGTGAGATGAAGGCTATCCGGTTTCCAGGAACTATGGGAAGATAGAATCTGTTTACACAACGGTGGACTCTTCTGCATTAGGGAGCTTTGCAGATTGGGCTCTAGTCCAGCAGATCTGGTTACCAATTTGTCTCAATGCTGGAAACTCACAACCCTGCCAAGTCACAGAATCCCTAACCCTTAAATGCAACTGTTTCTTCCACATGCCCTTTGCAAAGGGCATGGAAACAAAGGTTGCAGCTGCCTGCAACCACTTTGTTTTGGCATTCACAAGGAATCACCCTGTTACCTAGTGTTGAACCCAGTACACCTGGCTCTCGTCTGTTTCCCAGGCTCTATACTTTGGCTTTTCATGTCTGCTTCTAGTCTTCCCTATATCAGGACCCGTTCGAACTTTTCTTCTCTGTTCGACTCTTGCCGAACAGAGTCTGGGCAAGAGGCCCAGGACTCTTGCCGCTAAATTCTGACTCTCAGATCTTCTTGCTTTGTTGATTATGGTGTTATTACTGCCTTGGGTAAAAGACTCCTTCTGCTAACTTCTGCCCCCATAAAACTCCTACAGGCTGGGCTAGTTCACTAACTTTTCCAATGAGAAGCTCAGATGCTGAAGCTTTATTTTAGCAAACCACTGACTGATGGGTCTTCAGCCATTCCTACCTATCTCTCCAGTACCTGGACTAGTGCCCAAGTATACAGCCAAATTTTGAGCAAGAGGTCCAGGAACTACCTCCCTCTCTCTCTCTTTTTTTTTTCCCCCAAGATGGAGTTTCGCTCTTATGCCCAGGCTGGAGTGAAGTGGCACAATGTTGGCTCACTGCAATCTCCACCCCCACCCCCCGGGTTCAAGCAATTCTCCTGCCTCAGCCTCCCAAGTAGCTGGGATTACAGGCACCCGCCACCATGCCTGGCTAATTTTTGTATTTTTAATACAGACGGGGTTTTGCCATGTTGGCCAGGCTGGTCTTGAACTCCTGACCTCAGGTGATCCACCCCCTCCTTGGCCTCCCAAAGTGCTAGAATTACAGGCGTGAGCCACGATATCCAGCCGAACTACCTCCCTCTCTAAAGAACTGATTGCTTCAATGCTGGGTTCCAGAGTTGCTGAGACACCAAATCTGGCAAACTTGCTGTTAGAGGAAGATTGTGTTGTTGGTATTGCAAATGCGATGCTTAAGTTCTCAACATTATCCCTCAATCCCCACCCCAGATGGTAGCTGACTACGTATCAATACTCTTTTAAGTAAAAGAATGGAGAACTCATCATGCTCATGGGCCAAAGGGGATTCTAAGTGCAATTCTGAAGTCAGACCAGCTGGGTCTAATTTAGCTCCACTACTTCCTGGCTATAGTATTGGAAATTATTTAACCTCTCTATATCTCAGTTTCTTCATTTGTAAAATGGAGATGATGATGAGAATAGCAGCTACCTCCAAAGACTATTGTGAGTTTTAAATGAATTATCACATGTCATAAAAGTGGTTAACAACTATTAGCTACTATTATTATTGGGCCAATTTGGAGAACTGGATATTTATAGAATTAAACTTCCAGGGCACATATAACTGTTTACATAAGAAGGATGATGAATAGAAAGTAACTTTGTAGACATACTTGGGCAAATTGAATAGTTGATGATGTCAGTCGGGGTAATACTCCAGGAGTTTTCCAAAGACTCAGAAATGGAATTCTCTACAGCTTCCTAGAAGACTAATTATTTAAGTATCTCAATGGCAGCTTAATTTACTTTTGCTTGATACAAGTCTCTATGTATAATCTACTCTCTCCACTGTATCTCTAAGTCAATACTCAGAATAATGTATTTTAAATCCTAGGGCAGATTATTGGGACTTATCTTATTGACTTGAATATTTGGATTATTCCAAGTTTTCTTCCATCTTTGAATAGTAGTTTCTGTAGAACATCAAACACGTTCAGAAGTGGTTCATATTCCACTCTTCCAACTTCACTGTCCTACTGATATACTACTTAAAGAAAAAAAAAGAAATAATAAATGTTATTTAAGAGCTTATCTTCCCATCTGCTGCCAGAAAAAGGGTGGAAGACACGGTATTGTTTCATTTTGGGTAGCTTCCTAACAGTTCAAGAACCTGTTCACCCTTTGCTCTGATCACGGACTTACCCACCCCTACATCTATATAATATATGCCCCCAACAGTGTGATAGGGGACCACCCTCTAGACAGAGAATCTCCCTAAAAAAGCCCCCCTTCATTTTGCCACCAAGCGTTCAATTCAAAATTTCTCATATACTTAACCTTTAAGGTTCCTGGGACTCCTTTGTAAAATTGTATTGTACCAAGACAGTGAAGAAGGGGCCGTTTGATAGATCAAAGGGAGGCACATCTGGAGGAGGGATGCTGGTGAGGAATAGATGAAAGAGGGTAAGTAGAAAATAACTGACCATGTGTACCTATGAAGATTAAACGGATGGACTGTCTAGTGAAATGATCTGTTATGTTAAAAAATGGATGGATTGGATAGCAAAGGTTTTGTCAAAGAATCTGAGCATTTTCTAAGGAAATGCAAATATTTCTGTGTCTAGCAATTTCTAAACTACTTTTTAGCATGTGCTTATATAGACACACACACACACACCTTGATTTAGGATTTTAGGATGGCTAAATATCTTTAAGCCATTGAGTAACAGTTTTTCATTCCAAATACTTTTAGTGGTTTGTAATATTTTCCACTTTGTCAGGAGTTTCACTAAGAGCTAACATGCATGTAGGAGCAAGTTATGAAAATGGGCCACACCTGCTTAGAAAAGAAACAAATCCTTCTTCCAGCAACAAACCAAGCTTATCATAAAACACAACACCTGAAAAACTAGTTGGGCTAACTGTGATGCATACTTCAGACACCTACTAGCTCTGCTCCTTGTAGCTATATAAAAGTCACTCTTAGAGTGACTTTTAAAAACATGCTGTAACACTTCTGAGTCACCAGAGAAGACAGGGTATCACAGCTAACCTGAAAGAGGAAGATCCTGGCAAGGTTAAGGATAGAAAGGAAATATTCTTGTCCTTATGCTTCTCAGTGAGAACTTAAAACTCTCTCCTCAGCAATTCTTAAGGGCTGTTGGCTCTCAGGAGGTAGAGAGTGACCTAGTTTTGAGGATGACATATATGGTATGACATGTTGCTCTTTTGGAAGGAGAAAATATAATTTTAAAAGTCAACCATTCAAAATAATTACAAATTTCCACTTCAATGATTTGAGATATAACCATATTTATCTGAAATTCTCTTTTAGGAGACTTCACTTAGCGTAAATCCATTAACTCTCTCGTTCAAAAAACATGTATTGAGCACTTACCATGTACTAGGCACTGTTGTAGGCACTGTTTTAAGCACTGGAGATATAACAGTGAACTCTGTTCTCCTGCAGTTCACACTCTACTGGTGAGAGACAGGCAGTGAAGAAAAAAAGAAAGAAAAGGAAGGAAGGAAAGAAAGAGAGAGAGATGTGTCTGAGAAAAAATGAAACAGGATTAAGAGGATGGGGAATGACACAGATGCTATTTTATGGAGAATCATAATGAGGATAGTGAATTTAGGTGCTATTTGGGCAGAGACCTGAATGAAGTGAGGGAGTCAGTCATGTGATAACGTGAATGACAACCAGATCCTAGACAGAAAAGCAAGTGCAAAGTTCCTAAAGTAGAAACATGCTTGGCTTGTTTGAAGAAAATCAGGAAGGCCAGTGTGGTAGAGTGATGGGGAAGGTGTTAGTTAATGAGATACTTGCAGAAGTTGCCGAGTATCCAGAGCCCTATAGTCCAGGGAAAAGACTTTGAAGTATGTTGGGAAGCCAGTTGCTTCTGAGGATTCTGAGCAGGAGAGTAACCTGATGTGACTTACACAAAAGATCATCTGGTTGCCATGTACACAAGAGACTGTAAAGCAGCAAAGTGGAATAGCTCATTAAAAGAGTACCACTGTAATCTAGACAAGAGAAGATGGCAACTTGAATTAGAGTCGTAGCAGTGGAGGTGCTGGGAAGTAATTAGACATATTTTGAATGTAGAGCCAGCACGACCTGCTTAAAGATTGGATTTGGTGGGTGAAAGAAAGTGAGGAGTAGGGATTATCCTAAGGTTTTTGGTCTGAGCATTTAGAAGAGCTGTCATTTATTGGAATGGTGATGACTACAGGACAAGCAGATTTAAGCGTGTGTATATGCTGTGTAGTGTGTATGTGTGTGTATGAACTGAATGTTGTTTGATACTTAAGAGGCCTATTAAACATCCAAATATCTAAATTCGTGCCTGCCATATAGTAGATATATTCAATATTTATTGAATGAAAAAGGTAAGACATTGAGTAAGGCAATAGAATTTAAAAATCCAAGTATATCTATCCACTATGAACTTCTCTATATATCTAAGTATATTCACTCTCATGTTTTGCAACCATGAGGCCTCACCAGAATCCTTTACTTTTTCATCCTGGAAGAGATACTGGAGATCCTCCAACTCACGCATTCTAAAGTAAACTAAGGACCAGAGATTAGAGAGCAGCGATCAAGGTCAAGTGCATTTATGCTACAGCTAGAACCCGACATCAGGCTTTCTGATTCTTAATTCATTGTTCCACACTACAACAGCTTTTCCTGCCCCACAAACATTAGTGCTAACTTCATAATGTCCGGTGAACTGTTCTTTTCAAGGAGTATATTTGAAGGGTTCGCCTTATAGAAACTGACTAGTTGGAATCTATTTTACAAAGCATTGAATGCAAGTGAAAACTGCTACACGTGAAGTAGTCATGATTTTTAACCCTCCGGCAACAAGTTCAGACTGGTCAGAAAGAGCAATGATATTTAGATGAGCATTACACAGATAATATATATTACTTGACAATTATGTTAGCAAACAATCACATCCTTTGACTAGGTCTGTATAGCTAGAAAAATACTCGACTTATAGTTAGCCAGCAAACTTTTAACACAAATACGTTTTTTGCTACGAATAAATAGCTACGTGGTTTTAAGTAGAACTTATAGTCTACTTAACTTTCAACAAACCAAGTATTGAGTGTCCACTGTGTCAGTGTACTAGACATGGGAAGCAAAAATGAAGTGTCCTTAAATCAAGTAAACAGACAAAAACAAACGAAAAATAATTCTTAGAGAAAAAAGCAATTTAAAAAAAAGTGCAAACACCTATTGAGAACTATTGATCACGTAGTGCTAGAATATGCAGAATAATTAGATCTTTGTGGAATTGTTGGGAAGAGGTTTCCTGAATGAGAGAGTATGGGATTTAAGAAAAGAATCAGATATGGCAGGCGGAGAATATGGCACTAGAAAAGCTAAAGGGTAGAAGCAAGTCAGTCATGGCATGAGTCCACACTCAGGTGTAACAGGACTGGATCATTGTTATTAAACTAAGGGTGGAGGCGGCAACTGAAGAAAAGCTGCAAACACAAGCCAAAGCCGTTCACAATTGACCTCTGAAGACCAACGACTGTGATAATGTGATCAAAACAAAGCATTTAAGTTTTGTTTAGGTTTCCTGCCGCATTCTAAAGGCAGACTTCACATTCTTACAATTTTCTTCATTCTTCAGTATCTGTCAGCGTGTTTAACTACTTTTAACATACAACTTTTAAAAAAGTCAAGACACACTACGAGGAACTTTTTCCGAAGGAAGTGATCCAAAGAACAGAGTGTGAGTCAATAAACGGAGAAAGGGAGTAGAGAAGCGGTTTACTATCCCCCGCTTCCGCCCCAGTGTGCTGTAAACTTTAAGTCGGGAAAACTATGTTTTAACCGATGAGATAATGCCTTTAAAAGTGCTTAGCACACTGTCTGGCCAGTAGGAAGCACTCAAGAAATTATGATTATTTTGACCTTAGACCTCTCTTAACTGTCTGAAACTGGGGTTTCTTATTTTCAGGGGAAGAAACAGGACACAGGCAGTCTAGAGGCTCCTGCCAGCCGAGACAATCTCCAATTAAAAGTCGGCATCGATTAAATATTTGCTGAACAAAGTAAACTGTCTCTCCACCGCCGGGCTGAGCGCCCACTCGAGATCCGGCCCGGAACAAGGGCGAGACTGGCCCGCGGGTCCCACACTCCCTGTAAGGGGTGGAGAACACGCCCACACGCCCAGACCAACAGGCGAGGCTGTTCGAGGACCTTGTTAGCCACCTCAGCCCCGCCCGCCGCGAGCCTTCTGCTGGCCTCCCGTTCTGCAGGGACCCTCCCTAGCCAGCCCGGCCGCGTCCCACATCCGCCGACACGCCCCTTCCGGCCTAATCCCCGCCCCTCAAGCACCGGCCCCGCCCCATAGGCCCCGTCCGTGGCCCCGCCCCGCCGCGAGCTGGCGCCGGGTCCTCTCAGCGCCCGCCGGCGGCCGCGTCCACCCCCGACGCTCTGAGGTCACCGACTGGGCCGGCCCGCGGGGGGCGGAGGGACGGAGGGAAGATGGCGGCAGGGGCCGGATATTGGCGCCGCCTCCCCCAATCCCGGAGCCGGCGCAGATGAGGCAGTTCGGCTGGGGCCAGCGGCGCTTTGGAACCCGAGGTGGGGGGACCCTGGCGGTGGGGCCTGGTCCTGCTATATGCCGGCGCCTCGGCTAGAGTGAGCGGCGGCGACGCCTCTTTCCTCCGTCTCTTTCCCTGTCGCTGCGAGAGCGAGCGGGCGGCGGAGGCGGCGGCGGCGGCGGGGCCGGGATGGAGGACGTTAACTCCAACGTGAACGCGGACCAGGAGGTGCGGAAGCTGCAGGAGCTGGTGAAGAAGCTGGAGAAGCAGAACGAACAGCTGAGGAGCCGCTCGGGGGCCGTGCAGGGCGCCGGCTCCCTTGGGCCCGGCAGCCCGGTTCGGGCCGGCGCGTCCATTCCCTCCTCCGGCGCGGCGTCTCCTCGGGGCTTCCCCTTGGGCCTCAGCGCCAAGTCGGGCGGCGGGCCCGGGTCGGGCCCGAGGCGGACGAGTAGCGAAGAGCTGCGGGACGCCACCTCCTTGCTAGCGGCGGGCGAGGGCGGCTTGCTGGACGAGGTGGAGCCGCTGCGGCCCGACGAGCTGGAGCGCCTGTCAGGCTGGGAGGAGGAGGAGGAGAGCTGGTGAGCGCGAGGCGCCGGGCAGGAGCTGGGCGGGGACGGGCCCGGGGGCGGAGAGCGTCCTCTGAGGGTCCCTCTGGTCGGGCGCCTCGCTTTGTGTAGCCGGGTCCGCTCTCCTGTGGCGACTTGTGGTTTTCTTGCTTTGGCAGAGGGAACGTCAGCTGGAGTTGGGGGTTCGAGGCGTGCGCAAGTAACAGGGTTGTAGCTCGTTGTCCTTTGGATTGTGGACCTTCTGAGTGCTGGACCCTATTGGGGTCTGTGGGTTGGGGCAGCTTGAGAAGGGCTGTTCGCCTGGGGAGGAGTCGGAGGTGGGAAACTGCTTTGTAGGCAGGGATCCTGCTTTGTGTAAGATACTGGCTTTCGGATGGTGGCCCTGGGCATTCTGGATGTAGGAGAGGGGTCTGCTTGATGAGGTATCACCAGGTGTGGGGGTCAGGGGCAGACCAGAGTCGTCTACGTCTATGCAGCGGTTGGTGTTTGGGACCCATTTCTGGCGGGGATGGGGAGACCGTATGAATCAGCACTCCCCTTTGGGTAGTGGGGTAAACCTTGCTTTGTGTGAAGAGAGGGCAGAGGATGGTGCTGCTTTTTTTTTTTTTTTTTTTTTTTTGTTACTCTGTGTGAAGAGTCAAGGGTGGAACGAGCCCTGGCTCTTATTTTCTAAAACAAGAATTGAGTCTGGCGTTTTGCAGAGCTCTGAATTGACAGTTATCACATCCATCTTTCATTTCCACGTCCTTCTAGGGGCAGAGAAAAAGAGTCCTATTTAAAAATTTAAACCAAAGCTATATTGTCATAAGCCACTTCTTGATGAAATTGTGGCCCCCCCACCTTAATATCACTTTCATAAATAGGACATGGGAGGCTTTTCCTCTCGTTTTATTATAAAGATGTGTGTGGGCAATTATTTGTCTTAATTCATTTTTCTTAAAGTTTTAACTTTTAGCTAAAATGTCTCTGCTCTATTGAAATTAAAACTTCTAACAGTGAAATCGAAATCATTCATAGACTCTGGTATTGCAGGGCTGGAACTTTGCAGTGTTCTGAGGTAGTTAAGAGCTTTCCTGGGTTCGCCCCTGGTTTTGCCACTTACTAGCAGTATGACCTTGAGCAAGTTACTCTGAGGCTCACTTTCTTCTTGTATTTGATGGAGAAAATAATAGCACTTACCTCTATAGAGTTATGAAAATTTAGTAAGATAATTATGTATGCATTTAGCGCTGGATCTGGCACATAGTAAACTGTCTAAAACAAGCTGCTATTTGTTACTCTTAAGCCTAGTTACTTAAATCAAGAAACAGTTCTTATATGATGTTGTAGGAGATTCTGGTGATTCTTAAGTGTTGATCCCTGTTCATAAGGCAGTTATAGTCTTGTTGAGAACTAAGTTTTGTGCAGTTAAATAAACTAGAAAGTGTACAGTGAATTACCCAAAGAGTGATAGAACAAAGAGTACTGACAGTGCTCAGTAACTGGGAAAAAAATAGTAGTCCAAAGTAGTTGGGCCAGACTTTGAGGAGGAGGTGGCTTGGAGTCTGAAAGTGAGGAAAGAGCGGGAAGGGCATTTTATGCTCTTGACAGCTACAAGAGCAGAGTCAGAGGTATTTGTAACTCTCAGGAAGATTTGAGTAACAGAATTACTCTTGAGTATATGATGACATACCTTTATTACCAAGTGATATCAAATATTAGAGCTGACTGTGGTAGTGACAGTTTTTGATATAAATGTGAAATTGCATTCTCCCAAAGGAATCTTGGGTATGTATGCACTTTAAAAGAACCCAGAATCTTGTAAATATTGTCACATGGCTCTTGCAAGTGATGATAATAAAATGATGCTCATAATAATGAGGATTAGCTGCACCCATCAGCCCATTTTAGATTATGTATTATTAGAACACATTGAGTCCACTTGGGGAAGCCGATTAAGTCTTTGGCTGCTTTGGTTCCTGAGCATGAGTTTGTTAAGGTAAAGCAAGTCTTCCTTAAATACTGTTCCAGGAGTTTCTTTTGACCAGATGATTCCTGCTTACTGCTTTGATCCTGGCTTCATATCTTGATATTATAGGTGTCCTATACTTTTTCTGAGATTTGTGTGAACTGAAAGTTGAATATAAATCATATTTAAAATGCGTTGGGGTATGTGATTAGGGTAAAAGTTGTAGGGGATGGATGTCAGTGGCAGGAAGATTCAAAGTCAATATTTTTTCCTTTCTTAGCAAGCTAAGAATCTACCTTTTGTAACTTCTAGCTATTGCACCTTCCTTTTCATCTAGAGGAATGTTTCCTCCCGAGTGTATGTGCCGCAAAGTGCTAGTTCTGAAGATGTCAATAAGTGTTATGTAGAAAAAAAGTGGGTGGGTTCTGGGATGGAATAAATGTGGGAAAAACTGGGTTCAACAAAAATAAACAGTTTTCTTTAATGCTGGGCTCCTGGAGATGCTAATGTGTTTTGAACATAGTAAATCTCTAGGGAGTATGGTTTGGTCCTAAACTTAATTGAGCTCCCAAGGAACTAGTATCTTTTTTAGAAAACAGTGCTCTACAGCAGTCACTTTCATACTCTTCTTTTTTTTTTTGGACCCAGCTTCATGATAAGAAATACATTTTAACTCATAATCAGGAATTCACATGTATCTGAATAACTGAAGCAAAAGTTTCACAAAATGTTGATTACTTTTACTACAAGTGGTATGCTTGGATATTTTCCGCTCTATTCTGTTTCATTAAAAAAAAATGCTGGTTACTCCCCAGCTAAGCTGATTTTGTGACCCATTAAAGAGTTGCAATTCTCACTTGAAAAACACTGTTTCTAGAATAACTCAGAAAAGTTTAGGGATGAGAACTAACTTCGTTGTGCATCACAGTGTGTCAGTCTGTGCCAGGCAGCTTATAAATATTTTTTGCCTCTAATTTTATACATTTATGAGATAGGTATCATTTTCTAGGTAAGAAAACTAATCTCTCTCCAAGCATCAAATAATGCGCACTGAATGATGGCACCAGGATTTGAATCCAGGTCTTTATACATCATAGACTATGCTGTTCCCACAGTATTTTGCTTTTTCCAAGTATAATGTCCTTTTCACATGAATGGCCTCTTCACATAGTTGAAGACTACTGTGGTGTCACTGCTGACCCTTTCTCCCTGCCACACACTGTGAGCATTCCCTTCTCTTCTTCAGAGTAAATAATCCCAGTTTGTTTTATCATTCCTTAGATAATGTAATTCTCTGATCCTTCGACCATGGTTATTTTTTTCTTAATTAACTCTAAGTTGCTCATTGTCATTATACATGGTTCCCAGAGTTGTACCCAGCATTTTAGATGATATTTGGTCAGATGGAGAGTGTGGTGGGTGTGAATCAAATGCTGTTTTTTTTTTAACCAAATACTTCATTGACAGTTTTAACTTCTATTATGCTTAATATGAGCCTGAAGTATCAACTTCTCTCCCATATATTTTATACATAAGATGTTAAACTGTGTCTTCCTAACCTAGTTTTTGTGTAACGGATTTTTTTTTTAGCTTAAATATAAAGCTTTTATTTTATTTTTTTTTAGGCGTGCTCAGATTAAATATAAGGCTTTTAAATTTCCTTTTGTTAGTTTTTATTTACACATTTAATATTATGTTTCTGAGTTATTTGGTCATCTTTGTATTTGGTAGGCATATCTACTACGTCTTCATTCAAATTGTTGATAAAAATATTAAATTGACATAATAAATTACTCTGAAGTGGGCATGTCAGCTAGACTCACTCTGGATTAATACCAGTCCATTAATCAACACACATGGTTGTTCAATAATTGCTAGTTCTATCTATTATCGTCAGGCCCATATAACATTTTGTGTAGACATTATGATTTTGTAAAGTGCCTTGCTATAATTAAGCTATACTCTGCCTACAAGATTCTTACCTACAATGAAGAATACTACATTACTATCACCAACCTATTAAAATAGCCATTGCAGTTGATTTGTTTGGACTTGTTCATGATGAATGTTCTAGCATTTCATGTATCCACTTTTCCTTTCTTCACAAACTTTTTTTTCATCCAATTTTGAATTTTGCAAGGAATCAGTTTGGTCTGGACTTTCTAGACACTGCTTATTTTTCTCTTTAGAAGTCACCATATTTCCTTTTATCCAGACTTTTGATCCTGCCCGTGTTCACCATGATCTTAGTGATAAAATTTCTGTTCTTTTCCATCATTTGGAGTGGTAGGCCTAAGCCCATTTTAAGCTACATTCTGGCTCACTAGATCAATTTATCTTAGGTTTATGAAGACACTTCAAATTCATACTGACTTCTCATCGATAACCTTTGTTGATAAATGTCCCAATTCAGAGCTAGGTAGGTAATGTGGTTTTTATACTTTTTTGTCACTCGTGGCTCTTCACTGCTGAGAGTTGATTTATTGTATGACCTCTTTGTTTATGTATGCTTTTTGTAGAGGGCCATTGGTAAAAGTTGCCTGTAATTTAATTTGGTAAGCCTAAGTTAATAAAGCAATTTGTGTAATTATCACCACTTATCTGAATAGTTTGGCAGTCATTCACTGATTAACATACTAATATCTTGGGAAGTTTTATGTTTTCTAGACTCTTCTGTACCAAGGAGATGTTACTTTAAAGTAATGTGGTTTGTGTATGTGTGTGGGTTAGATGAATCAGAAGTTAGACATCTAATAAGCTTTCTATTTCCCTTTTTTTTTTTTTTTTTTTTAAGAGACAGGGTCTTCCCATGTTGCCCAGGCTAGTCTCAAACTCCTGGGATCAGGCAGTCTGCCCACCTCAACCTCCCAAAGTGCTAGAATTACAGGCATGAGCCACTGTGCCTTGCCCTCTATTCCATTGTTAGCAGTGGTTTTCCAGTCATTCTAAAATGGCTTTAATTTTTTTTCTTTAATGGAACAAATACTTAGAGTACCTGTGTGCAGCACAGTGTTGGGAACATTGAGAGACATGATAATGCAAGTTCTTAAAAAATAGAACTTGGCCAAGCAGAGCCTCATGGTTGATAAAAGTATATTGCAGTCACTGTGGTGTGCCCATGTTTTTATATGCCAAGCATTTTGCAAGACAGCAGTCCGCAACCTTTTTGGCATCAGGGACCGGTTTCGTGGAAGACAATTTTTCTGTGGACCAGGGGTGGGGGTATAATCTACAGCTCACTGCAGCTTCAGTACCACCCCCCCTCCCCCACCCCTGGCTCAAGTGATTGTCTTACCTCAGCCTCTTGAGTAGCCAGGACCACAGGCGCGTGACACCATGCCTGGCTAATTTATTTTTTATGTTTTGTAGAGATAGGGTCTCACTATGTTGCCCAGGCTGGTCTCGAACTCCTGGGCTCAAGTGATCCACCTGCTTCACCCTCCCAAAGTGTTGGGATTATAGGCGTGAGCCATCGTGCTCAGCTCCTTTACACATGTTAAATCATTTAATGTGTACAATTTGGAGTTGTAATTATTATTATTTTTATTGTAAAATATAACAAAATTTACCATGTTAATAATTTTTAAGTTTACAGTTCAGTGGCATTAAGTACATTCACAATGTTGTGCAATCATCGCCACCATCCATCTCTAGACCTTTCATCTTCCTCAATTGAAACTGTGTACCCATTAAACAGTTTCCCTGTTTCCATGGACGCCAGCCCCTGGCAACTACCATTCTGCTTCTCTGTCTATGAATTTGACCACTCTAGGTAGCTTGTGTAAGTAGAATCATACAATACTTGTCTTTTTGTGTCTGGCTTATTTCATTTAGCATTATGTTTTCACAGTACATCCATGTGGTAGAATGTGTCATTTTATCCCCATTTTACAGCAAAAGAAACTAAACCCAAAGTCGCATAGCTAATAAAGTGAAATTGAGATTGACACCAAACCTAAAAGTCAAGTCTGATGAAGTACGATTGATCTTGATTTATTTAGCCTATAGATATTTAGCTTGGGGAAGAGAACTTTTTGAGTATTTGAAGGACTCTAATAAGGATTATTACTTATATAACTAACTGTTCATCGCTAGACTAATAGGTGTAAATTAGAGGCAGGCAAATTTTGTTTTAGTAGAAGGAAGAATTTTTTAATAGAGCTGTTTTTGGATGATATGCACTACCCTAAAAAAATTGTTGGAAATAACCTTCAAAAGACTGCTGAATGCTCCTGTGGCAGGCGATGTTACAAAGAAGTAAAAAAGTTGAATTGGGTGAATTCTGAGTGTTCTTTTAATTCTGTTGCACTCTATGTGGGAGCATAAGAAACCTTCAAGACAGGCTGGGCATGGTGGCTCATGCCTGTAATCCTAACACTTTGAGAGGCCAAGGCAGACAGATCACTTGAGGTCAGGAGTTCAGAACTAGCCTGGTCAACATGGTGAAACCCTGTCTCTGCTAAAAATACAAAAATATTAGCTGGGCATGGTGGTGGGCGCCTGTAATCCCAGCTACTTGGGAGGCTGAGGGAGGAGAATTGCTTGAATCCGGGAGGCAGAGGTTGCAGTGAGCTGAGATCACGCCATTATACTCCAGCCTGGGCGACAGAGCAAGACTCTGTCTCAAAAAAAAAAAAAAAAAGAAGATACCTTTAAGACAGAGTGCTAAGCTTAAGTGTGAGGAGATATTTAGCAGCGGAAGCATCATGAATGTTTTCCCTTTAAGTCTGTGGCACATTTCTCTGAATATCCTCAGTAATGGCCAGTTGTTTTCCTCTTGAGGGTAGGTTTGAATTTTGAAAACCATTAGAAGTCATTATCTTGCCTGGTGAATAAAAATGAGTTAGCAGGGTATTTAAAAGTCCTCAGCAGTCCAGCGCTAATTTACTTTTTTCCTAGATTTACTTGCTTTTGCCAGAACCTTCAAGAACATTTATGCCCTTTGGCTTTTGATGTTCATCTGTTTTTTTCTCTTCCTCCTCTTACCAAAATTTTACTTATTCTTCAGGCACAATGCAGATTTTCTTTCCTTTGTGAAATTCTCCTGAATTTTTAACTTGGTTTACTTCCTCTTCATTGTTAACCTATCACTGTTTATATACCCTTTTTTAGAGTATATTTAACGCAACCACCTTGTGCTTTGGTCTGTGTAGTCTAGAATGTGAGCAGTTTAAGCAGAAGGATAGTAGCATATTCATCTTTATGTTTCTGAACAGGACCACAGTGTAGTAAGAGTTCAGTGACATTAATTTAAATGAAATCAATCTATCAGTGATGTTAGGTTAAAATGAGGCAAAACTGTAAAACAGTGAGACCAGATTTCTTACATGACGCTTATGCCAGTTACAGATGAGATACTTCACAGATTCTGAATAATGGCAGTATTGAATGTATACTTTCCCATGATGAATTAAAGAAGAAAATACTGTCTAGATGTAGTGTGTGATTTTTAAAATAAGTTTAAAAATTAGCCAAAATACTGGCATCGCTCTGTTTAGTAGGATTACAGAAGCACTTTGTTTTAAACTTCTTTGTACTTTTTGTGATTTCCAAGTTTTCTGATAAGACATGAATTGCTTTTAGAATTTAAAAAATCCTATTGATAAAATTTAAGTCAGTTTTATTACTCTGTGATCATGTGGGGATCATAATATAACATGATACATTAGAAGCCTTTTTACTTGTAGTTTTCCTTGTTACTTAGTAGTAGTAAGATTATATATCACAGATGGATACATTTTGGCTTCAACAAATATGGTTTCATTTATTGAGTAACTGCCATAGGTGGAGCACTGTGCTGTAATGATAGCACATTTTTGATAGAATTGGAACCCAAGATATGTATTTGATCTTATGATCTATTATTCTTGTTTGTTTTAAATTTAACAATTTAATTGGGCAAAAAAAACATTTATTGAACTGGGTAGCACCCAGGACCGAAAGTGATTTAGAATGCTTCTTAGAATGTTCTTAACTTTACACTTAAAAAATTAAATTCCACAAGTGTAACTATTAAAACATTTATCAGATCTACCTAAATAAATCATGTAGTCTGTTTTCATGAAAAACACAACTTTGGTTTTTAGGAATATCAGATAAGGAACACCAAAGTTGTATAGCTCACATCCTGTGAGCCTTCTGGATCACTGATGTTGCTACTGCTCCTCAGTCCCCATCTTTGGGGCCTCCGTGTATTCAAATTCCTATGCCAGATTGCCCAGGGAACCTGGTGCTGATACCCTGGTAGCCCAAAAAGGCTACTTGCCTTCTACTTCCACTTACGCAGACCCCTGCCTCCTTACCCTTCTGCTAGGAACATATCTATAACTATATAAATTCATGTAATTTTGACATTATTTTTTAAAATGGCAATTTGGGCAGTAAATAGCAGAATTAAGTAGTGTCTTAATATAAATGGTTTGCATTACCTGAATACACTATTCCTTGTAGTAATTATCTGTACTACCCAGAGCACATTGCATGTGACTCCTGTTGGGCTAATTTTCAGTAGCAAAAATGAATTTGTAAAATAATGTAGGTTTTAAGGCTTTGGTAATAATAAGTTCTTATTTCACCTCTTTCATTTACTCAAAATTACGTCTTCTGAGATCTTTTGGGATCGAAGTTATGGAGGAAATGAACAACTTTAGGACAAACTAGCTTATTTAAGAGGAAGGCTTTAAACTAGGTCTTTAGGAGTGGCTCAGAAATTGCAGAACAGTTTACTTTGATCTGGGAAAGGTCTCACATTCTGGAATAAAATAGAAATTAGAGACTTTAGAGAAAAAAATATTGATTCTATCTCCTTGAAATATGAAGAATAATAGATGCAATATAATGTAGTACCACGGTATCAGATATGAAATTCTTGAAAGTATTTGGAAAGATAAGACAAAGGAAGTTGTATTTAGTTAAAAATCAGGTTTATAATTCATGAGGATGAATCAAATCATCTCCCACTTCTGCAGTGTACTAGACTGAAACTCCTCCCCCACACATCCCTCTCCTACTCCATTCAGGAGCTTCTGCTCCTCTCTCTGTGAGACAGTAAGAAAGTACCCAATTATGTGTGGCTCTTGAGGCTTATTTTGTTTGAAAAGTGTGAATGAGAACCAGGAGTGGGCCAAGCTAGTCTGTAAGTGACCCTTGACTCCAATAAGCTTGAGGAATGGGATTTAATAGGTACTCTCAAGTTAGGTTTTTAGTATGCATTTAATACCTAATCGGTACTATATTCTATAGTGATAATCAGACTAAATTGTGTGTTTTTGCTAATACCTATTTAGTAGATACAGAAAGAGTACTTTAGTAATTTTAGGCTTTGAATGCTTATATCTTTTGAGTGGGCCTGCTCATTTCTCCTCTGAGTGGGAGATAATGAATCTTGTGTTGACCTGTCACAGTGAAACTCTTATTTGCCATTGGTTATACTTAGGACTGATGGTGGAGTGGATTAAGAAGCAAAACCCAAAAAACTGATGAATCCTAGAAACCTGAATCTAGAGGTTTGGAACTTGATGAGCAGGCACGGTAAGTCTTGATGGTAGTGCAGCCTGCGAGTGAAAGAGGCTAACAACCTTTATGTGAGGTGTAATAATCTAGTTATATCTTAATTCATCTTCACATTTCTGTCTAACGCCATGTCTGGCCAGTGGTAACTGCTGTATAAATATTTGTTTAAATTACTGAGTGGAGCATAAGCTTTCAAGGTGTTTAGAGTTTGGTTAGGAGACAG
The DNA here is from genome assembly GCF_000001405.40 of Homo sapiens. Lineage (NCBI taxonomy): Eukaryota > Metazoa > Chordata > Mammalia > Primates > Hominidae > Homo > Homo sapiens. Next base: position 48,351,800 of record NC_000004.12, read on the forward strand.
AATGAACATAGAATTCTGTTCTCTCTGAAACCAGTAATATTTTCTAGAAGAAAGGTGTATATGGGCTTAAAAGTGAGAGCCGGGACTTTGGATTTGGGCACACATGGAAAGGTATTTTTTGCTGTCTGTGAGAATCAACAAGTTTAGGGAAAAGAGCGAGTGATACATTTGAGTAGGGTAGAGAAAAGGCCTGTGAAGATCTTAACTAAAGGGATGTTTGTTAGGGAACAAGTGAGAAAGCTGAATCATTGGGTTGGAGATCATACTGTGAATGGCCTGTGAAATCTAGGAGGAGAGTTTTTGAATATTGGAATGCTTTTAACAAAATGGCATTTTGGAGAGGTTAGTGTGGCAATAGTATGTAGGCGAGAACACAAGTCATAGCTACCTTTATTGGCTAGAAAACAGCCTCTGAGGTTTGTGTCCACCTCTTCTGCCCTGAAGTATTCAAACCAAAGTATTGAATTCAAACCAAACTATTGAGTCCACAGTGATACTCTTTCCATTTCATACCAACTACTTATAATATGTTGCATGAAAACCATCACATCACATCAAGCTAAATGATTAAAGATTAGGCCATTTACCTATGAAGGAAATAATAGATATCATTTTGGTTTCAAGATTGTTTAGTTCCTCTTAAAAAACATTCACATTGTTTAAAAATGTCATTTTGATCTTATTAATGTTATTGTAAGGATAATCCCAAACAGGATTCTGCAACCTTGACATTTGGGTCAGATAACTCTTTGTTGTGGGTGCTATCCTGTGTGTTGTAGGATGTCCAGCAGCATCCCTGGCCAATCAAAAATGTCTCCAGATGTTGCCAGGTGTCCCTTTGGGGCAAAATTACCACAGGTTAAGAACCATTGCCTTAAAGGATACTTATGGTATGGTGTCAACATGACCAGAAATAACTAGTACTGTATTGCAGTAATAAGTTTCGTATTCTAGTTACTTTGCTCCATTTACATTTTCTAAGTCAAAAATAGTGCTTGATATGGTTTGGCTGTGTGTCCCCACCCAAATCTCATCTTGAATTGTACTCCCATAAGCCCCACGTGTTGTGGGAGGGACCTGGTGGGAGATAATTGACTCATGGGGCGTTTTCCCCTATACTGTTCTCTAGATGGTGAGTTAACTCTCGCAAGATCTGATAGTTTTATCAGAGGTTTCCGCTTTTGTGTCTTCCTCATTCTCCCTTTGCCTGCTGCAATCCATGTAAGATGTGACTTGCTCCTGCTTGCCTTCCACCATGATTGTGAGGTTTCCCCAGCCTTGTGGAACTGTAAGTCCAATTAAACCTCTTTTGTAAATTGCCCAGTCTCAGGGATGTCTTTATCAGCAGTGTGAAAACCAACTAATACTGTGTGGTTCTGAAAATTAAGAATAAGTTAAGGGATTGGGCACTACTTGAGAGTCAATGGAGCACTAACCAGATGAGATGTCAGAACAGTAGATTTAAATTAGAACTGCCTTGGGGAAACTGGAATGAATGGTCACCCAAGAAGTAATCATCAGACATTTATTGAGTACCTGCCATAGGTGGAGCACTATCTATCATGGTAAGAAATAGTCATAAGAACTTTGATGGTTGGAAAGCTTCATGAAAGCTTCAAAAAAGACTTCATGGTCAGTCTTGAAAGGCAAAGTAAGGCTAGGTTAGATTAAAAAAAAGGAAACTTTTTTTTTCCTTTATAGTGAAAATAACTATGAACAAAGAATCCGTGGGTTAAACTCTCCACGATGCATGAAACAAACATTTATTTGGTCAGTTTGGCTGAAAACAGAAGGTTTTTTTTACTGGAGTAAAGATCAAAGGACATAGTTTTGAATCTGGTAACACAGGATTTTGAAAACTAAGCTGTGGAGTATATCTGATGGGAAAGTTTTTAGGCTGTGAAACAGTGGTATGTATATATGTGTTTCAGAGTATAAGTGGTAGAGTGTAGATAGATTGGAAATATGAAAGTCTGCTAGGTATGGAGAAAACAGTTAAGATTATTGTAACAGTCCGTACTTGATGAGATGGGGCCTAGACTAGAGCAAGGTCAGTGGAAATGAAAAGGAAGGGATGGATTTAATAAGGATTAGTGAATCAATAGGATATGTTAATTGAATATGTAGAGAGAAAACAGTCGACATTGGCTCAAAAATTTTCATTTATTGATTGGAAAAGATGATGCTATTTTGAGGGTTTTTGGGGGGATGTCCGTAAGAAGCAGTTTAGAGCTCTGTGACTGACACCAAGGAGAAAGATTAGAACTATCAGAAAATTATGTATGTCCAAAAACCAATAGTTGGTTATGGCAAAACAGCAACAAAAACTTTCAAATTAAAAAAAAAAGTTATCTGATAAACATAGAATAAAATAGTAGGAACAAGTATTTAGTTGTATCTTAAGAGTTGATAGAATAACAAAAAGATCCTGGGCTATATAAAGTGAAGGAATAGAAGAGCTCATTTTTACACTCTGTGCATTTTCAGACCCTCAAATCATCACTTCTAGCTTGGGTGATTAAACTGTTGTAAGTGATATAGAAAAAACTGATGGGAAAGGGAAAAAGTTAAGGGATTAGAGTGGTTAAACTTAGCCTCTTAGAGAAATTGGGCTATAATTTGATTACTGTCACTTGAGAGAGAGATCCTCGTTAATTGTTACGGATATTTTTTTTTTTCCCCCCTCAGGCTGAGTCTCGCTGTGTTGCCCAGGCTGGAGTGCAGTGGAGCAATCTCAGCTCACTGCAACTTTTGCAGCCCGGGTTCAAGCGATTCTCCTGCCTCAGCCTCCCGAGTAGCTGGGATTACAGACACCCACCACCACATTCAGCTAATTTTTATATTTTTAGTAGCGATGGGTTTTCACCATGTTGTCCCGGCTGGTCTCATCCGGACCTCAGATGATCCGCCTACCTCGGCCTCCCAGAGTGCTGGGATTACAGGCATGAACCAGTGTGCCCAGCCTGTTATGGGTATTTTGAAAGGAACAAATAATGAAATGATTATGAATTAAAATAGGAAAAATTTGATTCAGTTGATCTACAGCTGGTAACCGAATGGTTAGGACCAAGAAAAAAATGTAAAATTTTCTTTTCTTTTCTTTTTTTCTTTTTTTTTGAGAAGGAGTCTTGCTCTTGTCACCCAGGCTGGAGTGCTGTGGCACCATATCAGCTCACTGCAACCTCCGCCTCCCGATTTCAAGCGATTCTCCTGCAGGGATTACAGGCGACTGCCACCATACCTGGCTGATTTTTGTGTTTTTAGTAGAGGTGGGGTTTCGCCATGTTGGCCAGGCTGGTCTCTAATTCCTGACCTCGTGATCCGCCTGCCTCAGCCTCCTGAAGTGCTGGGATTACAGGCGTGAGCCACTACACCCAGCCAAAAATTTTCATTGTTATATTTCAGGAAAAAAATGCCACGCTCTCTTATGATTCTTCATACTTACTTCCTTGCATTCCTTTTCTACTGTGTGCCAGGAAGTTTTCTTTGGGGGTGAGGAGGCATAAGGGATGATGTGAAATATTCTTATTCCTGTTCTTGAGAAGCTTAGAATCCCATGTGAAGACTGTTATAAAATTATATAGAAATTGGGTATATACGCAGAATCACAAACTCTAACAATGGAGAATTAGATTAGGTTTTCTTTTAGGACAATGTCAATTCTAGTAATACTATTCCTTCTTCCCCCCAAGTGTATTTTGTGCTTTCTGATCATCTCAGAATACAGTATAGTTCAGGAATCCTCACATACCTGTTCTTATTTTTATATATAATTCAAAAGAAAAAAGGAAGAGAATGTCTAGCCTGGTATTCTTAAATATTAACTTTAGTTGTATAAACAGAATACAGTATACCCGTCTCTCTTACCTCCTACTCTGGCATGTAACATAAAAATATGTTAAACTTTCTTTAGCACTTCAATGTTAAGGTTAAACACGTATTTAATATACACATTTTATATGTTTATAAATATATAAATGTAGATTATATCTAATTACATATATTTATATTTTTCTCATTCTTACCTGGTTTATATTTTCACAAAGTTGGTAAAATATTTTAATTTTATTATAACTCAAAATAATTTTAGAATCTATAGGAATACTACAGATAGAAAATTCTGAGATGACAATTTTTTAATCTTTACTGTGTTAATAAACCTTTGTTATCAGTGTTTTGTGGGTTCGAACTTTATGTTTCTGTATCTTTTCCAAGATAATTTATTTGTAGATGCTTTATCAACAGTATGAAAAAGTGTTAATTTTTTAAACCTAAATCATTAAGTTGACAAACTATTAAAAGTCATTATAGCAGTATGCATTATCATCTTGGATTTGAAGAATATATCATTTGCTGAAAATATGACGTTTTAGCCAGGAACTAACATGTTCTATGGGTAAGATCCTGTTTTAGCCACTAAAAAGCAAAGTACTCTAAAATAAACTGCATGGATTATGCATGTTTGTAATGTTTATATGTATATATTATATATGCACATATCCATACATATACCCATGTGTGTTTTCTATGGACTAAAAACTTCTTGTGTTAGTAATTGCTATCTATATATGCAGTTGTAGCTGAAAAGATCTGTACTAGTAGCTGAAAAGATCTGTACTAGTAGCTGAAAAGATCTGTACTAGTAGCTGAAAAGATATGTACTAGTAGCTGAAAAGATCTGTACTAGTAGCTGAAAAGATACGTGCTAGTATACATAAAGACTGTATTGCAGCTATTGCCACAATTTGCAAGTCTGGAATAGTTTGAGACTCCCTGTCTTCCTGATGTCTTCTCTCAAAAAGAAGCAACTCAGTTTCTGATTGATGCAGTCTAGGTTGGTCTCACTGTAACTAGTGTTTCCCAGCATTCCCAGGTGCATAGTTATGGTTCAGCACTAGAAGTTTGTTTTTTAAAGACTTAATTCTGAACCTCAAGTTTAGTGACACTTCAAGGAATATCAAAATTGTTTTGATTCTCTTAAAATTAAAAAAACCATGCCATACTGGAATGGGAATAAAGTGAGTCATGAAATGAAAATGGAATCATAATAGCTATTTCTAAAAATTTGAAATATTTTAAAAGGTTATCTTCAGTTTACTCTGCTTGCTTTGCACTGTTTTTTGGGTTCACTGTGTTGTGTTGTGTTCTGTCACACATACTGTTTATATACACATATATTCTACCCTGCAACTAATGTCACTTCAGTGCTTGAAAATAGCTCTGTTCTAAAACTTTATTAATGAGTTTGCCTTGCTAATAATTATTAGTATTATTGATAATATTTTTAATATTCCTCTAAAAACCAGAAGAACATATTATATATATATTTATATAAGTATAGTATTATATATCTTTTAGTTAGCTGATGGGCCAAATATAATAATAAAATAGCACTATGAACAATCTAGAAGTTCAAAAAGACGCCGTATATTTGAACTGAATATGTTTTTCTTCAACTTAATTGTGATTTTTGGTTGTAGTAGTAGGTGGGATTGATTGAAACCTTATATTTTATAGTTGGTAAGGCTTAAGAGAGCAGGGAACATTGTGGCTGTTAAAATGATTATATTTAAGTCTTTTTTTTTTTCCTCCTGTTTCAAGAGACAGGGTTTCTCTCTGTTGCCCAGGCTGGAGCGCAGTGGCACAGTCATAGCTCACTGCAGCCTTGAACTCCTGGGCTCAAGCAGTCCTCCCACCTCAGCCTCCCAAGTAGCTGGGACTATAGGCACCTGCCACCGTGCTCAGGTGACTTTTATTTTTTTCCCCCAAGATGGAGTTTTGCGCTTGTTGCCCAGGCTGGAGTGCAATGGCATGATTTCGACTCACCGCAGCCTCCACTTCCACTTCCCGGGTTCAGGTGATTCTCCTGCCTCAGCCACCTGAGTAGCTGGGACTACAGGCATGCACCACCACGCCCGGCTAATTTTGCATTTTTGGTAGAGACAAGGTTTCTCCATGTTGGTCAGGCTGGTCTTGTACTCCCAACCTCAGGTGTTCCGCCCGACTTGGCCTTCCAAAGTGCTGGGATTACAGGCATGAGCCACCGCACCCGGCCCCACTGATGTTTTTAAAAAACTTTTGTAGAGACAGTGTCTCACTATGTTGCCCAAGTTGGTCTTGAACTCCTGGCCTCAAGTGACCCTCCCACCTCAGCCTTCCACAGTATTGGAATTACAGGTGTGAGCCACCACGCCTGGCCCTATTAAAGTCTTTAACTTAGGAATCTTTTATATTCTTTTTTAGCAATGCTATTAGGCAGTAAAGTATAATATTTAAGAGTACTGCTTCTGGAGCACTTTTGGTTTTGCCATTTAATAGCTGTGCCACCTTGGACAAGTTACTTACCTCACTTGTCTCAGTGACCTCATCTGTAGAATGGAGATTATAATAATACATATCTTATAATTTTGTAATGAAGATTGAAAGAGTTACTATATTTAAAACACTGAAGCAGTGCCTGACATGTAATGAGCATTTGATACAGTATAAATTATAATAATTACTGTTACATTGACTAACAAAGCTTTTTTTTTTTTTGAGACGGAGTTTCACTCTTGTTGCCCATGCTGGAGTGCAATGGCGCGATCTTGGCTCACCACAACCTCCGCCTCCCAGGTTCAAGCAATTCTCCTGCCTCAGCCTCCCGAGTAGCTGAAATTACAGGCGTGCACCACCATGCCCGGCTAATTTTGTATTTTTAGTAGAGATGGGGTTTCTCCATGTTGAGGCTGGTCTCGAACTCCTGACCTCAGGTGATCCGCCTGCCTCAGTCTCCCAGAGTGCTGGGATTACAGGCGTGAGCCACTGCGCGCGGCCCAACAAAGCTTGTTAAAGCATTATAAGCAATGTATCCTAATGGTTTAGAATTATTAAATTATATTTGCTTGTGAGTAAAACCAAAGATACTTGTATTTTTTTATTTATTTTTATTTTTTTTTGAGATGGAGTTTCACTCTTGTCGTCCAGGCTGGAGTGCAATGGTGTGATCTCAGCTCACTACAACCTCCTCCTCCCGGGTTCAAGCGATTCTTCTGCCTCAGCCTCCTGAGTAGCTGGGATTACAGGCTCCCGCAGCCACGACTGGCTAATTTTTGTATTTTTACTAGAGATGGATTTTCACAATGTTGGCCAGGTTGGTCTTGAACTCCTGACCTCGGGTGATCCGCCTGCCTCAGCCTCCCAAAGTGCTGGGATTACAGGCATGAGCCACCACGCCCAGCCTAAAGATAATAAGATAAACTTTTATTAAAGTTTTTTTAATGATAGAATTATTAAAATGGAAACAAATTACAATCTCAAAGTGGCCACTTTAATTTACTTTGGTATCCTCCCTTTATCTCTTTTCATATTGCTTTTTTATTCAGTGTGAATTCAGATCCAAATATTTGAACATGTATAAGTGTCTGTGTTGGGGATTCTGCATTGAACGTTGTGAAGACAGTGTCTGTTCTTTTGCACTGAATGTACCTTACTCAGTGAATAGGTAGAGGGGGATGATTTAGGGGTAGTAAAAGTCTGATTATTTTCCTCAGCCTGTAAAAAATTTGCATCTAAAGAAATTTATTTCAATAATGCTTTTAATATAACTTTTATTTTTATCTTAAATTTAAATCATTTTTGTCCTTGGCTTCAGTAGCCTACTTTCAGCTGGCTACAATATGAAAAGTGATTACTGCGGTTACCACAGATTCAGCAAAGTAACTCCTGTCTCCCTTCCTCTCCCCATTATTTACTTATTAATATATGTCTATGTGAAGAAATATATTAACAATGTGAAGAAAAGTCTGGAGAGACATACTCCAAATTGTAAATAATTTTGGAGTGTAATTTTGGTAGAGAAAGGGAGGTTATTATCATTTCTTATATTTGTACATTTCCATATTACTGAAAGTTATTACACTTAAAGAAATAGTTATATTCTTAGTTGTCTTTAATCACCATATTATACAGGTATGTGTGACATATGGGCCAAAATATGACTTCTTATTGTAAGCTTTATATAACTTTATTCTTAATTACATTTCTAATAACTCAGTATTTAACAGTATACTTAAATTGTATTTAATAGTGGTTAGGCCGGGCACGGTGGCTTACGCCTGTAATCCCAGCACTTTGAGAGGCTGAGGTGGGTGGATCACGAGGTCAGGAGTTCGAGACCAGCCTGACCAACGTGGTGAAACCCCGTCTCTACTAAAAATACAAAAATTAGCTGGGCATGGTAGTGCGCACCTATAATCCCAGCTACTCAGGAGGCTGAGGCAGGAGAATCGCTTGAACCTGGGAGGCGGAGGTTGCAGTGAGCTGAGATCGCGCCATTGCATTCCAGCCTGGGTGGCAGAGCGAGACTCTGTCTCAAAAAAAAAAAAAAATAGTGGTTAGTTCCCTTGTAATGATTGTTCTAAGGGAAAAAGTGGCATTTTGAAAGGCCAGTTTATTCCTATCACATTTTGACAGCTTTATCAAGATGTTATTTATATACCATAAAATGCACACGTTTAAAGTGTACTGTGGGCTGGGCAGGGTGGCTCATGCTTGTAATCCCAGCACTTTGGGAGGCTGAAGTGGGTGGATTACTTGAGGTCAGGAGTTTGAGACCAGCCTGCCAACTTGGGAAAACCTGGTCTCTACCAAAAATACAAACATTAGCCAGCATGGTGGTGTGCACGCTTGTAATTCCAGCTACTCAGGAGCCTGAGGCATGAGAATCACTTGAACCTGGGAGACAGAGGTTGCTGTGAGCTGAGATTGTACCACTACACTCTAGCTTGGGTGATGAAGTGAGACTCTGTCTCCAAAAAAAATTAAAAAAAACATAAATAGATAAGAAATAAAGTGTACTGTGGTTTTCAGTGTTCAGTAGTTTTTAACGTATTCACAGAATAGTACAACCATCACCATAATTTAGTTTTATAGTATTTTCAGCATACTGAAAAGAAACCCTGTGCTCATTAGTAGTCATTTCCCATTCCTTCTCTCCACCCCCTCATCTATCCCCAGGCAACCACTGATCAACTTGTCTCAGATTTGCCTATTCTAGACATTCCATATCAATGGTATCATACAATCTGCGATGTTTTGTGACTGGCTTCTTTTACTTAGCATAATGTTTGAAGTTCATGTGTAGCATTTTTATTGCCTCCAACACATTTTTAAATGTCTCTTTTCAAATTATAAATACCAACTCAAAAAATTCAAACAGGACAAAAATGAATAAAATATAGTCTCTTATTAGAATGGGCGTAAGGGATAGAATTTCCTTTTTGACAGGGCAATCTAAATGTCTACAAAGATTCTTTCTTAAAACATTTTGCATCAATGTTGTACATAGTGGAGACACTTAATATGATCTTACTGGAGATGTTCCAGGAAGGTTTTCCTGAAGAATTGAAATTTAAGCTGATACCCAATAGAAAATAGAGAAGAGCTGGATGAACTTGAGCAGGGGAGGGTGAGGTAAGCAAAAAAGTGGAATGAAACTTGTTGCAAGGGGAACAACATGCACAAATGACCTAGAAGCAAAAGTGTTGAGCTTTCCAGGAATAGAAATTAATTCCATATGGCTGCTATTTAAATATGTGTGGTGGAGGAAGGTGAGAAATGAAGCTAAAGAAGAACTACAACAGTTAAATCATTGGTTAGGTCTCTAGAGCTGTGGGGATCATTTTTAGAAAAAAACTCCATCTTAAGGGCAGAGGGAAACTGGCACAGAATTTTTAGCAAAAGAATACTAATAAAGTCAGATTTGTGTTTTAGAAAACACTGGCTGCAGTGTACAAGATGAATTTGAAGAGCAGGCAAGTCCAGAGATTTGCAAAATTAAAAAGATTTTTTTTTTCCAAAATTGTTTTATCCGTTCTTTGGCCTTTGCATTTTTATATAAATTTTAGGATCAGCTTGTCAATTTCTGCTAAAAATGCCTGCTGAGGTTTTCTAGGGATATGTTGATTCTAAAGGTCAGTTTGATGGAGTTAACATCTTGTCAGTCTTATGTTCAGATCTATAAACATGGTGTATTTTTTCATATGTCTTCTTTTAATTTCTCTCAGCAGTGTTTTGTAGTTTGCAGTGTACATCTTGCATTTCATGTGTTAAATTTATTCCTGAGTATTTTATTCCTTTTGATGCTGTTGTAAATGAAATTGTTATATCTATTTCATATTCAGGTCATTTATTGATAGTGTTTAGAAATACAATTTTTTGCTTATTGATCTTGTGTCTTGTGACCTTGCAGAACACATTTATTATTTCTTTTTAAGAGTTTTATAATGGATTTTCTATATGCAGGATCATGTCTGCGATTAAACATGTTTTACTTCTTTCTTTTCAATCAGGATGCCTTTAGTTTTTTTTTTTCTTGCCTTATTGTACTGTATATTATTTAATAAAAGTATGAGAGTGTACATCTTGATCTTGTTCCTAGTCTTAGGAGAAACTATTTGGTCTTTTACCATTAAGTCTGTTTTTGTGAAAGAGTTTGTGTAGGATTGGTATTGGCATTATTTCCTTAATATTTGATAGAATTAATATGTGAAAACATGTGGACTTGAACTTTTCTTTCTGGGAAGGTTTTTAAATTTATTTATTTCTCTCTCTCTCTCTGTCTCTGTCTCCCTTTCTCTCTCTCTTTTTTTTTTTTTTGGACAGAGTCTTGTTCTGTCGCCCAGGGTGGAGTGCAGTGGCTCAGTCTTGGGTCACTACAACCTCTGACTCCTAGGTTCAAGCGATTCTCCTGCCTCAGCCTCCCAAGTAGCTGGGGCTACAGGCACGTGCTACCATGCCCGGCTACATTTTTTTTTTTTTTAGTAGAAACAGGGTTTCACCGTGTTAGCCAGGATGGTCTCGATCTACTGACCTTGTGATCCGCCCACCTCAGCCTCCCAAAGTGCTGGGATTATAGGTGTGAGCCACCATGCCAGGCTGGTTTTTAAATTTCTTTTTTTTTTTTTTATTCTTTTTTTTTTTTTTTTAAATTTATTTTTTTATTGATAATTCTTGGGTGTTTCTCACAGAGGGGGATTTGGCAGGGTCATGGGACAATAGTGGAGGGAAGGTCAGCAGATAAACAAGTGAACAAAGGTCTCTGGTTTTCCTAGGCAGAGGACCCTGCGGCCTTCCGCAGTGTTTGTGTCCCTGATTACTTGAGATTAGGGATTGGTGATGACTCTTAACGAGCATGCTGCCTTCAAGCATCTGTTTAACAAAGCACATCTTGCACCGCCCTTAATCCATTTAACCCTGAGTGGACACAGCACATGTTTCAGAGAGCACAGGGTTGGGGGTAAGGTCACAGATCAACAGGATCCCAAGGCAGAGGAATTTTTCTTAGTGCAGAATAAAATGAAAAGTCTCCCATGTCTACTTCTTTCTACACAGACACGGCAACCATCCGATTTCTCAATCTTTTCCCCACCTTTCCCGCCTTTCTATTCCACAAAGCCGCCATTGTCATCCTGGCCCGTTCTCAATGAGCTGTTGGGCACACCTCCCAGACGGGGTGGTGGCCGGGCAGAGGGGCTCCTCACTTCCCAGTAGGGGCGGCCGGGCAGAGGCGCCCCTCACCTCCCGGACGGGGCGGCTGGCCGGGCGGGGGGGCTGACCCCCCCCCACCTCCCTCCCGGACGGGGCGGCTGGCCGGGCGGGGGGCTGACACCCCCACCTACCTCCCGGACGGGGCGGCTGGCCGGACAGAGGGGCTCCTCACTTCCCAGTAGGGGCGGCCGGGCAGAGGCGCCCCTCACCTCCCAGACGGGGCGGCTGGCCGGGCGGAGGGCTGAACCCCCCACCTCCCTCCCGGACAGGGCGGCTGGCCGGGCGGGGGGCTGACCCCCCCACCTCCCTCCCGGACGGGGCGGCTGGCCGGGCAGAGGGGCTCCTCACTTCCCAGTAGGGGCGGCCGGGCAGAGGCGCCCCTCACCTCCCAGACGGGGCGGCTGGCCAGGCGGGGGGCTGACCCCCCCCACCTCCCTCCCGGACGGGGCGGCTGGCCGGGTGGGGGGGCTGACCCCCGCATCTCCCTCCCGGACGGGGTGGCTGGCCGGGCTGAGGGGCTCCTTACTTCCCAGTAGGGGCGGCCGGGCAGAGGCGCCCCTCACCTCCCGGACGGCACGGCTGGCCAGGCGGGGGGCTGACCCCCCCACCTCCCTCCCGGACGGGGCGGCTGGCCGGGCAGGGGGCTGACCCCCCCCACCTCCCTCCCGGACGGGGTGGCTGCTGGGCGGAGACGCTCCTCACTTCCCAGATGGGGTGGCTGCCGGGCGGAGAGGCTCCTCACTTCTCAGACGGGGCAGCTGCCGGGCGGAGGGGCTCCTCACTTCTCAGACGGGGTGGTTGCCAGGCAGAGGGTCTCCTCACTTCTCAGACGGGGCGGCCGGGCAGAGACGCTCCTCACCTCCCAGACGGGGTCTCGGCCGGGCAGAGGCGCTCCTCACATCCCAGATGGGGCGGCGGGGCAGAGGCGCTCCCCACATCTCAGACGATGGGCGGCGGGGCAGAGACGCTCCTCACTTCCTAGATGTGATGGCGGCTGGGAAGAGGCGCTCCTCACTTCCTAGATGGGATGGCGGCCGGGTGGAGACGCTCCTCACTTTCCAGACTGGGCAGCCAGGCAGAGGGGCTCCTCACATCCCAGACGATGGGCGGCCAGGCAGAGACACTCCTCACTTCCCAGACGGGGTGGCGGCCGGGCAGAGGCTGCAATCTCGGCACTTTGGGAGGCCAAGGCAGGCGGCTGGGAGGTGTAGGTTGTAGCGAGCCGAGATCACGCCACTGCACTCCAGCCTGGGCACCATTGAGCACTGAGTGAACGAGACTCCGTCTGCAATCCCGGCACCTCGGGAGGCCGAGGTTGGCGGATCACTCGCGGTTAGGGGCTGGAGATCGGCCCGGCCAACACAGCGAAACCCTGTCTCCACCAAAACCAGTCAGGCGTGGCGGCGCGTGCCTGCAATCGCAGGCACTCCGCAGGCTGAGGCAGGAGAATCAGGCAGGGAGGTTGCAGTGTGCCGAGATGGCAGCAGTACAGTCCAGCTTCGGCTCCGCATGAGAGGGAGACCGTGGGGAGACGGAGACGGGAGAGGGAGGGGGAGGGGGAGGGGGAGGGAGAGGGAGAGCTGGTTTTTAAATTTCTAATTCAGTCTCTTTTATAAGTCTATTCAGGTTCTCTTTCTTGAGTTTTTAGAGTTTTTTTGGTAATTTGTTTCCTAGGAATTAATCTGTTTTATCTATTTTATTAGCATTAGGTTGTTCATAATATTCGCTTATATTCCTTTTAATCACAGTAGTGTTTGTGGTGATGTCCTCTCTTTTGTTTTTGGTAAGTTATATTTTCTTTTTTCCTAGGTCAGTCTCACTTAAAAATTTATCCTTTTTCTGTCTTTAAAAAAAAATTGGCCTGGTGCAGTGGCTCATGCCTGTAATCCCAGTACTTTGGGAGGCTGAGGCAGACGAATCACTTGAAGTCAGGAGTTTGTGACCAGCCTGGCCAACATGGTGAAACTCCGTCTCTACTAAAAATACAAAAAACTAGTTGGGCGTGGTGGCGGGCACCTGTAATCCTAGCTACTCGGGAGGCTGAGGGAGAACAGCTTGAACCTGGGAAGTGGAGGTTGCAGTGAGCCGAGATCGCAACAGAGCAAGACTCCATCTCAAAAAAAAAAAAAAAAAAAAAGCACTTTTTCCCCCTATACTTTTCTGTTTTCTATTTCACTGATTTCTACTTTAATCTTTATAATTTCCTTCTGGCTACTTTGGGTTTATTTATTTATTTATTTTTATTTTTTTGAGATGGAATCTCGCTCTGTTGCCCAGGGTGGAGTGCAGTGGCGGGATCTTGGCTCACTGCAACCTCCACCTCCCGGGTTCAAACAATTCTGCCTGCCTCAGTCTCCCGAGTAGCTGGGATTACAGGTGCCTGCCACCACACTCCGCTAATTTTTGTATTTTTTGGTAGAGATGGGGTTTTGCCACGTTGGCCAGGCTGATCTTGAACTCCTGACCTCAGGTGATCCACCAGCCTCGGCCTCCCAAAGTACTGGGATTACAGGCGTGAGCCACCGCACCCAGCCTACTTTGGGTTTAATTTGCTCTTGTTCTAATTTTTCAAGCTTAGATTATTGATTTTAGACCTCTTTTCTTTCCTAATGTAAGTGTTTGAAATTACAAATTTTTCTCTAAGCACTTTTTTAGCGTCATCACATAATATTGGTATGTTGTATTTTTGTTTTTATTCAGTTCACAGTAGTTTCTGATTTCCCTTGTGATACATTGTTTGACCTTTGTTATTTGTAAGTATGTTGTTTAATTTCCAAATATTTGGAATTTACTACATTGCTTTCTGTTGCTGATTTCTAATTTAATTCCACTGTGGTCAGAAACCATACATTAAATAATTTCAGTTTTTAAAAATTCAGTAAGACTTGTTTTATGTCCTAGCCCATGGTCTGTCCCAGAGAATGTTCCATGTGCAGTTAAAAAGAGTGTGTTTTCTGTTACTGTTGGATGGAGTGTCCCATAAATGGTTAAGTAAAGTTGGTTGATAATGTTGCTGAAGTCTTCTGTATTTTTTCTGATTGTCCATGTAGTTCTTTTTTCAGTTATTAAGAGTCGGCTATTGAAACCCCAAAACAAAATTTCTGAATTGTTTTTCTTTTCAGTTCTATTACTGTTGTTAGGTATGTTTAAATTTATAATGTTATATCTTCCTTTTAGTTTCCAGTAATTTTTTTGTTTCTAGTAATCTTTTATATCTTAAAGTCTATTGTCTAATAATTGCCACTCCAGTTTTTGTAGTTACTTTTTCATGGTCTTATTTTTTCCCATTCTTTTACTTTCAACCTATTTATGAATTTGAATCTAAGATGTTTCTTTTGTAGACAACGTTTCGTTGTGTCTTATTTTTTAATCCAGTCTATCTGCATTTGAATAGGATGTCCCAGTTCCTTGTTTTGCCACGTTGGAGGCTGAGCTCCCCATTGGGCCTCCATGACTTAATTTTAGTAGTAATAGGATAATGAAGTAATGTTTGTTTTTTTAAGCAAGTAAAAACTTGTTAAATCTCAACCTGTTTTAGGTTGCATTAACTGTAAATAAACTTGCTGTGTTCATCAGAATTGTGTCCCTCTTGATTAAATCATATTCTATGATTTAAGAAATTCTAAAGTGTCAAAATGAAAAAAATGTCTTTAGTGGGAAAAATATTTTGAACAAGTCCATGTGTTTGTAAGAAATGAGCAAAGAATATGATATGTATTGTTATTACAAATAGGTTTATTTGTAATGAGAGTTTACTTAGGATTTCCTTTTAAATTGAGAGACTTAAACAACTCTGTCCTGCTAAAGGTGAATTCAGTTATGTGGTACAGCTCAGCTCATGTGTCCTCTGGCAGGTTTAGAAGTATGTACTTTGAAACCTCAACCAAAGGTTACCTGACCAAGGAATTTTGTGCCAATATCATACGGGCCAACGCCCTTTGTTTCTAGACTTCAGGTAGTAATACATAGGGACACTGAAATAAGAGGATAGAGTGATATAGAAAGTTGGTGTACCCAGGGCTTACTGAATCATTGTCTCCCTTTTCATCACTATGAATAAGTGTGGACAAGTTGCTTTAATCTGCTAATGGAAGGAAGGAGCATTCTGTATTCCCAATTAAGGGAGCAAGTACAGGAATGGGAGAAAAAAATAGTTTATAAAGGTAGGCTCAGCAAGTCTTGGTGACAGATTATTGATAAGGGTAGAAAATAAGATGGAGCAATCCTAAATTACAAATTTTTAGTCTTTATAACTGAAAGAATTATAATGCTATTAACAGGAAAGAAATGAGGGATTTGGGGGTGGGGGGGCAGTTGTGATGTTTTAGTTGGTTTTGAATTATTGTTGTATTCATTTAGTTTGTAGTAGTTTCTGTATTTTTGAAGATGCCAAAGCACTTTGCAACTTTTTAAAAACAGCTTTATCAAGATATAATTTATATACCATAAAATTTATTCATAGCTTATAATCAACATACCATAAAAGTCGTTATATGTTAGTGAATTTAGTGTATTTACAATGATCAAACCATTACCATAATTATCACTATCATATAATTTTAGAACATCTATATCACCCTAAAAAGAAACCTCATTCCCATTCCTACCTCCAGCCCTAGGCAACCACAAATCTCTTTTCTGCTCCATATGCTTTTCTAGACATTTCATATAAATGGATTCTTATGTGTCAGTATGCATTCACTGAACGTAGTGTTTTTGAGGCTTTTTTTTTTTTTGACAGTGTTGCTCTGTTGCCCAGGCTGGACTGCAGTGGTGTGATTGTGATCTTGGCTCACTGCAACCTCCACCTCCCAGGTTCAAGCAGTTCTTGTGCCTCAGCCTCCCGAGTAGCTGGAATTACGGGTGCCCGCCACCACACCTGGCTAATTTTTTGTATTTTTAGTAGAGATGGGGTTTGTATTTTTAGTAGAGATGTTGGCCAGGCTGGTCTTGAACTCCTGACCTCAGGTGATCCACCTGCCTTGGCCTCCCAAAGTGCTGGGATTACAGGCATAAGCCACTGCACCCGGCCCTGCTTTGCACTTTTTAAAAAGGAGTTTCATAGCCAGCAGTAGGGTAACTATGTATGTAGTACATGTGAGCCATGTGGGTAAATTATGTAAAACCAGTCAGTGTAGGAAAAATATATATATTGAAAGAGTAGTGATAATATCATAAAATGGTTTTATTATTGTTATTATTCATCTATAGAGGTTTACCTTGCTAAACATTTGCTGACATAGGATATCAGTATGTAATATTTACCACAATTTTTAAAGTGTAATTGCTGAGGTAGAGATTTTTCTTAAGGAATCTTTGCAGTATTTAAATTGGAAAGAGAATGAACCCCATTGATTTCATTTTGAATTGATAGTTATTCCATAAATTGAGATTTTATTTCACTATTTTTGTCCAAATGAATTTGGATTGTAGACTAAAGAAATGGTCATCTACCCCATTATTTAGCCTTGATGATCTTGATCAAAACTAAATAATGCATATGAGAGACAGACCTAAGTTATAGATGGGGAAAAGAGACAAGTGATGGAAAAGGTACTGTTGCCACTAAAAGTAGTTTGTCTATTGTAGTTCTGTAGATACATCTTTATTTAAATGTTTACAGTGAAACAACACTTCATGTTATTACACTAACTTGATTAATGTAAATGAGATTATTGACTCCTTATTGAAACCTTTCACTAGATATACAGTATCGAAGCCTAATTTTGTTTGCTTCATAAATTCCATTTAAAGTGTCTTATTTGAAAATCACCCTGGTTAGAAATCAATAGCTATTTGCATTTTTCATATGGAGTGACACTTGAAATAAATTAATAGTAACTGACATAATCTGGATTAATCTGAGAAACATGAAGTAGAAAATTTATGTACACACTTCCTTATCTTCTGCTCAACTTTTCCTTTCTGTATACTTTCCCTGTTAGCTTATAAAATACTGTCTCTTGGTCCTTTTCTGAAACTGAAGCAATTTAGTAATTGATTCACATTTAGTTATTTAGGGTTAAAGTATTGCTTTTCTCCAACACATTGTCGTTTGAAAAGAGGACTACAAATTGGATACTGCTTAACTAAAAGGAATGAATCACTAATGGTAGATGTTTGTGTATGTCGTGGGAAGGGAAATAGGTGGAGAGCAAAGAATTTAGCTCCTTCTTCTGCTTCCTAAGTAGATTTAATAATCTGGCTATATTAGGGAGTTAGTCAAGTAGTGTTGAAAACAGAATAAACTGTTGGAAATACAGGTATTTTCTCATAGTCTTAGTAAAACACCTACTTTAGGAATACCTCATTTGGGTTCACTTAGTACTTGGAATTTGGATTTATATTGATTGTTTTACTATAATTTTCTTCCTGTGCAGTAAGTAAATGTGGGTGATTTAAAATATACTCCATGACTTTTACTCCCTTCTCCCCTATTTAAATCGATCCAAAAGGATCCCTGTTTTATATAACCTTGTGCTTAATAAGGAATTTTCTGTTTTTTGTTGTCTTCTTCTAGGCTGTATTCATCACCAAAGAAAAAACTTACACCAATGCAGAAATCGGTTAGTCCATTAGTTTGGTGCAGGCAAGTTTTGGATTACCCAAGTCCTGATGTTGAGTGTGCTAAAAAATCTCTTATCCACAAACTTGATCAAACTATGTCAGGTATGTCTATAATTTTGCTTGTAAATTCATCTCTTTGCTTTCTTTAGTCAAAAACCATAAATATTGAGCATTGTGTTTTTAGGAAGCAATTCTTTGGAGCATTTTTCAAATCTCATTGTTCATATCATCATGAGAGTTTTTCCCATGTTCACATAACCCTGTTCTATCATTTACTTAATAGCTTTTTAAAAAAATCTTGTTTTTATTTAGCCTCATCCTAAAGAATAATATCCATGAAATAATGAATTTCGTATGATAAGCTTTTTTCTAATACAAGTTAAATAACTATTAAAATATAAAATGTCTGGTATTGTATAAAATCCTCTCACATTCCACTCTTTGGGGAAACTGGTGTGGTAGAAAGATACAAGTGGAGAGCTACAGAGACCTTGTTCTCACTCTAGCCCTTAATTGCTCTGTCACTGCATTATTTGACTTGTGTGAGCTCAGTTGTCTCATAAGAATGATGAACCTTGAAAGGTAATTTTCAGGGTTAAGTGTTATGTGAAAGAGCCTAGCATGTTTTCTGGCTAACAGTAAGTGCTGAGTAAATGTATTCATTTCCCTTGTTATGTAAAACTACTTGACATTTTAGGTTTAAATTGCTTTTATGCTCTTTTGTTTAATAGCATTCACAAAGCTGACAAAATGTGTCTGTGGCTGTTTATAACATTTAATGTAGCATGCCAGTGTGGGCAGAAATGTAGGAAAAATATTGTTCATTTCTTCTTGTATTTCTCTCAGTCTGTTTTATGAAATATTCAGATAGTAAAAGATGGATGCATGATTAGTTTTGTTGTTGTTTTTCTGGTTTTTATTTACTTGGCAGCCATGTACTTAAAATTACTTATTTTGGCTTTATTATAGAAAACAGTATGTGCTTTGTGGTTAGAGTTTAAGCTGAAAATGGTCACAGGAAGCAGAGGGGACAGTTAAAGTGGCATACATAAAATGAAGTTTATTTGGTGATAAGGGGTAGTGGTTGTTACATGCAAATAACTTACGGGATGTTATTACAGAGGTTCTGAATCTGGGTCAGTTTTGACACTAAAGTATTACTTTTCCTCTATGAAAAGAAGCCCTTTTGTTTTTGTTTTTTGTTTTTTGTTTTGTTTTTTTTTTTTTTGATATGGAGTCTCACTCTGTTGCCCAGGCTGGAGTGCAGTGGTGTGATCTTGGCTCACTGCAGCCTCAGCCTCCCGAGTAGCTGGGACTAAGGTGCCCACCACCACTCCTGGCTAATTTTTGTATTTTTTGTAGAGATGGGATTTTACCGTGTTAGCCAGGCTGGTCTTGAACTCCCGACCTCAGGTGATCTGCCCGCCTCAGCCTCCCAATCTGCTGGGATTACAGGCGTGAGCCACCATGCCTGGCCAAAGAAGCACTTTTGAAAAAGCAATAGCCTTTATGTGATTTTTTAAATGTTTAGTATGACTATCAGCTTATTTGTTTGAATTATACCCTGAAGCTTGATGTAAGTTATATTCATAAGAGATTATTAGAAATATGTAGACAAGCTAGTAGACCATTTTAAATAGCTGGACATTTTCTGACCAATTTCTGGCATTAATGTACTTAATGCCACAGAACATTAAGTATGGAAATTTTCTGACTATATATTGAGAATATTCCTATAGAAGGAGCATGATTGAAAGAAAAAAGAATATTCCTAGAGGGCTAGGTAGAGTGGCTCACACCTGTAATCCCAGCTGATTGGGAGGATCACTTGAGTCCAGGAGTTCAGAAGCAGCCTAGGCAACATAGTGAGACCCCACCTCTACAAAAAATAAAAAAATAAAAATAGCCAGGCATGGTGTGCGCCTGTGGTCCCAGCTAGTCGGGAGACTGGGGCAGGAGGATCCCTTGAGCCCAGGAAGTTGTTGCAGTGAGCCATGTTTGCACCACCGCACTCCGGCTTGGGTGACAGAGCAAGACCCTGTTGCCAAAACAAAACAAAACAAACAAAAAGTATATACACACACACACACACACGCGCGCACACACACACACACACATATACATATATACACATATATATACATATACATATATACATATATATATATACACACACACACATATATATCCCTAGAAACTGTTTTTCAGTACCCCACCTTAGAAATAATATAATTTACAATTTAATTAGGAATTTTCATCATTGAACAGCATGTATTGAGAATCTGCTATAATAGGCATTGTTCTCAACACTGAAGTTATGGCAGTGAATATAATAGACCAAAAAATGGCTTACTTCTTGGAGCTTATATTCTTATAAGAGGAGTCAGACAGTAAACAAATAAATAAAACTCTGGCAAACTTTTTCTGCAAAAAGCCAGATAATAAACAATTTTAGTCTTTGTTGCCTGTAAGATCTCTGTTGCAGTTACTCAACTTTGCTCTTGTAGCATGCAAGCAGCCATAGACAATACATAAATGAGTGGGCATGGCTGTGTTCCAGTAAAACTACTTAATGTAACAGGTAGTGGACTAGATTTGGCCTGAAGGCTATATTTTACCAACCCCTGGTTTAAAACGTCCTAAGGAGTATGAATTATTAGCAATTGGTGACTAGCAACCTGGACTTGGGTAAAAGTAAAGCTGCTGCACCTCAAAAATAGCAATTTTGAGTGAGTGGCTCTTTGCTTTATTGCAAGGAGGATATTAGGAGTGTGTAAGAGAGGCAGTTACTCTTGAACCATAACTAGGTGTAATTAAGTACTGCATCTGTTTAACATTGTTTAAATTTTATAGCTGTATTCATAGAACAATAGCTACAGCTATAAATACAATGTATATTTGAAATATATATTTAAAATCTTTTAAGGAAAAATTTTGGCTTTTACAAGTTTGAACTTTGTAGTTGTAAATCCCCCATTTCCCAAGGAGATTGTTTTTTTTTTAAATACACTTTTTTGGTAAGGCAGAGCTTCCTAGGAACTTAAGTGCTGTATTGCAGCAGAACAGTTATTACTCCTTCACACTCAGGTTCGCTGCAGCGCACTATCACTCGTTCCTAAAATTTTCTTCACTTGTTTTTTTTGACAGTGTATTGTCTTTTTAACCCTCATTTACCCTCCCTGCTCTTTTCTTTTCAGTCTTCATTGAAGATTCTTCCTTTTCTACCCATCTTTTAAAAATTGTCATAAAATTATATAATACAAAATTATCCATTTTCACCCTTTAAAAATGTACAGTCCTGTGGCATTAAGTACATTCACGTTACTGTGCAACTGTCACTATCATATCCAGGTGAAAAGAGCTTTTAATCATCCTATACTAAACTTTTTCATCATCCCATACTGAAATTCTGTACCCGTGTTAACCAATAACTTCCCATTCCCTTTGCTTCCTCTCTGCCTGTTTTAGGTTTAGGTTGCCCCAGATCTCTCTTTTGCCTCATGTCTCTCCCTGTTTTGGTGTTTTCATCTGTTTATATGGTGTCTAGTATCACCTCTGTTGAATCACATTCATTCATGCATATATTCAAATAATTTTTAATGCAAACCTGTTAAGTATCAGGCTTTGGGAAAAGGGTGGAGGTGGGGTACATTATAAAGAAAAATGAACACTGTACTGGCACTTAATGGAGTTTATCATCTAGTAGGGGAAACATACTACAAATAATTTTTTTAGTGGTATATATATATAATAAAGGAATAAAGGTATAGTGCTTTGAGAAATAGGAATTTTCCCTTAGGAAATGATGTTTGACCTGAAACCTTAAGATTCAGAACAACTTAAGTGTGCTAAGAAAGAGATGTGGCCGGGCGCAGTGGCTTACACCTGTAATCCCAGCACTTTGGGAGGCCAAGGTGGGCGGATCACCTGAGGTTGGGAGTTCGAGACCAGCCTGACCAACATGGAGAAACCCTGTCTCTACTAAAAATACAAAATTAATGGTGTGGTGGCACATGCCTGTAATCCCAGCTACTCGGGAGGCTGAGGCAGGAGAATCGCTTAAACCCCGGTGGTGGAGGTTGTGGTGAGCCAAGATCGTGCCATTGCTCTCCAGCCTGGGCAGCAAGAGTGAAACTCCATCTCAGAAAAAGGAGATGGAGTAGAGCATTCCA
This sequence comes from Homo sapiens, assembly GCF_000001405.40. NCBI lineage: Eukaryota > Metazoa > Chordata > Mammalia > Primates > Hominidae > Homo > Homo sapiens. The sequence goes on from NC_000004.12 coordinate 48,374,068, forward strand.
GATAAAAAGAAAGGCATGTGCAAAGGCTCCATGTGGGATGAAGCATGACATATACGAAGAAGTTGCTGGAGAAGAGTAAGGAAAGGAGAGATGTGAGATAAGGCCAGAAAGATACATAGGAACCAGACTCTGTAAAACCTTATAGGCCATGTTAAAGATTGTGGACTTTATTCTTTTTCTTTTTTTGGAGACGGAGTCTTGCTCTGTTGCCCAGGCTGGAGTGCAGTGGTGCGATCTTGGCTCACTGCAACCTCTGCCTCCCGGGTTCAAGCGATTCTTCTGCCTTAGCCTCCTGAGTAGCTGGGATTACAGGTGCCTGCCACCAGACCCAGCTAATTTTTTTTGTATTTTTACTAGAGACGAGGTTTCACGATGTTGGCCAGGCTGGTTTTGAACTCCTGAGCTCAAGTGATCCACCTGCCTTGGCCTCCCAAAGTGCTAGGATTAAAGGTGTGAGCCACTGCAACTGGCACCCGGCCAATTGTGGACTTTTAAGAGCACTAGAAAAATATCGAAGGGTTTTCTGCAAGGGTGTAGTGTATGTGGACAGGAAGGACGTCATCAATTTTATTTTGGAAAGGTTATTCTAGTAGTAGTATGGAAAGTAGGTTGGAAAGGGGCAAGAGTGAATGTAGGATGCCTTTGAAGAGGGTTGATAATGATAGCTAGGCCATGTATGCTGAATGGAAAGCATAGTAGATATGGTAATAAAAGGGAATGAACCAAATATGAGGAAATGGTGGACAAGAATATCAGTAGTGATTTCTAAGTTGCCAGCTTCTGCGACAAGATGAATATTGGGATCATTCTGGAAGAGGGACCCTTGGAAGAGAATTAGATGTTAGTGCGAAGATCATGAGTTGATCTTATATGTTGACTTAGATACATTTGCCATACCCAAGGGGAGAGACATTAAATGGGTGGTGTATATAGGTCTGAAGCTCAGAGGAAAACTTAAGACTAGAAATTTAAATAATGAGGAATGTTTAGCATATAGATAATAATTGATGTATGATTGAGATTCCTTAGGAGAAAGAATATGGCATAGACTGAGAAGATAAAAAGGCTTAGAACTTGGAATGCTAGTGATTAATAACTAAGTAAAAGAGAATAAACTCCAGAGGAGATGGAGGAGGAGGAAAAAGGTAGAATTTAGCAACTGTATTTCTGCACAGGTTGATAGTTCCAAGATCATGCCACATACTGCATACTAAATATATATAAAATATTGTTTTATCTTGCATCTTGTCTCATGGTGAATATGTACAAAACTACATGGTCCAAATTACTGCACTGTCTAACTAAACAGAAAACATATGTTCCTCCTCCCCAAAACCACTACTACCAGTAGGCAAACCAGACATTTCATTCAGCTGATTTCTTTTCTTTAACAATCCTTTCCAGTTTTTAATATCTATCCTTTTTTTCTTTTTTTTCCTTTTTTCTAGTCACCGTGTACTACCTAGTTCAGTCTAACTTATTAAACATCAAGATTTCTGTCATTTTTTCTCCTTACACTGATCAGATCATATCATATGCTTGATCAAAATCACAGATAGTTTTATCACTGCTACTAAATAGGCTTAGTGGCCTACTAAATAGGTTTAGAAACCTACTAACTAGGTTTCAGACTTCTGAGCGTAGTGTCTCAGGCCTTCCATGACCTGGCTCCAGCTGGTTTTATCTGTTTTGTCCCTGCCCTGTGCTTTATCACACTTACCTGAGCATGCTCTGCATTTCCGAGACACTGCTTTTGTTCATCTTATAAATACTGAGTAAAGCACATACTTTCCCCATCCTGTCAAGTTACTACTCATCCTCTCAAGACTGCTTCAATGCCTCTCCTTCCAAAAAGCCTTACCCAGTTTCTCTCAGTTGTAATGAATTACTCCTAACTCTTCCTTTCCATTGCCCTTTGCACCTTTATGATAGTACTCATTTCATTTTGCCTTGCAATGTTTGTTGACTCTGCCTGTGGTACTTGGCTGCAAGCCTCTTAAGAGAGAGAGCACCATATCCTGTTTCTTGTATATATTCTATAAAGTGCTCTTGCCAGTGCTCATAAATATTGAATAAGCTGTGGATATTAGAATATGAAGGAAGGGGCTGGGCACGGTGACTCACGCCTGTAATCCTAGCACTTTGGGAGGCCAAGGCAGGCGGATCATCTGAGCTCAGGATTTCGAAACCAGCCTGGGAGACATGGCAAAACCTTGTCTCTACTAAAAATACAAAAAATTAGCCAGGCGTGGTGGCACATGCCTGTATTCCCAGCTATTTGGGAGGCTGAGGCACAAGAATCGTTTGAGCCCAAGAGGCAGAAGTTACAGTGAGCCGAAATCACGCCACTGCACTCCAGCCTGGGTGACAGCAAAACTTTGTCTCAGAGAAAAAAAAAAAAAAAAAAGATTGAAGGAAGAAATAGTATTTTAAGTGTTAATTTTTTAAATATATGCATTTGATATCTTAGTCCTACTGTTGTACTATTTATTTAATTTTACATGCATAGCACATTTTTTTTTTCTTTTTTTGACAGAAGTATTCAGGTTGACTTTTTTTTTTTTTTTTTTTTGAGACGGAGTCTCGCTCTGTCACCCAGGCTGGAGTGCAGTGGCTCGATATCGGCTCACTGCAAGCCCCGCCTCCCGGGTTCACGCCATTCTCCTGCCTCAGCCTCTCCGAGTAGCTGGGACTACAGGCGCCCGCCACCACACCTGGCTAATTTTTTGTATTTTTTAGTAGAGACGGGGTTTCACCGTGGTCTCGAGCTCCTGACCTCGTGATCCGCCCGCCTCGGCCTCCCAAAGTGCTGGGATTACAAGCGTGAGCCACCGCGCCCGGCCGACTTTTTTTTTTTTTTTTTTTTTAAGGATTTCCCATGTCTTGACCTTAAACTGGCTTAATAATAGTCGGTATTGCTTTAAAAAAAAAATCCAAACTTTGAAAAGGCGATTTAAACAACTTATTTCATAGCTTTTAGAAAAAGTAATAGGTTGAGTGCAGTGTCTCACCCCTGTAATCCCAGCACTTTAGGAGGCCAAGATAGGAGGATCACTTGACACCAGGAGTTTGAGACCAGTCTGGGCAACATGGTGAGACCACATCTCTACAAAAAAATATATATATATTTTTTCGAGACGAGTCTCACTCTGTCGCCCAGGCTGGAGTGCAGTGGCACGATCTCTGCTCACTGCAACCTCTGCCTCCCGGGTTCAAGTGATTTTCCTGCCTCAGCCTCCCAAGTAGCATGCACCACCATGCCTGGCTAATTTTTTTTTTTTTTTTTTTTTAAGTAGAGACAGGGTTTCACCATGTTGGCCAAGCTGGTCTCGAACTCCTGACCTCAAGTGATCAGCCCACCTCAGCCTCCCAAAGTGCTGGGATTACAGGCATGAGCCACCGTGCCTGGCCCAAAGAATATTTTTTAAAATAAAAAGTAATACATTTGTTACAGAAAAATGAGAAAACATAAGTATGCTTTTATATTCCATTTATTTTTAAAGGTCACTCAGGATTGATACAGCAAGTATCAAAGAATAAACTTTCCAACATAGTAGAAGTGAATTAAGTGGCCAATAATCTGTTTAGGAGTTACTCTTCCTGCATTATTTTTGTTGTTTGATGTGGCTACTGTTTTATTTGCATACACAGTTTAAGATAATAGAAACAATTTGTTGGGATTATTATATTTTTTCCCCCACTACCATAAGAATATTTCTTCATTTAAATTGAGATAATGATTTAGTTTTCTAATAGGAAAACTTCAGAAATGAAACGTTAACTTTTTCTCAGTTGTTAAATTTGATTTTCCCCTTCTCATTAATGCAGCTCTCAAGAGGCAGAATTTATATAATAATCCTTTCAACTCTATGAGTTACACCAGTCCTTACAGTCCAAATGCCAGTAGCCCATACAGCAGTGGCTTCAATTCTCCATCCTCAACCCCAGTGCGACCTCCTATAGTCAAACAGCTTATACTTCCTGGAAATTCAGGTAAGGAGAAAATGATATGGAGCTATTAAGGAATGTTTTTTAGCTTACTGCACTGTATCAGAAAATAACATTCATCTGCAGTTCGAGTTCATTTTATTTATGAAACTTTTAACTGGTTAAAGAAAATATCGTTGAGGAGCAACTTAGCACCAGGTACTATATTAGGCACCAGGGGTATAAACATAAGCCAGTGTGCTAAATACATAAAATTTTCTTTAGCAAGTACCTAAAAGTTTGTAAGTCTGGCTTAATTAAATGGGTTACAAATGTGATTCTTTTAATCAATAGATCCTTATTGAACAGCCTACTTGGGTTGTAAAAACTACAGAGTTAAAACCTCTTTATAGGAATTTTAATAAACTTTGATACTGCAGCTAAATAATAGTATGAGGTTAGAGGTGAATGTACCAGCAGAGTGAGGGGGCAGTAAATGATGTGGGAAAGCCAGATTGCTATAAACCAGGGAAAGAATGTTCTGCTCTGAGACTGTTATTGTGTAGCTTACTCTTCACGAATTCACAATTCACCCATTTATTTACTCTTATTGTCGCTGAAGCTGTTGTTATGACTGATTATTATAACTTCCTTAAAAATTAAGGTTAACCACCTCAAATTTTGACCTGTGCACTCCCTAGTCTAATGATCCTATTCTTTGTGTAGTATATAGGTTGTTACTTGCTACTTACTTCACCTATGATGATACCATGTTAAAAAGTTTAAGCTGCAATATTTGTTTAAAATAGGTAATTTCGTTCAGGCATTATTTGAGCCTGACCTTGTAGTACTTTTCCTATCATGTGCACTCTGCTCTTTTTTCATTAATAGTATAAAGATTAATTATTTTGTACTCTTCTTGCTCTCCTTACATGCTTTTCATGTTGGAGCTGACTGTTATGGTGAAGAATTCTGGAAAACAAGTGTTTCAGATAAATCTGTAATAGAAATATTAGTGACAGTGTTGGGATTTCATTATTTAGTAAAAGTTGACGATCTGATGAAAATATTTCATTAGAAACAAGTTAGACTTTTTTGGATGTGTGTATTCTTTATTCCTCTGGCCTGTTTTCTGTCTTCCTTTTGGTTTAGAATGATAAAGTACTTTAAACATGGCATAATGTAGGAGAAACAAGCCTCATGGTCTTTGTTCCTAAAATCTCTAAGGAATCTAATTTTATTCAAATTATAGTTTTCTCATTTAGAAAAATGAGGGAAAAGATGATGGTGTTTGTCAATGACTGTGAATTCGGGAGAAGAAAACACTACATCATAAACTCATCTATTTATAGAGCAGTTTCATTGGCTATCTTGTGCAAGTTGAAATCCTTAACATATACTTATTGAACACCAATTACTTGCCAGGCACTGTGCTGAAAGCTGAATTGTTACATAAGAGAATAGATAAGTTATACTTAGATGAAAATATGTTTATGCCATAGCATATAAAGGAGTCTCAGTAGCCCTCATTTTTCTTAATGAGGTCAATTTCTAATTTCAGGGAATTTTTTAAGCAGAAAAGGCAGAACAAGAATGAATTAAATCAAAGGGTATAATATCAAGTTAGTTGCAGTAGGCATTTATTCAATAGTTGCTTTACCAGAGTTTGAATTTTTTTCTTTTTTTTTTTTTAAGGTAACTTGAAAAGCTCAGACAGAAATCCTCCACTCAGTCCTCAGTCCTCTATAGATAGTGAGTTAAGTGCTTCAGAATTAGATGAAGATTCAATTGGATCCAATTATAAGCTAAATGATGTAACTGATGTACAGATTCTAGCCCGGATGCAGGAAGAAAGTAAGTATTCTAATTGTTAAGAGTTGAGGTTTTTTACTATTGCATAATTTTGTTGTATATTAAATATGTCTTAAAGTATTGTGGGGGTAGTAATGTAGTGAAAGTAGAAATGTTGCAGTGGACATTTCAGAGACTTAGTCAACATATGTACATGTTTATTCATCAACTTGTTTTCAGAGTCCATTTTTACATAGAGCAGTTATGCTGTGTGAGGGACAAAGAACAGCATTTATGCTGCTCTGCTTCTATGACTGGTTTTTATACCCTGCATGTTACTCTGCACTAGCACTTAACTCTTGTAATTGTTAGTCTATTACCCTTTGTGTTTTAGTGTAAACCAGCGTTTCTCAATTTTTTTCTTTTCGGTTGCTCCCCTAAGGAGCCTTGTTAAAAACTTCTTTTCCTTTTCTCCCACACTCCCCATGAAATCTTAATACCACAAGATATACTCTATATATGTTTAAGTACTATGAGGGCCATATACAATTATGACATCTAGGAATTTTTTCACACCCCAAGAACCAGTTTTTGCCCTCTTGGGAATGAATATCTCCTCACTTGAGAATACATGGTGTAAACTGTAAAAAAGACCTTTAGGAGAACATTGGAATTGTGACATTAAATTAAATGAAGCATGTGATGGTGCTTTGCAGAGTGAATGATGAAAACTTTTTAGGCCACAGATACCTTTGAGAATCCTTTTATCATCAAAGTGTACATATGCACAAAATTTTTAATACTTTTTAAAGGGTTCATGGCTACTTGCCCTGGTACTCATCTGAAGGTACTTATTCTTGCCAGTGCATTTCATTAGAAGATGCCATCTGCATAACTATGAAGTAAGAAATCTCTCTAAAGCAATCTCTTCAACCTTTACAATGAAAAGAATCCTTGAAATACATATGTTGACAAGTCTTGACAGGTGGCTGAGGTTAATGGAGCATTGCTACGGTTTAGTTCAAAAACTTTCTGTTGTCTGTGTATGTAATAGGTTCTCTTTAAATATGTAGTAGGCTTTATCAAGCTGTAGCATTTATTAAGAAACTAAAGTGTTTCTTATTCTGCTGATTCACTTCCCATTTCCATATAGCTTCCCCTAGGAAGATAGAAGGACTTAGTGCTTGCTTTATTTAGCCCTGCAACCTAATAGCAGAGTACTCTTTTTCTTCTGTAATTTTAATTAACTCCTCAGTGAGACTGTGGTATTGTCAGCTGGTTAGGGGGTGGTTATTGTTGTGGATGTGAAAAAATAAAGAATGCTGCCTAACTCTGTACTTTAGAACAAGTTCTCTCATTTCTTTGAACCCTGGCTTTTTAGATCCTAGTATTTTGTTAGAAGCTCAACCAGCTCTTTGCTTTTGGTTTTGTATTGTGTTTTGGTAACAATAGAAATTTTAGTCTTACTTTAATAATTTTTTCTAAGCCATCCACATGCATGAATATTTATTTTCCTGATGAGTAAAAATAGTAATAAAAATATATGTGATACTTCTTGAAAACTACAGCTTTTTTTTTGTCTTAGAGATGATTTTCCTTTTTACAACATTGTGTTTTGTAATGATTAGAAATGTAGAACTACAGATTTGGGCAGTCACCTGGTCAAGGTCATTCGTTTTTAAGATGAGAAATGCAAGCTCCTATAGTGATCCAACAGTGCTCTTTTCATTGGTCTGTTGTCTTTTGTTAGGTGACTTTAGTGCCATGTTGGCTATAACTAGACACTAAGTAACTTGTTGGTTACTATTTTGGTTCCCCGACTAACTGAAGGGCTAAGTGGACTCCAGGAATTTATAGTTTTAAAGATACCCTAGGGTGATTCTCATCCACTGGTTTGATGAACCGTGTTGATAGCACTTTCTGTGTGTGAATACATGACTTTAGGATTTGAATACCACTTTATAACAGATCTTTTTGACTGGAGTGCTAATAGTTAGCAGGTTGTGCTCAGAATATTACCTAAATTCTATACGTTTGCATTGCAGTTTGTTTCTTCATTGACTATGTTACGTATCAACTTTTTTTTCTGTTGTTCTAGAAGCATCTGTACTATTTGAAGGGCTCCCAAGGTTGCTTGGGTGTTTTCGAAGGTATCAAGCTATATAGGAGAATTCTTTGAAAATTCTTACTTGAAGACTTAGAATTTAAGCTTGAAAACAAGCTTAAAACAATAAAAATGGAAGTCTCTTGGGTAGTGAAGCAATCAAGATTTCGTTTGTGCCCAAGTACTGAATTCCTATAAGTGGGTTAGAAGTTTCTTTGGTACTTTATCATCTTCATGAGTAAGATTATTTCAGTAATTAAGTATCCAAGAAGTTTTATTTACTCACATACGTATTCTTTTTCCACTGGTTGGATGGTAATTGTTTCCCCTCAATATTCCTTTAATATTAGTCTCAAATTTGGATTACTGTCTTTAGGGGTAGAAATATTTTTAAATTTATGATTCTACCATGTGAGACAGATTTCAGCTTTAAGAAGAAATCTGGAAATTGGGCAGTGGTTTATGGGATTTCATTCAATTTAAAAATAACCTTCAGATGTGATTTATGCCTCCTTATATGGACATATAAGCCTATATAAGTCTAAAAGCAGAAAGGGAGTTTTCTTTTACACTTTACACCCTCTTTGAATTTTTCAGTGATAATCTTTTACTTTAAATTTTAAAATTATTTAAATGTTTAAAAATATTGTTTAAATAAATAACATTCATTGTTGCCAGGTCTCCGGCAAGAATATGCAGCCACCACGTCTCGGCGCAGTTCTGGTTCATCTTGCAATTCTACAAGACGGGGTACTTTTAGTGATCAGGAACTTGATGCACAAAGTTTAGATGATGAAGATGACAATATGCATCATGCAGTATACCCTGCTGTTAACAGGTTTTCACCATCACCACGCAATTCACCTCGACCGTCACCTAAGCAGTCACCCAGAAATTCACCTCGTTCACGATCTCCTGCTCGGGGAATAGAATATAGTAGAGTGTCCCCACAGCCTATGATTAGCCGCTTACAGCAACCTCGCCTTTCACTTCAAGGCCATCCCACAGATTTACAGACAAGCAATGTTAAAAATGAAGGTAAAATAGCAGATTTTACTAATAATTAGACAGTTTCTGCTAGCCTGTGTAACATAGCAAGACCCCGTCTCTAGGAAAAAAATTTTCAAAATTAGCTGGGCATGGTGGTGCACATCTATAGTCCTAGTGACTTGAGAGGCTGAGGCTGGAGGATTGGTTGAGCCCAGGAGTTCAAAGCTACAGTGAGCTGTGATCACACCATTACACTCCAGTCTGGGCAACAGAGCAGGATCCTGTTTTCAAAAAAAAAAAAAAAAAAAAAGTTTCTAGATTAAAAAAAGAGAAAAAGTGTCCTTTATATTTCACTATGAAAGTAATACAATTTTTGCTAAGTTTTTGTATTTCAGATAAGTAAATCAAGAGTGTAGTCAGGTTTACTATTTTATTAATAGTGAATCATTACAAAAATAAAAGAGAAAGTGAATTTCATTTTACTTGGTTATGTTGTTTTTGCTTTATTGTTTTATGAAGTTACCTGTATTTAGATTTTGCTTTAAATATAAAATTTGTGGTTATCTTTAAGTGTTCTCTTATTCTACCCACTTAACAGATCCTAGATCGAGTTGTTTGTTTTTTTTAATAAGACAAGTCCTTTGTATTTTCTCATCTAAAATAAACAGAATGTTTGATAAACAATTTGATTTTTGAATGCTAGTTAATATTTTAATTTTCTCCATCTGAAAGAATATGATTTTTTTAAAATTAAAATTCTGTTGCAGAAAAACTAAGACGCAGTCTTCCAAACCTGTCCCGAACATCTAATACACAAGTTGACTCAGTGAAAAGCAGCAGAAGTGACTCAAATTTTCAAGTGCCAAACGGAGGAATACCTCGTATGCAACCTCAGGCTTCAGCCAGTAAGTATCCTTCTTATGCTTTCATGTATCAGTTATTTAAAGAGAAGTGAAAATTTTAGATATTTGTTTTATGCTGAAAAACCGTTTTTTATGCTGAAAAACCGTTTTAAACCATAGCTATAGTAAAATTTAGTGTTTATTAGTTGCTGGATGATAATCAAAGTTATATTACAATTTAAAATTTTCTATGTAGGATACTTGATTCTGCCAGTACATCTGTCTATACAAAACTCTGGTCTCTCCAGAATTTTAAAATAAGCAAAATGTAACTATTAAAAAAGTAGGTGTAGCTTTTGCTTATAGATACTAGAATTAGAAATAAAAACCAGTAGAGCATCCAAAAATATATGTCCCTTAGTACGTAAATTTTCTTTAATAACCTCCACTTTAAAAATACCTAAAAGTTTGATTATTACATAATTTTAGAATCATACTCAAAATAATCCATTGTTCAAACCTGCAATATATTAAATCTGTTATCAAAGTTGAATTGTTGAAGTTCTTTTCTTTCCAAAACAAAAGTATACCAGGAGAACTCTTGGATGATCTCATTTTATTTCTGCATCTGTTGAGATAAGATTTCTGGTTTTGATTTGATTTTCTGTGTTTGTTAAGGCTATTTTAATGAAAAAATACAATATTGAATCAATATGTATGCCAAATTAATTCATAGTCCTAATCCTACTTATAGATTAAAATTTGAGATAAATTGCCAGAAACCATCACTTTTTAAGAATTGATCAGGACTTGTCTCTTTAAATTATCTTTCAGAAAACAAATTCTTAGAGTTAAAGCTAAACTCTTAAACAGAGAAGGTGAATTTTAGAAGTATAGTAGAAAGAACACATGTAGATTATAATTTTTAATAAGTTTTGGTCATTGGGTGGTTACTAACCCATGAATGTGACAGTATTTGTATTCAACTATTATTTGTAATAGATACTTGAGTTTTTATTTTGTGGCAAGTAGTATGTTAAATCAATACAGGCATTTCTACTATAGCACAAAATATGCACTCCTTAAAAACCTCACATTCTGCAGTATTACACAATAAAAATGATAGGATGATGAGGAGTGGAGGGAATAGTCCTGGAACAGACCACTGAAAACCCAAGCAACTTTCTTAGAAAGCATTAATAAAAACAATAATGATACTAGCACAGTTAAATTCATGTTAAATCTTTATTAAATACTCCAGGAGATATAGAACTTCATTTTTAAAGAAAGATTTGAAGGTAATGTGATGGAAAGGAAAGGTTGAGACTGTTGAATTAAGGAAACATATGCAGCATAGACGAAGATCAGAGAGAATCATACAGTAAGATCATCTAGGACAAAATAGCCAAACTGAGCCAAGAAGTAGTGATGTTGGAGTAAATGGGCATTGTGTATATTAATGTACAAGTTGATTTTAAAGGAATTTCAAAAAATTACTTTTTAGCTAGGATAGATTTGAGCGTGTAGTCAAAACGGTTTTAAATAAATGATTACAGTTATTTTTATGATCTTATGAACGCTCAGTATTCATCCCATGTGTTTCACAGCTCACATCAGTCCCGTATATGAGCTCTGAGACACAAAGGGTGCATATTCACTGGGGTCCTTGTAGGGACACAAGGGATGCTTATTCACTCAGATCCTTGTAGGTACACAATGGATGCATATTGTCTCAGATCCTTGTGGCATATTACTATCAGTGGTTGAAGTGGTAGCTGTGTTATATTCTTTCATTTTCTCAAGGCTATGAAGAAGTGATACAAACGAGTTTGTTGACTGTTCACTTATAACTTGTTTATTAAGCAGTTAAAAATTTGAAGATATTTAACCCTTTTTTCATTTTCATCTTTTTTTTTCTTTTTTTTTTGATTGAGTCAGGGTTTCACTCTGTCACCAGGCTGGAGTGCAGTGGCACAATCATGGCTCACTGCGGCCTCACCTTCCTGGGCTCAAGTGATCCTCCTGCGTAGCTGGGACCACAGGCGTGCACCACCATGCCCAGCTAATTTAATTTCTTCACACTTTTCCTTGGCCCTGTTGTGTTTAGCTGACTTCATATACTTCATGTTAAGCTGTTGTTACTTAGTGGCTCAAAAATCAACAGGCTAGCAGGAGTTTGAGACCAGCCTGAGCAACACAAGACCTCGTCTCTAAAAAAATGTTTTTTTTTTTTTAATTACCCAGGCATGATGGTCACATGCCTATAGTCCCAGCTACTTAAGAGGCTGAGGTGGGAGGATTGCTTGAGCCCAGGAGTTTGAAGCTGCTGTGAGCCATGATCATGCTGCTGCACTCCAGTCTATTGAAAGAAAAAAAAAAAAAAAAAAAGCTACGAAAAAACTATATTTGAATCAAAATGACTTCTGTGATATATTGACAAATTTTCCTTATTTACAAGGTGCATATGATATTACTTATATAACAAATTTATATTATACTGTATTTAGATGCATAATCTTATTTAATCCTTAGAACAATTCTATGAAGGAGGTACGATTATTACCACATTTTACAGATTAGAAATTGAAGCTTTGAATGGCCAAATAACCTATCTCTGATTATACAGCTTATAAGCGGCAAGTTAGAATTTAAACCCATGTTGATTCATCTTGAGCACTGGATCTCAATAGGTGAGAGTCCAAATTCACCTAGTGAGAGTTGTCACATCTATGGTTTAGACCATGATATAAAACTTATCCAGAAATATAATTTCCATTTTTCCTAAGATTTAAAATTCTAACGTTTAAAGCACTGTAGAAAATTGGTACCCAGAGATTTGTAAACCACATTTATTCAGCTAGATATATGCTAAAACCTGTTTTTATAGCAAATTACATTTTAAACTTAGTACTCCAAGTCTTATTGTGAACTCTGTAACTGAGAGTGCCATTATAATACTCACTGTAGTACTAATAAATAGTATAGAAAACAGGAATTCACAAAACACTTGAAAGGAAGGATAGAATTTGAGCTTTATCTTTGAAATCGTGAGTGATACAGATTAATTTGACACTTGAGAATATCCTGTTTCTGGCTTCTTTTTTCCCCTGACACATTTGGCTGATGCAAAAAAAACCACCCACAATGTTAATGTAACAGGAAAGAAAAATAGTAAATCATTAAGAAGGTTAAATAATAAAACTTATGTATATTATAAGCCATGCTTTTACAGCATGTGAACAGATGATCCAAAACAATGTTTGTACTTGGCTTTCAAAGATGCTTTCATATTTAGTTTGAACTGTTACATTCTGGATTTCTCAAAAGTTTACATGATACATGTCCAAACAGCATCCCAGATACTTTCTAAAACTAGCTATATCTATATCCTCTACCTCGTCCCCTCATACATGCTCTGTATTTGAACTATTCTAGCATGTCAAAGCTTTATGGAAATGAAAAATAATTCTTCACAAAAACAGAAGAAAAAACAAAAGGTTGGGAACCTAGGATAAAAATGTTAATAGAAATAATGCATTGTCTGTGTCTTAAACTTCACAATGATTGCTTGCCTTCTCTAGTGGTAGAATTACCATTTTGTAATTATAATCACCTGCTGATACCCTATAATTTTTTTTCTGTAGGTGAATTACTTTTCCTTTTTTTCCCAGAAGTTGATAATTAAGGAATATATATAGGGAAAACACAATGGGATTCCAATCATTGATTTACTTTTAAGTGGAAAGTATGTATGCAATTTCATAATGGTGTATTTCAGTACTTGAATATGTAGGCAGAAGAGAAAGTAAGGTACCATGTTTTTTTTTTTCCAATTGTATGTACTTGTTTATATTTGTAGCTGTAGTAAAGCTTATAATTAAAATGTCACATATTTATTTTGGTATAGAATTATACTGTTCTCAAAAATGTATTTGGAAAGTAGGAAATTCAAAATATTAGCAAGTTTAAAACTTAGTAAAGTTTACTTTAAAATGTTTAAAACTTTGTTGAAAGTTAACATGAAGCAAAAAAAGTGTTACCAATTTATCTTGAAATTTCATATATATTTGATACATGAAAATATATATGTAAGCATTTTTTAAATTAGTATACATAGTTTTCATAATAGTCTTTATATAATTTGTACAATTATTATAATAAGCTTTATATACTTTATACATGAATTGGTATTTTGTATTTTTTGTGTAAACTTCAGTTGTTAGTGTAACAGATGTTGCATTTTGTTTTAAGTATTTATTTTTTCAGCTCTTAAGTGGTAAAGCTTTGGTTCTTACTTGCTGGTCTGCATGAACCTAACTTTGCAAGGTTGCTGTTACTTCCACCTAAGGGATCACTTCTTTTGCCTTGTTACTATGCCAATCACTATTTTTATATGCTTATTTGCTGTGGCTGCATTATTGTGGATGCTGGCATTGAAATATGAGATTTATGAGAGTTCTAATGTATCTTCATTTTTATAACTATTACCAATTTTTGACTTTTATATTTGGAAAATATAACTTAAAAAGTTTAAGAAAACCAGAGCATTGCAGAGGTCATGGATACATGTCAATTTCTTAGTTTCATCAATTAAAGGAAGGAATGTTCGTGAGAGAGTTTTTCAAAAGGCTAATGCCTTGCTTTCTAAGACTGTTAAAGCACAGGTTTAGCAGAAAGTTTAGTTTCCAGAAAGTCATAGGAATAATTGGTTGAGAAATAAGGGAAGGGAGAAAAACCCAACACAATCTACTGATTTAAAAAATGATACCCAAATTTTATTTGTTTGTAAATGTTTAAGTGTATTATTTCATTTAAACATCAGAAATCATTTATTTTTATAGAAAGGGAACAGAGATCCATATAAATTAAATGAATTGTACAAGGCCATATAACTAGGGAAGTGGTAAAAGCAAGGCCAGATTTCTCCCTCTTCCCAGCTCCTCCCTGAGTCTCCTATTTTCCTCTTCCTCATTGTTTGGATGAGATCATGCTGACCTAATTACAAATGAGTGCATCTTGGAAAACATTCTTGAATGACTGTCAGACCATGATTTGAGATTAACTGTAAGTATTTTGTGAATTACCACAGACGAGTAAAATAATTTAGTGAGATATTATCCATTTGCTTACATTTAGCCAAACAAAAGAATATTTTTGCATGGAATACAGAGTATACCCCAGAGAAAATGCATATAGCATCAACATTGTACTTGGACCTCTTACTGAAGAGAGAAGGACGACTGTCCAGGGCAGTTGTCAGCTTATGCATAGCCATCCTGTTATGAGACCAGTGAGGAAGGAATTCCCATCCAGATTTCACTTACTACCAAAACACTAGTAGATTACACTTGAAATATACATAATTTTGAAACACAAATTGAAATAAATAAGTCATGATTAATATGTGTAATGTGCTAATCTAAGAATGAATGAAACATTTATAGAACATCTATTTAAGTAGTACAGTGATGTTGGCTCAGTTATCTAATCACAAGGACACTTTATAAAGGTAGTTTTTCTGGCCTTTACCGCTGGAAATTTTGATTGAATGCCCTTGGGATAGGGACCCAGATTGTGTATTTTAGAAGCATCTCAGTTGATTCTGGAGCACGTTCAAGTTTGAGAACCAGTGGGTTAAACCCTGACTTTGGTGGACCTTGAATGCTTAGTATAGAGTTCTGGATTTTATCCAGTGGTCAGTCACTTATGTGTTCCTTAATTATTCAGTAGATATTATTGGGTATATGTTATATTTCCAGCATTGGGAATATAAATGTTAAGACAGCCCACGCCTTCCAGTAGCAGGGAGAGTTAGACAGGAACCTCTGTGGGAACAGAGGAGAGGCATTAAATTCAGCAGTGTGAAGGGATTTTCAGGAAAGATATTAAAAGATATCTCAGCCAGCTCAGAAGGAGCTTATATGAGTTGCCCAACAAAGAAAGGAGATATAGGTTTTCCCAACAGTGGGATCAGTAATGAAAAGTCTTGAGAATGGCAGCCTGAGTATAGTGGTTTTGTATAACTAAAGTGTAGGGTGTATGATGGGTAAGGGAGCGGGTACAGCATCCCATGAGGGGATGATAGCTATAGAGACAGGACAGGCTGTAGGAGTTTTAAAATATCATAGGAGTTTGAATTTCATCCTGTAAGTGGGAGGAGCCATATTTGGCTTTTAATCAAGGTGGTTTCTTAGGAAGTTCACTCTGATATCAGTGTGGAGAAAAGATTCAGTGAGGTGAGACTAGAAACCACTTAGGCTATTATTGCATAATCTAGGCAAGAAATTAAGATCTGAAGACACAGCAGTGAGGGAGTGAGGGTGATGAGATCTGGATGAATTTTGTTTTCTTTTTTTCTTTTTCTTTTTTTTTTTTTTCCTGAGACTCTGTCTCCCAGGCTGGAGCGGCGGTGGCGTGATCACAGCTTACTGCAACCTCCACCTCCCAGGTTCCAGCAATTCCCCTGCCTCAGCCTCCCTCTTAGTAGGTGGGATTACAGGCACGCACCACCATGCCTGGCTAATTTTTTGTATTTTTAGTAGAGATGGAGTTTCACCATGTTGGCTAGGCTGGTCTTGAACTCCTCATCTTAAGTGATCCTCCCGCCTCGGCCTCCCAAATGACTCTAAATCAAAACTTCTAAGAAATAAAAGATTTAAACAAAAATGAGGTTATGGGACAATGGGGTATTTTACCTAGCAGTAATTAATCTTCACTCACAGAGGCTGTGCTTACTTAGTATTTAGCACCTAGAGAAGCTAATTTTTAACATCCTCTTATATATGAAAAAATCATTTTCAATTATCATGAAACTAGTTATAGTACTAATGGCCAGGAAAAAAATGCAGACAGTGAAAATATTCTTCTATTGAAATTGTATTTTATAACTGTCAGTAAAAAATAAATAATAAAATCAACATTATAATACAAAAATAGACAATGGGTTAATAATTTGAAGTTACATTGATCATTTTTTTAAAAAGGAAAAATGTTTTTATATATTGATCTGTCACAGTGGTGAATAGTATAGCTTTCGTTTTTGAAAACTTATCAATAGCTTCTTCAGAATTGATCTTTCGATATTGGGGCTTAGTACATCATAGCCAGATTTATCAATCTGTCTACTCTTACTTGATGGAAGAACACTATCTTTAAATTTTAATTTTGAAAGTTTTTTTCATGAAGCAACTGCTACACAGAGAAAATCTTCAGCATAAGGATAAGTTCAGCAGAGATTCTTAAAATTCCATCCTCCAGTAAATTCCAGAAATTGCCATACTTTCCTTGCCTTTGTTTTTGAAGGATCAAGTCTAATGATTTTTCAGTGTCTTCGCAGTTAAAATATTTTAAACACAAGCTCAAAATCGCATATAATGACAGAATTGAGGCAACTCCAAATCCTTTCATTGACTTTAAAAATCACTGTACCATTGTTGTTTATTTCTAATATGCTTAAATATAATAATATATTGTACCACAGGGTTGGAGGCACACATTTCGCTGAAGTGAGCTTGAATAATTTCAGATTGCTACCAACTTTCTCTTGAAAGGAACATGTGTAGTGGAATCCACCTGTATCAGGGGAGACTTTAAGTAGAAGACTGTAACTGGGAGCTTTCCTAATTAAGTCTTACATGAAGTGCGGTATTTATTAAAGTATAAGTCATAAAATGTGCTTACTTAAAGCTTACATGTGTGTTATTAAAACTCAACAGTTGTTTATAGCTTAGACCAACTATTTTTCAGGGAGGAGTGCTTTTATAACTGATGTTTATTATTGCTGGGGCATGATGATAATAGAAAGCCGACCAACTTGGTTTTATTTTTGTTTCCAAATTGCCTACAGACAATACACCCACTTATTGCCTACTCTTGGGGAGGTGAGCAGCACTTTCACCACCCTTCCCTTGATGTACATGAGCAGAGTGAAAAGGATTAACTATAGGGAGACCACAAAAAACACTGATTGGAATTCCAGAAATAGGGTGTGATGAAGGCCTGAATTTGGTTATTTAGGAGACAACAGGAATGTAAAGGAAGCGATAGATTTAAGAAATGACCAGAGATTAATAAATGGAATTTAAAGTAAGAAAAATTTGAGCTAGAATGACTTGGAAAATGGTGTTTTAACAGAAAAGAGATTTTTAAAGGAGCTGGTTTGTGGAGGAAGACATTATACTGGTAGCATGAAACAATAATTGTTTTGCACTAGCATCTTTGCTTCTCACAGTAAGGTATTGCTGAAGTGGAATTATCTAAATATTAAAATAACCAAAGAAAGTTTTAAACCATAAATATTTTCGAACAGCCAACACACTGAACTCTATTATTAGAAAGATTCAGAGTTTCACTTAAACTACTACACTTTGTCATTTAAAAGTGATTTTGTCTTAGAAAACTAATCAAATTAAGATAATTCAGAATAACATTGGATTTTTGTTATTTGAGTAACATTATATGACTGTGGTATTTTAGGAAAATCGTTCATTTCATTCTTTCTGTATCAGGTGAATTTAGAGTTTACTGCCTGATTCTGTGTGTAATCTGATTCTTCAGATTTCCCAGTTCACAGTTTTTGCTTGTCTGTAGATAACTGTTGTTATTACAATCACATGTGAAACTTGAGGGATAAATAGGGGTGGGGTCCATTGGAGTCGCCACAGCTATTAATTCAAATAGGATCCTTCCAGACGAGTTCATTATAGACGTTATTTAATATTGAATCCTTATTAAACTTTTTTTTAATGGTTAACAGTGTGGACTGTGATGTGGACTGTAGTGTATGTTCAATTGGTTACCTTTACCCTCATTTATTCCACCCAACAACTGGCCTACGTTCTGTTCTTCAAACATATCAGGCATGGTCCTATCTCAGTATCTTTTTCAATTGCTTTTCCCTCTATCTGGAATGCTTTCCCCACATATCTACATAGCTTACTTCCTATCTTTTTTCAGATTTCTATGCAAATGTCATCTTAGGGAAATCTTTCCTGATCACTCTATTTATAATTGCAACTTAAATCGCCTACTTCCTGTCCCTCTTTTCTACTTAATTTTCTCTTTAGCAGCTATCACTATCTGGCAGGCCATATATTTTACTGCCTCATTGTCTGTCTCCCCTTTCCTAGAATATTAGTTTCATGAGAGTGGGGACTGTAGCCATCTAGTTGCCTACTGGATACATTATACCTAAAACAGTACCTGGAATAAAGCAGATAATAAACTATTTGAATGAATGAAAAAAACAGGAACAAGTGAGTAGATGAATAAAAATATAAATGGTTGAAAACATGTATGAATATATATGTAGATGAAAAATACTCTGATAGTAACCTGTATTTTTGTGCAATAGAAGTAAGATAACCCATTGGCCGGGTGCAGTGGCTCACGCATGTAATTCCAGCACTTCGGGATGCCAAGGCGGGCAGATCACTTGAGGTCAAGAGTTCCAGACCAGCCTGGCCAATATGGTGAAACCCCGTCTCTACTAAAAATACAAAAATTAATACAAAAATTAAGGCAGAGCCTTGCTTCATCGACTATGCTGAATGGAGTGCAGTGGTGCAGTCACAGCTCACTGCAGCCATAACCTCCTGGGCTCAAGCACTCCTCCCACCTCAGCCTCCTGAATAGCTGGGACCACAGACACACCACCATGTCTGGCTTGTGTGTGTGTGTGTGTGTGTGTGTGTGTGTGTGTGTAGACAGAGTCTCCCTGTGCTGCCCAGGCTGATCTCAAACTCCTGGGCTCAAGCAAATCTTCCTGCCCTGGCCTCCCAAAGGCCTGTAAGTGCTGGGATTATAGGCATGAACCACCTCACTTGGCCAAGAAATCTTAATTCTTTCTGATAATATATCAAGTATCCCTTTATCAGCCCAATAACATTTATGCAGCCTAGCTAGGTTTAGAGTGACAAGAGCTCTCTTTTTTTGCACATAAACACTAAAGGTATATGAAGTCTGACTTTCAAATCAGCAGAGTAACTAAAATATTTTAGAGCTGCTTAAATACACTGGTAGGTGTGAGAGTCATCAGTCTGTCAGAGCCATAGTAACTGTATATTGGGGAAATTGGAACCACTTTTATCTTGGATGGCCCTGAGCTGCTGCTTACCTGTTAATTTTGAGTTTCAGTGCAGTTAATAGATTAGGAGTTTGGAAAAAAGCTTAGCTTTCCTCATGGAAAACTTTAAAAGGTAGAGATGGTCTGACTCCTCCAAACCCCTCAACCCACACCAGCATTACATAGCATGCTCCCCACTTGCATACGTATGTGCACAGCTTAGATATCCAAAGTCTGAGGTAAAAAATTAGTTGTACTCTACAAGATGATATTGAACATATTAAAGTTACTAGATTGTGACTCGCCAAGGACCTGCTGGGTTCTGAGTTTTCTTCTCCTTTTTGAGTATGCAGATTATGGTTTCACATTAGGGCAATTCATCTAACAATAACCGCTTTGCCAAAATCTGCTTTTTTTGCGTTGAACAAGTGCTGCACTTCATACTGTGTGCTTGTGTTCATCACTTTTTTCTTTGTATTCTTTGTATCCCTAGCATGTTTGTGGTGGTTTGTTTTCTCTTTGATATTTTGACCAATAGACATATTGGAGATTTTCTCACCTGTAAGAAACTCTTTTTTAAAGTTTATGTTCTATCCCCTTTTCTTTCCAACTTAATGCACTAAGCATCACTTTAAAATTCTTTTGCTTCTAGGATTCTAACATATTTGCACCTTATGGCTTCTGTTCTTTGATACATTTTTAAGTTTGTATTAAAACATTCAAGTTTACAGACGCTGTAGCCTTTGTCTTGTACTTCCAGGCAAATATTACAGTTCCTTATTTTTCAACAGCTTCGCAAAGGCTGAAAAATTTGCCTCGCACTTCCCTCAAAGCCAAACAGTTGCTTCAAACTTCATCTACAAAAAGAGGTAACTACAGCCTCTTACTCAGTTTAAAATTTCAGCAAATGATCTAGTTAAATCTTAAGCCATTTGGCATACTGAGTCAGTGGTGTCTGTAAGGCACATTTTAGTCTTATTTTAAAGAATAATAAAATAATGAGGATTTATTCTGTTATTTGGATAAATCCAGAAGAAACATTTTCTACAGAGGTATGTATTGGGTTGCTTTTCTGAAAGGAGTAAATGATATATAGAGAATATATTTTTCTTACCCACTTAAAATGAAAGGGCATCATTTCAACTTTTTGCCAACTGAACTTCATAAGTGCTTTAAAATGAACCAAATGTCAGACATTCTGTATGTTGATGTTTTTTCCTCAGACTTCAATTTTTACTTTTACTTACCTGTGTAAAATGGGAACACTTCCACATTAGAAGGTAGTTGAAGTTAAATCACAAGTTGTGGTTGATTGATAGGTCTGGAATGTTTATGGAGTGGTAGCTTTCATAATAATAGTTGAAGAAATATATGAAGGTCGGACATCAAAGCTGTCCAATATTGGTTCCAAGACACTGAATGTATGGGCAGCTAGATGGAAGTAGAATTAAGAGAAAACAGTGGGATTGGATAGACCAACAGTAATAAAAACAAACAGAGGCCTCAAAGGAAATGGTATGAAACAAAGAGGAAAAGTATTTTTCCTATCCAGAACATGTAGGTTTTCTGATAGCTTTAGATCTCACTAAACAACCAAAATATGTAACAGAGATAAAGCACTAAAGAAAATTACGCAGGAAGAAGAAATTAGATTTTTTTTGAAAAAAAAAAGGAAAAGAAAAAATTTGGTTACGTTTACAAAAGTGCTATAATAGAAGTTTTGGCAAATTTATTACTGCAAATGTTTTTGCACTGATTTCTTGGATTGAGTATAATTTAAGGAAATAGTTTTAGATAATAGGATTTGAAGGTAAGTCAAATAGGCAAATAAAAAAGCAGAATGTATGAATGTTTGTATTTTGAATATCAGAAGTTGACCATGGGCCTCCAATATGAATGTTTTTTGGTGCCATGGTCAGGTATGTTAGTAATAGACTGGATAGATTATGTTTGATGGGAAAGGAGGTGACTTAATAGGGGTTATTATAGAAAGGGGTTTTTGTGGACTTATTTGGGAACCTTAGGCTTTTTTTTTTTTTTTTTTGAGACTTTTCAATATTTTTTAGTACTTCCATGGCTAGGGGTAGGAGGCATATAAAAACATGAACCTGAAAACACTGTGGTATCTAAACTAGGGCAGGAGATCACTATACCATAATAAAAGAGTAGAAGATTTTAAGTTTATATAAATTTTGTTGTTTGCCTCTGTAAGCTGTTTCATAATGTTTTTTGGAATTAAGTAGGTTTACATAACTTAAAATTTTTACCTAAAGATTTCATGTTGCTGTGTTGATCAGGTTAAGAAAACCATAACTTCTAGCTGAATTTTTAAAATTTGCCTATAGGGGTTACATTATTTTTATCACTCCAAGCTACCAAACTACCTATCCTCTCTGATAAGATAACAGGAAAGCCCAAACTTGGAACTGTTATGAACTGGAATTCTTGGCATCTCTAGCTGTCTTGTTGACTTAGTAAAGGTAAAGAAGGGGGAGGAGGGGCAGGGGGTGTGCTATTCTGTTTTGTTTAATCCCTTACTTATTTAAATTGATCCAGACTTCTATATTTTCTGATTAGTATTGTGACGTGGGCATTATCATTACCTACCTCTTCTCTGTAAATTTTTAACCAGTTGAGAAATGGACACAGATATAAGGTAAGATTTAAAATATTAGCTTAATAATTGATGAAGCTGAGATGGAGAATATCTTTTGGATCCAAGGCCAAAATGGATTTTCTGATTTCCCCTCATATCGAGACATTAAAGGGAGGGGTCTGCATTGACTGGCAGGAGCCTCTTCTCTTGTGGGGTTGTGAGGCACACAGGAGACAAAGGCCACCTGTTCACAGGTATATTTGGCATATTAAACGTGTCCAGTAAAGAAACATGGACCAACAGGTGATAAATTGGCACACAAATCAATTCATCCATCCTGGGGATGAACCTGTACAATTGTCTAGAAAGCTAATATATCGTAGGGGTGACAGGATCATGGGAGGAGGAAAAAGATTACTTAACAATTGGAAATATAGTCACTTTGATTTTAATTGCATTTAGTAGTAGCAGGTGTTTGAAAATGGAAAGTAAGAACTGTGTTGCTTGGCACAGTCACTCCATAAATATTTGTTGAATGAATATAGTCATGCTACTAAAGTCAAAAAAGGATGGACACGTTCTTCTTTGCATTTTCTTTTTGCAAGTTTTTTGTGTTTCTTCAGCCTATCCCACTCTGAAGAAAACAATCCAGTCTATATTTTTAAGACTTCATGGAAGTGGCTATTTAAACTGCTTTGAGAAAGATTTTATTCATTCCCTGTTGTTGGGCACTGAGTGAAGTGGAGGTAAATAGGGCAGAGACCTCACCAAGCCAGCGGGAAAAAATGAAGACTAATTAGACAAAGTGAATGCAGAGATAACAGGATATTAATTCCTTCTTAGTTGCCTCTTTCCTTCTAAACACCCCATTAAAAAATGGGCAAAGGACATGAACAGACACTTCTCAAAAGAAGACATTCATGCGGCCAACAAACATATGAAAGTTCTTGCCTCTTCTGTATTTAGAAGGAAAGAGGCAACTAAGAAGGAAATACAGAAGGAAAGAGGCAACTAAGAAGGAATTAATGATGGTAATTGTTTAATACTCTTTTCACTATATTTTGAGATACGTTGAAATAAACAGTATTTATAGAAGACCTTAATGATAAGATTTTTGTTTTTCCTTCAATTTTTATTTTAAGTTTTGGGGTACATGTGCAGGATGTGCAGGTTTGTTACATAGGTAAATGTGTGCCCTGGTGGTTTGCTGCACAGATCAACCTATCACCTAGGTATTAAGCCCAGCATTCATTAGCTATTCTTCCTGATGCTGTCCCTTCCCCCGCCGCCCCTGACAGCCGCCAGTGTGTGTTGTTCCCCACAGTGTGTCCATGTGCTCTTACTGTTCAGCTCTAACTTGTGAGAACATGGGGTGTTTGGTTTTCTGTTCCTGCATTAGTTTATTGAGAATAATGGCTTCCAACTCCATCTATGTCCCTGCAAAGGACATGAACTCTTTCTTTCTTATGGCTGCATAGTACTCCATGGTGTATATGTACCACATTTTCTTTATCGAGTCTGCCATTGATGGGTATTTGGGTTGATTGCATGTCTTTGCTGTTGTGAATAGTGCCGCAATGAACATACACATGCGTGCATACATCTTTATAATAGAATGATTTATATTCCTTTGAACATACACC
Source organism: Homo sapiens (assembly GCF_000001405.40). Taxonomy (NCBI): domain Eukaryota; kingdom Metazoa; phylum Chordata; class Mammalia; order Primates; family Hominidae; genus Homo; species Homo sapiens. Next base: position 48,398,024 of record NC_000004.12, read on the forward strand.
CAGTAATGGGATTGCTGGGTCAAAAGGTATTTCTGCTTTTAGATCTTTGAGGAATCACCATGCTGTCTTCCACAGTGGTTGAACTAATTTACACTCCCACCAGCAGTCTAAGTGTTCCTTTTTCTCCACAGCCTCGCCAGCCAGCATCTGTTGTTTCTTGCCATTCTGACTGGTGTGAGATGGTATCTCATTGTTGTTTTGATTTGCATTTCCCTAATGATCAGTGATGATGCGCTTTTTTTCATGTTTGTTGGCCCCATGAATGTCTTATTTTGAGAAGTGTCTGTTTATGTTCTTTGCCTACTTTTTAATAGGGTTGTTTGTTTTTTTCTTGTAAATTTGTTTCAGTTCCTTGTAGACTCTGGATAGTAGACCTTTGTCAGATGGATAGATTGCAAAAACTTTCTCCCATTCTGTAGGTTGCCTGTTCACTCCGATGATAGTTTCTTTTGCTGTGCAGAAGCTTTTTAGTTTAATTAGATCCCATTTGTCAGTTTTTGCGTTTGTTGCAATTGCTTTTGGCATTTTCATCATGCAACCTTTGCCCATGCCTGTGTCCTGAATAGTATTGCCTAGGTTTTCTTCTAGGGTTTTTATAGTTTGGGGTTTTACATTAAAGTCTTTAATCCATCTTGAGTAAATTTTTTATAAGGTGTAAGGAAGGGGTCTAGTTTCAATTTTCTGCATATGGCTAGCCTGTTCTCCTAGCACCATTTATTAAATAGGGAATCCTTTCCCCATTGCTTGTTTTTGTCAGGTTTGTCAAAGATCAGATGGCTGTAGATGTGCAGTCTTATTTCTGAGTTCTCCCTTCTGTTCCATTGGTCCATTTGTCTGTTCTTGTACCAGTACTATGCCGTTTTGGTAACTCTAGCCTTGTAGTATAGTTTGAAGTCAGGTAGCATGATGCTTCCAGCGTTGTTCTTTTTGCTTAGGATTGTCTTGGCTATTGGGGCTCTTTTTTGGTTCCATATGAATTTTAAAATAGTTTTTTTCTAATTCTGTAAAGAATGTCAGTGGTAGTTTAATGGGAATAGCATTGAATCCATAAATTACTTTAGGCAGTATGGCCATTTTCATGATATTATGATATTGATTCTTCCTATCCATGAGCATGGAATGTTTTTCCATTTGTTTGTTTCCTCTCTGATTTCCTTAAGCAGTGGTTTGTGGTTTTCCTTGAAGAGGTCTTTCATTTCCCTTGTTAGCTGTATTCCTAGGTATTTTATTCTTTTTGTAGCATTGTGAATGGGAGACCATTCATGATTTGGCCCTCCGCTTGCCTGTTTTTGGTGTATAGGAATGCTAGTGATTTTTGCACATTGATTTTGTATCTTGGGACTTGGCTGAAGTTGCTTATGAGCTTAAGAAGCTCTTGAGCTGAAATGATGGGGTTTTCTGGATATAGAATAATGTCATCTGCAAACAAAGATAATTTGACTTCCTCTCTTCCTGTTTGAATACGCTTTATTTTTTTCTCTTACCTGATTGCCCTGACCAGACCTTCCAAAACTATGTTGAATAGGAGTGGTGGGAGAGAGCATCGTGGTCTTGTGCTGCTTTTCAAAGGGAATGTTTCAAGCTTTTGCCCATTCAGTATGATATTGGCTGTGGGTTTGTCGTATGTGTCTCTTTTTATTTTGAGGTATTTCCTTCAATACATAGTATATTGAGAGTTTTTAACGTGAGGGGATGTTGAATTTTATTGAAGACCTTTTCTGTGTCTATTGAGATAATCATGTGGTTTTTGTCTTTAGTTCTGTTTATGTGATGAATTACATTTATTGATTTGCGTATGTTGAACCAACCTTGCATCCCGAGGATAAAGCCAACTGGATCTTGGTGGATAAGCTTTTTGATGTGCTGCTGGGTTCAGTTTGCCAGTATTATATTGAGGATTTTTGCATCAACATTCATCAGGGATATTGGCCTGATGTTTTCTTTTTTGTTGTATCTTTGCTAGGTTTTGGTATCAGGATGTTGCTGGCCTCATAAAATGAGTTAGAGAGGAGTCTCTCCTTTTCAATTGTTTGGAATAGTTTCAGTAGAAATTGTACCAGCCATTCTTTGTACCTCTGGTAGAATTCAGCTGTGAATCTGTCTGGTATTGGGCTTTTCATTGATTGGCAGGCTATTTATTACCTCCTCAATTTCAGAACTCATTATTGGTTTATTCAGGGATTCAGTTTCTTCCTGGTTCAGTCTTGGGAGGGTGTATGTGTCCAGGAATTTATCTATTTCTTCTAGATTTTCTAGTTTATGTACATAGAGGTGTTTATAGTATTATCTGATGGTTGTTTGTATTTCTCTTGGGTCACTGGTGATATTCTCCTTATAATTTCTGATTGTGTCTGTTTGATTCTTCTTTTTTTTTTTTTTTTTTTTTTTTTTGAGACAGAGTCTTGCTCTGTCGCCCAGGCTGTAGTGCAGTGGCATAATCTTGGCTCACTGCAAGCTCCTCTGCTTCCTGGGTTCAAACAGTTCTCATGCCTCAGCCACCCAAATAGCTGGGATTACAGGCATGTGCCACCACGCCTAGCTAATTTGTTTGTATTTTTAGTAGAGATGGGGTTTCACTATGTTGGCCACACTTGTCTTGAACTCCTGTCCTCAAGTGATCGCCCGCCTTGGCCTCACAGAATGTTGGGATTACAGGCGTGAGCCACTGTGCCTGGTCCCTTTTCTTCTTTATTATTCTAGGTAGTAGTCTATTTTATTAATTAAAAAAAAAGCTTCTAAATTCGTTTGTTTGTTTGTTTGTTTTTTTAAGGGTTTTTCTTGTCTCTATCTCCTTCAGTTCTTCTGCTAGCTTTGGAGTTTGTTTGCTCTTGGTTCTCTAGTTCTTTTAGTTGTCGTGTTAGGTTGTTGATTTGAGATCTTTCTAGCTTTGTGATGTCAGCATTTAGTGCCGTAAATTTCCCTCTTAACATTGCCTTAGCTGCATCCTAGAGATTCTAATATGTTGTCTCTTTGTTCTGATTAGTTTCAAAGAAAGTCTTGATTTTTGCCTTAATTTCATTATTTACCCAAGAGTCTTTCAGGAACAGGTTGTTCACTTTCCATGTAGTTGTGTGGTTTTGAGTGGATTTCTTAATCTTGAGTTTTAATTTGATTGTGCTGTGGTCTGAGAGACTGTTATGATTTCAGTTCTTTTGCATTTGCTGAGGACTATTACATGATCAATTTTAGAGTAAGTGTTGTGTGGTGATCAGAAGAACGTATATTCTGTTGTTTTTGTTTGGGGAGTTTTGTAGACATCTATCAGGTCCACTTAATTCAGAGCTGGGTTCAGGTCCTAATATCTTTGTTAATTTTCTGTCTCGATGTTCTGTCTAATATTGTCAGAGGGGTGTTAAAATCTCTCACTATTATTGTGTGGGAGTCTAAGTCTCTTTGTAGGTCTCTAAGAACTTGCTTTATGAATCTGGGTGCTCCTGTATTGGGTTACATATATACTTAGGATAGTTAGCTCTTCTTGTTGAATTAAAAACCCTTTACCGTATGTAATGCCCTTCTTTGTCTTTTTTGATCTTTGTTGGTTTAAAGTCTGTTTTGTCAGAAAGTAGGATTGCAACCCCTGCTTTTTTCTGTTTTCCATTTGCTTGGCAAATTTTCATTCATCCCTTTATTTTCAGCCTGTATGTGTCTTTGCATGTGAGATGGGTCGCTTGAAGACAGCATGGGTCTTGACTCTTTATCCAGCTTGCTACTCTGTGTCTTTTAATTGAGGCATTTAGCCCATTTACATTTAAAGTTAATATTGTTATGTGTGTATTTGATCCTGTCATGATGTTAGCTCGTTATTTTGCAGACTTGTTTATGTGGTTACTTTACAGGATCACTGGTCTGTGTACTTCAGTGTGTTTTTGTAGTGGCTGGTAATGGTTTTTCCTTTCCATATTTAGTGCTTCCTTCAGGAGCTCTTGCAAGGCAGACCTGGTGGTGATGAATTCCCTCAGCATTTGCTTTTCTGAAAAGGATCTTATTTCTCCTTCACTTATGCAGCTTGGTTTAGCCAGATATGAAATTCTGGGTTAGAAATTCTTTTCTTAAGGAATGTTGAATGTTGACCCCCCAATCTCTTCTGGCTTTGTAGTGTTTATGCTGAGAGGTCCTCTGTTAGTCTGATGGGCTTTCCTTTGTAGGTGACCTGGCCTTTGTCTCTGGCTGCCCTTAATTTTTTTTTTTTTTCCTTCATTTCGACCTTGGAGAATCTGATGATTATGTGTCTTTGGGTTGGTCTTCTTGCGGAGTATCTTACTAGGGTTCTCTGGATTTCCTGAATTTGATTATTGACCTTGTCTTGCTAGGTTGGGGAAGTTTTCCTGGATGATATCCTGAAGTATGCATTCCAACTTGATTCTGTTCTCCCCATCTCTTTCAGGTACCCCAGTCATTCATCGGTTTGGCCTTTTTACATAATCCCACATTTGTTCATTCCTTTTTCTCTATTCTTTTCTGCCTGTCTTATTTCAGAAAATAGTCTTCAGACTCTGAGATTCTTTCCTCCACTTGGTCTCTTCTGCTGTTGATACTTGTTATTGCATTGTGAAGTTTTCATGTTGTGTTTTTCAGCTCCATCAGGTCAGTTATGTTCCTCTCTAAACTAGCTATTCTGGTTGTCAGCTCCGGTATTGTTTTATCATGATTCTTAGCTTCTTTGCATTGGGCTCAGCAAAGTTCAGAACCCTACTTCTGTCAATTCAGCTGTCTCAGCCTCAGCCCAGTTCTGTGCCCTTGCCGGAGAGATGTGGTCATTTGGAGGAGAATACAAATTCTGGCTTTTTGAGTTTTCAGTGTTTTTGCATTGATTCTTTTTCATCTTTGTGGGCTTATCTACCTTTGATCTTTGAGGTTGCTGACCTTTGAATGGGGCTTTTGTGCGGTCCTTTTTGTTGATGTTGTCGTTGCTTTCTGTTTTTAACAGTCAGGCCCTTCTTCCATAGGGCTGCTATGGTTTTCTGGGGGTCCATTCCAGACCCTAGTCACCTCAGTCCCTCCTGCATCTGGAGGTATCACCAGTGAAGGCTGCAGAACAGCAAAGATGGCAGCCTGTCCCTTCCTCTGGGAGCTCCGTCCCAGGGGGACACTGACCTGATGCTGGCCCGAACTCTCCTTTATGAGGTATCTGGAGACCCCTGTTGGGAGGTCTCAGGCAGTCGGGAGGAATGGGATCAGGGTCCCACTTACAGAAGATGTCTGGCTGCCCTTTTGTGGAGCAGGTGTGGTGCTCTGGGGGGATCCCCTTTTGTCCAGACTGCTCTGACTCTCCAGAGCCAGCAGGCTGGAAAGGCTGTTGGCTGAACCACAGAGACAGCGGTCGCTCCTCCTCCAGGGGCTCCATCATCAGAGTTCTGTTCGTATAACCCTGGCTGGAGTTGCTGAAATTCTCACAGGGAGGCCTTGCCCAGTGAGGAGGGATGGATCAGGGTCCCACTTAAAGAAGCAGTCTGGCCACGATCTGGCACAGCAGCTGTGCTGCATTGTGGGGAACTCCTGGTCTGGACCATCTGGACTTTCCAGAGCCAGCAGGCTAGCACAGCTGACTCCAACCACAGAGATGGCGGCCACCCTTCCTCCCAGGAGTTCGGTCTGTGTCAGGCAGTCTCCAGCCTGCTACCACTGGCTGGCTGGAATTCCAAGCCAGTAGGTCTTGTGAGGTGCCGTGGGAATGGAGCCCAGAGAACACTGCTGCCTGGTTCCTTGGATTCAGCCCCCTTCCTAGGGTAATGCATGGAGGGATCTCCTGCCTTGCATGAATTCCTGGAACTGGAGTATGCAAAACTACTGGGTCTCCGTGAGTGCCTGAGTGGCCATTCTGCGGAGACGCCACACAGCTTTGTGCTTTGGATCCTAGGCTGTGGTGGCGTGGGCTTGTGAGGGAATCTCTTGATCTGTGGGTTGCAAAGATCCGTGGGAGAAGCGTGGTTTCCCAAGTCAGGGCAGGGTTGCACAATCACTCACCACCTTTCTTGGCTGGCGATGGGGGCTCTCCTGGCTCCATGCTGCATCCAAGTGGGCCATTGCCTCACCCTGCTTCTTTTCCTCTTTCTCCATGGGGTCAAGCTGTTCGCCTAGTCAGTCCCAGTGCGAGAACCTGGATACCTCAGTTCAAGGTGCAGAATGAACTCACTCTTTCTTTCCTCTTTTCATTCCTCTCTGTGAGAGCTGCAGACCACTGCTACTTCCAATTGACCATCTTGGCCCACCCTCCGACTTTTGCATTTCTAATGATTAGATTTTAAAATGCCTTTTGATATTAGACTACTTGAAAATGGAGAATGAAAGAATTTTGTGATTACCTAGGATTCAAAATTAAAAATTGTCTTCTCTTTTCTATCAGCTGACAAGTATTTATTGAATCTGTATCAGAAACAAGATACACTCATTATATCCTTCCTCTTTGCTTCTCTATTCTAGCCCCTCTTTGCTTTCTCCTCTTACAGTTGTGTTCAAAACTAGCTTCTGACATACACAGACTTCTTAGAAACAATTAAAATGATAGGAGTTGTTTCCCCTCCTATGATTTTGATATGTAAAATTTGGAGAATGAGAGAAGAAAGAGCATGGAGGCTGTTCTTGAGGTTCCCTCCAAACACACATTCCTGTTAGACCATTTCATGCCAGTTTTGGAATGATAACATTATAGGGTTTATTTTACATTTAGACTTAATAATGTTTTTATGGCTTTCTAAGGCCTTTGTCTTTCTCTGTAGTTAAATCTTGATTACAGCTGTCAATTTCCTTTGCTGAGAAAGTCCTAGGTCAAAACTCTTTAAAGGTCACCTGTATCCAATCAACCTCATTATATTTTTATTGTTCCCTGGCCCACATGTTTATAAATGAGTCAAAATGCTGCTGCCGTGAAACATTTTTTCCAATAGTATAACTGCAGCTTAGTATACCTCTTGAAATCCTCTCTAGTTTCCCCTCCACTTATACATAAACTTTGTTAAAGTATTTCTCTCCATATCTTGATGTTGTAGGACTTTACTTGTTCTTTCATAGACTGTGTTGCATTTATCTAATAATTTAGGGATTAATAAATTTATAATGATTTCTGGTTTATAAATCTGTTTTTAAACTTTGCTATTTTTAAATAAAACACGAAATCAGAAAACCAATGCACAGTTTAATTAATTCTTATACGGCAAACGCCCTTACCATCCATATCAGGAGACTAGAACTTGGCACCTCTGACATCGTCCACCTGTCTGCTTCCAAACACAACCCTCTCTTGACCCCTCCCCAAAAAGTATCTACTCTTCTGAACTTTCATAGCAGTCACTTCCTTTTTTGTATAGTTTTATCATCCAAGTTTTGAAACTAGTTTTGCCTTTTTGATATGTCTTTTTAAGTTTCTCTTACTTTATCGTTTTCTTCCATTTCTTTTCTCTCTCTCTCTCTCTCATTGTTTGTTTCTTAGAAGAAACCACCAGATCATTTGTTCTGCAGAGGTTCTTACAGGCTGAACTTTGCTGATTACTTTTTCATGGCTTTGTTTAGCAAGTTCCCTTGTATTTTCTATAAAGTGATAGTTGGATCTAGACAATTAATTGAATTGTTTTGCTATTTTTTGCAAAACTATTTTTTTTTTTGCATAGGTAGTAGTGCTTCTTTATCCAAAGGTGCATAAAGTGGGGTTTCCTCTTTTCATGATGTTAGCAGTCATTGATGTGTAATGCCTAGATTCATAATTCATTAGTTATTACAGAATTGGGAATTTTAATTCCCGTGTTCCTTTTTTTATTTGTCAAAATACTGTATAAAGAGAATTTTTTCCTTATTTGGTCACCCAGTGGTAGTTTCTTTAGGAAATTCAGACCAAATATTTGTTCTTTCCCTTTATTTACTAGTTTACAAAATTAAAAAATGGCAACGTGGCACCTTCCAAAGGTGGCCAGTTTTAAAAAATGTTTTTCATTATGAAATTACAGATTTAAACGTATTTTTTAATACATTTCAGGTCATTCTAGATGTTTTTCCAACTTTGCTGGAAGCCTCTACAAGTTGGATTCCAAGTCTTTTTGACACAACTCTAGTAGTCTTTGATACCGTCTTGCTAACTGGTATGACAAGATTGGCTGGTCTTGTACATTTCTTGCCAGAGACCTGGAGTCAGGCATTTCTCCAAAAAGTCCTGCTTGCTTTTGGTAGGCAATGGTATTTCAAGACCAAAATCTGTGTGTTTAGCTATACTTATTGCTACTGGGTTGGTCATTGTTTCCAGGTCTTTTTAGTTACTAGAGCTAGGAAACGTGTAGGTTTGTGTTTGTATATTTTTTTAATATTAAATGCAGAGCTTGTGGGCAATTATTTAACCTCCTTTAGCATTCTCTCATCCTGAGAATCTTATTTCTTAGCAACACATAGAATTAGAATATCATAATAATTTGTTTTGTCCCATATTTCACATAAAGTGTTCTTGGAATAACATTAGCGTAACATACAATATGTTTACTGAAAACAATTTTTACAACTTTTGGTTATGCTCTCTCTCTCTTTTTTTTTTTTTTTTTTTTAAGTTAAGCTATATCCACATTGTCAGATACCTGTTACATACTATTTTCTCCTTCACATACCTCATTTAGTTTAGGCTCTCCGTTTAAATACATGTTTGATGCCTAATGCCAGTTTATATGTCATTGTCTCATCAGTCATTTTTCTTGTCTGAAGCTTATTCTGTAATAGATTCCTTAAGGAATTATGAGAACAGTATTCATTCTTTCAATTTTTGCATGTTGATGATAACTTATCTCTTGTTTTCATACTTGAAAGTAATTGTCTAGATATGAAATCTTTGGCTCACTTTTTCTTTAACTTAAATGTATTACTCCACCTTCTGCAGGAATAAAGAATTGTTTCTGTTATAATCATTTGGTCTTTTTATCTGGATGTACAATAGATATTTTCTTTTTCTTTATAATAATTTACTAGAATATGTCTTAGTATTGATCATTCTGAGCTGATTTTCCCAGATTCGGGGTATGTTCTTTCATTATAGAGTAGCAAACTTTGTTTTTCAGAAAAGTTTTATTGAATTATAGTTTTTTATATTCTGTTCTCTTGCTTTGGTTTTCTTTTTTGTGGGAACTCCTGTTGTATGCATGTTCGAGGTTCGTTTCTTGTTTCTAATATTTGTTGCCTTCTCTCGAATTATTTTTTTTCTTCTAAAAGTTTGTTTTCATTGTCTGTTTCTCTTACATTATGTATTGTGTATATTGACTCTTATGTTTCTCCTTAGTCTTCTTCTTAAAATGATTCATTTTATAGCCAATTCCTTCCTGAGTTCCATCAGCTCATTTCTGAGTGTTTGTCACTCCGATTTATGCTATTCTTTCGTATCTTGTAGCAATATTAAAATGTTTTTAAAATGTGAAATAATAGATAATTTCATCTTTGTGTGTATGATTTCTTACCATGATTTCTGGTAAGATTTCACTTCTTGTAGAAGAGTTACTCTACTCCTTATTTAAATTCTTTTTTTTCTTGTAATAACTTTATGTGTGATTTGACTTCAGTCCTTTTCTATTGCTCATTTTTCCATGAAATTGATTTTTCTAAACACTTAGCTTGATTTAAGACTTACTAATTTTATGGTTCTTAGCTCTCTCTCGTATTTGGAAGTGTTCAGAAACATGGCTGCTTATTTTCTGAGATTTCTTTCCTTTATTCCCTCACTCCACTTTCAAAATTACCCTTTCTTAAAGTGTACTATTTGGTGTTTTTTAGTATATTCACAGAGGGAGAAACCATTACCACTATCTTATTTTAGAAGATATTTATCACCCCCATAAGAAACCCCATACTTATTAATAGAACTCCTCATTCCTCACTTCTTCCAGCCCCTGGCACCCACTCATCTACCCTCTCTGTCTCTAGATTTGCCTATGTTGGACATTGGATATAAATGGAATTATACAATATATGATCTTTTGTGACTGGCTTCTTTTACTTAGCATAATGTTTTCTAAGTTCGTCATTCTGTAGCATGTATCAGTATAGTCATTTGCTGCATAACAGAGTTTCAGGGCCAGGCACAGTAGCTCATGCCTATAATGCCAGCACTTTGGGCGGCTGAGGTAGGAGGATCATTTGAGCCCATGAGTTTGAGATCAGCCTGGGCAACATAGTGAGACTACATCAGAAAAAATAAAATAGACAGGCATGGTGGCACGCACCTGTGGTCCCAGCCACTCAGGAGGGTGAGGTTGGAGGATTGCTTGAGTTTCAAGAGGTTGAGGCTGCAGTGAGGTGTGATCGCACCACTTCCAGCTTGGGCAACAGAGCAAGACAACCCTATCTCAAAAAATCTAAAACGAACAAAAAAAAAAACACGACATTTCAGTCAACAGTGGATTGCGTGTACGATGGTGGCAATTTCTATCACCTAGTAACATCATAGACCTTCCAATAGGATAAGATGTGGAGGTGGAAGATAGTGATATTGATGATCCTAACCCTGTATAGGCTTAGGCTTATGTGTGTGTTTCTGTCCGTTTTTAGCAAAAAAAAAAAAAAAAAAAATTCAGGTGAAATAAATAAAAATTTAAAATTAAAAAACACTTGTAGAATAAGGATATAAAGAAAGAAAATATTTTTGGACAGCTGTACAACATGTTTGTGTT